>NC_000009.12:131358730-131672548 GCF_000001405.40 Homo sapiens | reverse complement strand
CTTCTCACACTCCAGCACTGCAGGGCCACCTGTTGAAGCCCAGTGTCCTGGGTCCCTTCCCCAGAGACCCCAGTTCATCAGATTCTTAGGTTTGCACCAGGGCTAAAGAGCTGGCATCCAGACCCCCTCCCATGTGACACTGATGCCGTCATCTGATGCCCAGTCCCTTTTCAGCTGAACGAAGGATGAAGACACAATGTTGTCCTAAAATTGATTCAGTGAAATAGCAAGTAGTGAAAAAGTAAAATAGAATTTAAATCTTTAGATTTTTGACATATTTTGTGTACTTGGTTGTAATATAAAATACGTTTCTTACCGGGGTCAAAAAGCTTATTAGCCTCTGCCTTAGCTACTTCTCCCTCTCTGAAATGCCCACCTGTGCCTTTGCACCTGTGCTTGGTCCTTAGTTCCAGGCTCAGGAGGGGAAGCTAACCAGTGTCTTGGCAACTTTTGGCTATGGGCTAGGTTTGCGGTCTTCACCACCATACATGACCCCTAACCTACAGCAGCACCTATTGGCCCAGTGAGGGGGTTTCTCCACTCCACACTCCAGGGAGAAGGGTCTTCACATGTTTCAAGTTGGTTGTGATTAAGTTTCGTGAAACGATATTAGCCTTAATACATGCATGGCCTCTGAGATTTTCTGTTTCATGTTTTCATCTATGACATTGATTTTGGGAAGTGCTAAATGGGTTGGTTGTGCATCGTAAACATCAACATTGGGAGTAATCCACAAATCCACCCCTCAAGTGGCCAGGACCAGTTCCCACAACTCTCCAGGGCACCTGTTCTCCCCCAGCTCAACTGCCCTGCACTTTCCACAGCCAGATCCTGCACCGTCTGCCAGTCTCGGTTCCAGGGCCTCCATTCATGAACTTTTCCTGCATCTCTCACAAAGTGACCCCCACATGTCCTCAGCATTTGACTCACCTCACAGTGTGCCATAGCCCTGGGTTGGAGGCTTGACTTTCTTGTCAGCTTATAGACCACCTGAGTGCAGAGCCTGCATTCCAGTGCCCCCAGAACCTCTGTGGCAGCAAAGGCCCCACGTTGTTGGGCTGGTTGGAGGCGCTCAGCCACATTGCAACCCCAGTTTTGTGGGCGGGCCCAGAACTGGGACTTGGTTTTTAACTTTGTTTCAAGGGGAAGGTGTGTTCTGATTCCAACAACTGACTTGGAAAAGACCGATCTCTGCTTTGCCTCTCCACCGTGTGGCCCGTGCCTCCTCCCTGGCGGGCTGAGATGTAGGCCTTCAGACAGACGGCAGGAGGCTGCCTCCTGTGGAGGATTTGGGCCTTTAAAATAGAACTTCAATTCCAGGAGACTTAGAGGATACAGCTGCTGAGGGAGAGCAATGAAAAATGAGATTCCCTCTTGAAAAACGATCACTATTTCCTGCTCTGAGGATTCTAGAGTAAAGCAACTGAGTTTTTGAAGTTGGGTTGCCCCTGGTTTTTCCTAGGGGCATTCCCCGGACAGTGTGGGGTTTAGAGAGTGTTAAATGAGAGAGGTAATTTGGAGGGAGTTAGAGGAATGCTATTTGGCTGAGTTCAAGATCCAGGGAAGGGGGATGGCTGTCTTTTCAAAACACTTGGTTGAGGAGCCTCTTTAATCAGTATGGCGAGTTTTGTAACTGATCACAGACTGCTAAGGCATAAAGGCAGTGAGAAAGGGAGGACTTTCTGACTTAGGAAGATCCCCTTCTCCGCTTTCTTGCCAAATGTTGGCAATTCCAGGCATCACTGAAATATATGTTCTTCCCCAACCCATTATTTTTGGGGTTGTTTAAAAATAGTGTCTTGGTTGCACCCATAATCCCACCTCCCAAGTCGAGAGAGCCAGTGTATAACTTTGGCCTCTTCCTTGAGGCCGGGAGACTGTCCCGAGGTTTTGCGCTGAGAGTATTTTTAGCCCAGGTGCTAGCACAGCCGGGAGGTCTTTGATGTGCGTCTGCTATGAACCAGCCATCTTGGTCCTGGGCTTTTCCAGAAGGGTGTAATTCACTTTTACAAGCAGTCCTGGCCTGGAAGTCTTTTCTTCTCCTCTTACAGTGACTTACTCCCCTGGTGATCAAGGTTGTGAACACACTTAATAAACAGCTTATTTGCTAGTCTTTGGCTTCAAAAGGGGGAAGAGGAGCCTACACCAAGATTGTGGCATCTGCGTCAGAAGCGAGGGTGGGGACAGGATGGTGGTGATCCTAGCCAAGCCCAGTGTCCCACGCTGAGTGGGTGCTGACTTAAGTGGAACACTGACCCAGAGGAAATAAGAAAAGTCCTCTAGGGCCAAGAGCAGACGTGAGCCCTCCTTCCTCTGAACTTGAATTCTGCTTTGTTTGAACAATCCTTAGGGTACTTACTCCTCTCTCTACTAAATTAGGAGACCGTGTGGCTGGTGTGTGAAGCAGAACTGATTCAAATCCAGGGTCTGTCACTTACTCCTCGGCCTCACTCTCCCTGTCTGTGGCATGAAGACAGTGGTACCTGTATTGGAGGGTCACTTCGAGGCTTCAGTGAGATGAGGCCTGTTGAGTGCCTGCGGTGGTGCTGGGTGCTCACTGCACAAGAAGTGGTCCTAGTCATTGCTGTGTAGCCATTGTCATCGCTGCCAGCTCCACGTGGGCAGGGCCTTGTGTTACTCAGCACCTGATACAACTCCCTGTACATAGTGGGGGCCAATACATTTGACTGGAAATGAAGTGGATTGAATTTTAGGCTCTAACCCAATGAAATTCTGTCTGTGCTTAAACCAGGAGGACTTCTGATTTTCCCAGAACCTCAAGGGCCCTCAGGAGCCTCCCGTGGGGGTTAGGCCAGTAACTCTGAAGTAAGAGTCAGCTGGTATCAGTAGCACCAGGGTGGGCTCTTCTATCCCAGCCCTCTGCATGCTTGGGTGTCATGTCAGAACATGAGGAGGAGAAAGGGCTGAGGGAGGCGAGTTGACGCTTTCTCCTCCAGTTCGGAGGAAGGAGCCTGAACTGCCCTCGTTCAGGGGCAGGGGGGCCTGGGTGGTAAACTGGGCCTCCTCCTGACCCCAGCACCTTGCAAGTGCTTTGCGTGTAAATGTTTATGGAGTGAAGGGGTGGATGAGTGAGGATGCCACGCAGTGTCTGACCTGCACTGTGCAGTGCAGCCTGCTTCCCTAAGGTGACAGGGAAGGACTTTTGAGGTGACTCCTGTCCCTTCACTGTCTTCTTTCTCTGCCCATGAGCTCCTTCTGCAGTGTCCCAAGCTGCTAGGGATTGTGGCTGCCAGCTCCTTCCCCTGTTGTCTGGGAGATAAATACATGAATGTATGCTTACTGACGAATGAAAATGCTGTTTTTCCTCTGGAGGCCCAGAGGGTGGCCTGTCAAACTGTGAGTTCTCAGAGTCTCTGAGCAGGGCTAGCGCAGCAGAGGTGGGGGCCGTCTGCTGCCACCTCCTGCCTGCAGGCCCATGGGGCTCCATCACCACGACCCAGCCCCAGCTAGACAGGCCTTCCTGCCCCCAGACTGGCTGCTTTGCTGGTGGCACTGCACTGGAGAGCAGGAGGCTGCGGCCCCGGCAGAGCACTGTTGGAGTGCTGAGATGGCATGCTGCCTCCACCTGCCCCTCCTAGGCTGGCAGCCATCCTAACAGGCAGGTTCCTCTGAGCCACGGAGGCTGCCCCAAACAACTCCACCTAAAAGACAAAGGCCGGGGGAGGGCTCTGCCTCCAGATGATGAGATGTACCCTGGCCTCTGCTCTGTGGTTTACTCAGAATAAACTGTTATTTTACCATCACTCTTTTTTTCATTTTGCCTCTGAAAATAAAGCTGAGAAATGACTAATTCACATCTCAGGAAGCCTATGAAGTCTGTGGTTTTCATCTCTAGATCAATGCCTAACAGTAATGGAAAAGAAACGCTTCCCTGGGAGTAGGCCACCGTGGGGACAGGCCGCCTTGAGTGGTTCAGGACACCGGCTAGGGCTGCAGTCACCTTGTCTGTGAAAATGGGAGGGGAGGGGAGGTTTAAACTTAACCCTGTGACCTTGGCCAAGGTCCATGACTACCGTGTGACTCGGTCTCGTCATCTGTTTAGTGGTAATAAGAATACCTCCCCTCTGATGTTAGCATGAGGACCAGGCATATGCCAAGAGCTCCCCACATATTAGAAGCCCCACTCCTGGCTTCTAAGGGGATTTCTTAAATTGTAAGTTTTTTAAAAATCTAAATTTTAATATCTAATTTAAAAATTTCTGAGAGGAAGTT
Source organism: Homo sapiens (assembly GCF_000001405.40). Taxonomy (NCBI): domain Eukaryota; kingdom Metazoa; phylum Chordata; class Mammalia; order Primates; family Hominidae; genus Homo; species Homo sapiens. Next base: position 131,668,315 of record NC_000009.12, on the reverse strand, counting down.
TAAAAACAGCCGCTGCTGATTTAACCACTTGATTGGGCTCCGGGAGGGAAGCCGCTCTGAGTCTCAGAGGCGTCCCTTCCATCCCCTCAAGCAGCATCTGTGGTTTATAAGAGGAGCGAGTCTGGGAATTCTCTTCACGTCTCTGGCAGGTAAGGGAGGGGCTCCCTGGACATCATCTCCATGCTTTGTTCACGCGGAAAAGTTTACCTGACGAGGGCTGTGGGTTCTGTTTAAATCCTAGGAGATGCTTAAGTTATTAGAATTTTTCTCTATTTTTAAAGCCAGTTGTGTTAAGAAATAACAGCTGTCCACTGAAGATGGTGGCATTTATCCCAAAAAGGAGTATATTTTTGAACGGTCTGGTGGCCACAGATGACATTTATGAATGTTAACTAAGTGCCAGGACTGGGCTTAGTGACTCACTGTATGTGCAGTACTGTATGACATCCTCCCAACGGCCCAGTGAGGTAAAGATCACTACTCCCATTTTACAGCAGAGAAAAGCAAGCCCCAGGGAGGCCAGCTGACTCAGCATCACACAAGATGACGGCCTTTCCCTTCCATCTGAGACGTGGGTGGGACGGGAATACGTGGATAGGCTGCCCTAGGCCACGTGTAGAGATGAGTGCCACTTCTGTTTGCCCCATGTCATAGCCATAGGACATGGTGGCAGTTCCCCTTTGAATGACTGTGGTCCCTACCTTCAGAGAAAATCAGTCTGGAATGTTGGGAAGCTGTGATGGTAGAGATTTCTTCTCTTGAAACAATAGAAGACTGCCTCTTTTTCCATGCATTCCATCACCAGACCTTGCACAGTGACATTTCTTGAGGCCATCACCCAGCCACCTCTGTCCCTGTACCAGGTACTGTGGAGGAGGAAATGGGCAGTACCTCCGTGTAGGAAGAGGGTGTGGGAGGGCTCCATAGTCTGGGACTCCAGTGCTGCCCTGAGCCCTGCCTAAGGCGAGCAGGAAGCCGCCTGTGACTCGGTCTCCTCATCTGTTGAGTGGTAATAAGAATGCCTTGGCTGGGCGCAGTGGCTCACACCTGTAATCCCAGCACTTTGGGGAGGCCGAGGCAGGCAGATCACTGGAGGTCAGGAGTTTGATACCAGCCTGACCAACATGGTGAAACCCCATCTCTACTAAAAATACAAAACTTAGCCAGGCGTGGTGGCAGGCACCTGTAATCCCAGCTACTAGGGAGGCCAAGGCAGGAGAATCACTTGAACCCGTGAGATGGAGATGGCAGTGAGCCGAGTTCGTGCCACTGCACTCCGCCTGGGTGACAGAGTGAGACTCTGTCTCCAAAAAAAAGAATGCTTTGAAGGCGAGCAGGAAGTGCCACCTTCAAGACCTCAGCACTCCACCCTGAAGCAGGCAGATCCAACCAGGCCAAGGCTCTTTGCTTCATGTCCCAGCCGTCCCATCACAGGAGGTGAGGGCCCAGGCTGTGCGTCTAGTCCAGCAGCACTGGAAATGTGGCCAGTGCCATCTGAGATGTGCTGAAGTATAAAATCCACAGCAGATTAATATGAAAGAAAAAGAAGGTAAATAGCTCATTAATCGTTTTTATATTACATGTTGTAATAATACTTTAGATAAATTGGGTCAATTAAAAAATATTTTTAAGACTGGGCACAGGGACTCTTGCCTGTAATCTCAGCACTTAGGGAGGCTGAGGTGGGCAGATAACTTGAGGTCAGGAGTTCGAGACCAGCCTGGCCAACATGGTGAAACCGTCTCTACTAAAAATTCAAAAATTAGCCAGGCGTGGTAGCAGGCACCTGTAGTCCCCGCTACTCAGGAGGCTAAGGCAGAAGAATCACTTGAACCCAAGAAGTGGAGGTTGCAGTGAGCTGAGATCTTGCCACTGCACTCCAGTCTGGGGGACAGAGTAAGTGAGACTCTGTCTCAAAAAAAAAAAAATTTTGTTTTAATTACATATGTGGTTCACACTATGTTTCTATTGGATAGTACTGGTCCAGAGAGTCCGTTAGAACCTAGAGGAGGAGGGTGAACAGTATAATCTTTCTTGTCTATTCCCTGGAGGTAGCTTGAACAACAGATGTTCTAGTAACCCAGGCTGAAGCGTCCCACCAAAGAAAGTTCCTGAATGAGTTGTCTCTGACTCGTGTGCTAGAACTACTTAGAGAATTATATTAAAAATCCATATAAACCATCTTATCTACATCTCTGATATTACCATCTGGTGTAGACTGAATGTCATAGCTGTTGGTTGTTACAGGGTTAATTCATTGATTCTTTTATCTGCGTGTTTGCTAACAAGCACTTATTTATTTTATGATGTGTCAGTTATTGGGCTAAGTGCCAGATTCCAAAATGAATGAGATTTGATTCTCTCATTGGGGTCTCAAAGGACTAGTAAGTAGAACCCTTCTCTGTCCCCTGAATTCTGAAAGTTGGAAAAGAAGACAGTAAGGTAGATAGATGGGGACCCAAATATCACCTTGATTTCTAAAGCCTTGCTTGAAGGATGCAGCTTGTTCTAAGAGCCCAGTGAGCTTCCCAGTATTGAGTCCCAGGATTAGACCAACATTACCCAACCACTCATAGTGGCTTTGCACTTGTCAGGCCTCCCCATCTGGGGGACATCGGAGAACAGGCTTACCATGGAGGGCTTACTCTCAGAGGTGGGGAGGGGGTTGGTTGGGGCGGCACATGGTTGGGTGCAAATCACACAGGGCCTCTCTGAGGGAGAATAGATGCCATCAGAGGTTTTCAAACAGAAGGGTGACATAGCGAGACTTAGCTCTTATAAGGACTACTCTGATTGCAGAGTTGAGAATGGGGAGGGCAAGGAGCAGGGGACAGTTAGAAAGCCATCGCGGTCGTCCATTTGAGGAATAAAGATGGCACTGGGCAGGCTGACCGTGGTGCAGGTGGTGAGAAGTGGTGGATTCTGAATGTACCATTAAGGTAGAACTCACAGGATTTGCCGAAGGATTGCCAGATGGACTCAAGCAAAAGAGAAGAATCAAGGATTTTAACCTGAGCTGCTGGAAGGGTGAAATGTCCTGTTTACCAAGATGTGGTCAAAGCAGGTTTGGGAGGAAGCTTCAGAGATACAGTTTTAGACTTGTGTTTGAGCCACCTGTCAAATGTCCAAGGGAATCACCAAGAGCTTGTGTTGTGTAATGAGACCACCCAACAATGAAGTCATCTGGCCCTCTTCTCTATCTACACATGTCCCTGAGGGCCTCCACTGGTCTTCTAGCTTCCTATACTGTGTATATGCCGACAGCTCTCGAATATATACCCCTAGCCTTCACCTAGCTCCTTCACTTCTCTTGAACTGCCAAATTCAGGCTCCTGTGGATGTCTAATACAGTATTTGTAAGAAGAGGAAATAAGGATGGATATACTACTTATTTCTGTGTAAATGAGGGATAAAACAGAAGTTATGTAGTTTTTTAACTTTTGAACTGTATAAATATTTTACAAATTCAGAAAAAATCCTGAAATTGAATATCAATAAAAACAAACCTAACTGTATATTAAATGATAATATAACCCACACAGAAAAAAGAATTAGAATATCTTTTTGAACACAGTACTTGCTATATGCCCATCACAGGATATATTCTAAGGACTAAAAGAATTGCTAAGAAATCTTGAACTTTTACCTTTAGTAGTTGTTAATGATATTCGTGTAGCAATTCTGAAGAAATTTTGTGTTTATTGTAGGATAAGGCAAATGAATAGATTGATGATGTTAGAAACCAGGGTTCTCACTGTTGTGGAAGGGAGCTGCAAATATGGAATCAAGGAAGGAGGAAGAACCTGGTGGTGTTGGCTTGCAGTAAGAAATAACAGTATTAACTTATGATTTAAAAATATATAGATATATACACACTCATATTTAATTATATATATTTACATTAAATACATGTACATATTTCTCTCCTAGCTGTGTCCACTGAAAGGACATAGAACAGTGACATCCCAGTGGCAATGAGCACATCTAATGCCCCGATCTTGGTTTCTAAATACCACTCCCCACCAAAAGGAGCTAGGGTACATTAAAGAAATGGCAGATTCCAAGCTGATTTCCTGGAGAAATGGGGTAGGGAAGGTACGGGGTGATTCTGGAGCTTCTTTTGCATCAAAAACCAAAGAAGTATTCAAAGATTGATGGAGACTCCTCAGTAACACTGGAGATGGGCTAAAAAGGTTCCCTCTGGCCAAGTTTGGAAGTTTGAACATGAAAGGGCATGATTATAATGGATTATAACACACTGAATAATAAATGAACACCCAGGTCCATAGTGATACCAAAAAAAGTAAAGGGTGGGGGCCTATTACTTATAAAGGAATGCCAGCCAATAAATATCGAGGAATAATTAATAATCACCAATGTGTAACCACCAGTAAAATAAAGATTCACATAAGGATCATCAGTGGATGCCAAACTATTCAGTGAAAATTTGTTAGGGAACAAGATGCTTAAAATCTCAAATTGCAGTACAGATTACTTATTAGTTACAAAGGAGAAACTATATCATTGCAGTGGAGAAATTTGGCAGATACCACCTTAACCAAGTGATCGAACTTAGCATTATCAATAACTGATTAATAATACAGTAGAAAGCACATACCACCCAGGAACTGTGTTTACCAAGCATGTATTACCCGAATCTCATGACAGGGAACAGGCAGATCCAACTTACGGGGGACCTCCTCCAAGACAACTGGCAGGCACTTTTCAAAATATGTCAACGTCCAAAAGCCAGTCCCGTCCCTCCTGCCTCCAGACTAGATAAGGGAAATTGGAGAGACATGACAACCAGATGCAATGTATGCTCCTTAATTGGATCTTGGATTTAAAAAAAAAAAAAAAAAGCTATAGAGAATCTGATAAGAGAAATTTGCTTATGGAGCAAATATTATGTCAGTGTTAAATATCTTGGGTATGATAATGTTATTATGTTATTTATGCAGGAGAATGTCCTTGTTCCTAGGAGAGAGACAGCTGGTAGTATTTAGAGATGTGTTATAACGTGTGCAACTTTCAGTTGCTTTGATGAAAAATAAATTTGCATGTGTGTTTCTGTGATAGAGAAAGAAAAGGGATGGAAAGCGAGCATGGCAAAATGTTAACGGTTGACGAATCTAGGTGAAGGGTATGTGGACGTTCGCTTCATAGTATTCTTTCAGCACATCAATAGATTTGATTTTTTTTTTTCCAAAATATAACTTTGGAAAGCGGGCATGGCAGAATGTTAACGGTTGACGAATCTAGGTGACGGGTATGTGGACGTTCGCTTCATAATATTCTTTCAGCACATCAGTAGATTTGATTTTTTTTTTCCAGAATACAACGTTGGAACCAGGCGTGGAGGCTCACACCTGTGATCTCAGCACTTTGGGAGACTGAGGCAAGAGGATCACTTGAGCCCAGGAGCTCGAGACCAGCCTAGGCAACATAGTGAGACCCTATCTCTACAAAACGAACAAAACTTAGCCAGGGCTGGGCATGGTGGCTAGCACTTTGGGAGGCCGAGACAGGCAGATCACTTGAGGTCAGGAGTTTGAGACCAGGTTCGCCGAAATGGTGAAACCCTGTCTCTACTAAAAATACAAAAAAAAATTAGCCAGGCATGGTGATTCATGCTTGTAATCCCAGCTACTCAGGAGGCTGAGGCAGGAGAATCACTTGAACCAGGAAGGCAGTGAGCCGAGATCGTGCCACTGCACTCCAGCCTTGGTGACAGAGTGAGACTCCATCTCAAAAAAAAAAAAAACAAAATAAAACAAAAAATTAGCCAGGCATAGTGGCGCATGCCTGTAGTCCCAGCTCCTCAGGAGGATCATGTGAGCCCCAGAGGTCATAGCTACAGTGAACTGGGATCACACCACTATACTCCAGCCTGGGCAACAGAGCAAGACCCTGTCTCAAAAAATAAAATGTTGGGGGAAAATGAAGGATAAGAGGAAAGGAACTGTAGACAACATATAGGCAAGTCTTTCAAGTGGTTTTGCTATTTAGAGAAACAAACGTGGGAGTAGCTGGAGGAGAAGGTGGGCTTAAGGACTCGGGTCTTTAAGATGGGGGAGATCTACCATGTGTATGTGCAGACGTGAAGTGACACACAGCAGAAGGAAACCTGGTGGTGGGGAGAGGAGAGAATGGCTGGTGCAGTGTGTGAGCAGGCCGGGTGGGTGGGGCCCCACCGCTGATGTAAGGCACAGATGAGATGCCTAAAAAGTCATTGAATGAGTTTTGGTTTTAATTCTTAGGCGAGCCTCATGAGACAGATACTATTATTAAAAGTATATTGATTCAATCTTGGTTAAACATAAAAAATTATAAGATTCAATTGTATTTATATTAAGTTCCTAGAATTTTTCATACAGTAAGGGAGAAGAGATTGGAAAATGCTTATTTACTGGTGATTTAAGATCCTAAGAATGTATACATTTATGTAGGTGTTATCTTTTATTATTTTTAAAAAGATGAGACAAAAGTTTCCTGAGATATTCACAGGCTCTTCCTGAGATAGTCAATTCAGAGTTCTTAGGGAAGATACTCATTCTGGAATATTCATGGGTAAATACATTTGTTTGTTTTAGGGAATGGAATTTCCTTAAGTTGTAAATGAACTTTGCAGTTGTTAATCTGACCCATATAAAAATCATGTGGGCTCTTTTTCCGAAGAATCTTAGACCTTTGTATCTGGGTTATTTCACCTTTTTGTTGGAATATACTATACATCAGGAAGTATATACACATACCTTATGTAGATAGCTTGCAGGATTTTCGCAAGTTGAACACACTGGTACAACCAACCCCCAGATCAAGAAACAGGCCATAACCGTCACCTCAGAAGCCCACTGCTTCATGTCACCTGCCAGTTAACCACCCCCCACTCCCCGAGCATAACCACTATCTTGAATCCCCAAATAATAGATTAAATTTGTCTGTTTTTGCATTTATATAAATGGAATCGTATAAAATGTACTCTTTTGAATCTGGCTTCTCTCTACACTCGTGAGAACCATGCATGTCATGGGTGTCGATTGCATGATATTCCACTGTGCGACGGTGCCACGGTTCACCCGTCCTGCTGTCGACAGGCATTCGCCGAGCACTGCTGTGATATTCTGGTACATGTCTGATGGTGACCTCACACAGGCGTTCTTTGGAGTGGAGTTATTGGGCTGGAGAGGAAGGATGTGTTCAGCCATAGTGGGTGGCTGTCAGTCAGCAGGGTAGAGAGTCCCCCTTCTCTTCATCCACAACACCGATAGTGTTCCCTGTTTTTTCTTTTTATCTATTCAGGCATGTTTGTGGTGGTAGCTCAGTGGTTTTAATGTACTGCTTCCTGATGACAAATTGAGCACCTTGTTATATGTTTATTGGCCATTTGAATGTTGCCTTTTGTGATTCTGAATCTCTTTGTAATGCTTACCAGTTATGCAAGTAAAATGAAAAGGGTGGTTCTGTCAGATCTTAACCCAAATCCAAGGTGAAGCCTGGTTTCCTGCATAGGCGAGAAGGCCCCAGGGCCCAGAATCCCTCCTCACCCCTTCTGCCTCCATCCAGGGCCCCACTCTGGGGCAGGCAGTGCTGGCTGCATTCAGCTCAGTGGGGGGCAGTTTGACTATGTCGCATCCAGCTTCCCATGCCGTCCATCCCTAGGAGTCTGTCTCACCATACAAGGGCGCAGACAGGCCAGCTTGAGGGTGTTCATCAACGCAGCATTGTTTGAAGAGCAGAAGTTAGAATCTATTCATTCGGGGGCCTGACTGCATAAATACACTGTGGTTGCCGTCCAGCAGAGCATCATGCAGCCATTAACTGCACTCACATGGGAAAATGCCCACAATGGCTTGTTGTTTAAAAAAAAAAAAAGTGAAAAAATATTTCTGCTGTGTGTGGAATTATGAGAAATGTTTACCGTCTACGTTATATATTTTTACAGTGCTTGGATTTTTATAATGAGATTGTTTGAAAATTTTTTAAAAGATAGGCTTAATATTCCCATTAGCAGTGTCATAGTTATCCAGTAGACTTCCTGAACAATTGGGTAGTAGGAATGGATTTTCATAACAAAAGAGTCTTTGGAATTGCAAAACTTCAAATATTGTTTTCCCTCTGTTTTAACAGGAATAGTTGTATATTAAGTAAGACAGAGGATCTTTCCATGTTAAAGTTGTTAGAAAAATATAACTCCAGGCCGGGTGCAGTGCCTCATGCCTGTAATCCCAGCACTTTGCGAGGCCGAGGCGGGCGGATCACGGAGTCAGGAGATCGAGACCATCCTGGCTAACACGGTGAAACCCCGTCTCTACTGAAAATACAAAAAATTAGCCGGGCGTGGTGGCGGGCGCCTGTAGTTCCAGCTACTCAGGAGGCTGAGGCAGGAGAATGGCGTGAACCCAGGAGGTGGAGCTTGCAGTGAGCCGAGATCACGCCACTGCACTCCAGCCTGGGCGACAGAGCGAGACTCCATATCAAAAAAAAAGAAAAATATAACTCCAGGTTGCTTTTGGCTCGACTAGACTGGGGTTATTTTTAGCTTTTGCCTTTTTAAGTGTTGGCAGAGACCTGACGAGGTTATCACATGACAATAATAGCTGCCATGTATTAAGTATTTGCTATATATCAGGTCCTTGGCTACATGCTTTACACACGGGTCACATTTAATCTCCACAATTACCTGAGGAGGAGCTAGGTCTGTGGCTATGGCTTTCCTCTAGGTGAGGAACCGGAGGCTCGGGTAAAAAGTTTGCCCAGGTTAGTGGCCGAGCTGAAGTTAAAACAAAGACACACAGGCCTGGCGTGATGGCTCACACCTGTAGTCCCAGCACTTTGGGAGGCTGAGATGGGAGGATCCCTTGAGCCCAGGAGTTCGAGACCAACCTAGGCAACATGGCGAAACCCTGTCTCTACCAAAAATACAAAAATTAGCCAGTCTCGTAACCTGGTCTCAAGATAAAATAAATAAATAGATTTAAAAAAAAAGCCACAGACTTCAGCTCTGCTGCCTCCTGTGCCCATAGCCCTCTGTCTCCATCTTTACCTTGCGGTCCACAAAATCCTAGACAAGTGAAAAGACTTTTAAAAAATTGGAAATCCTCATCTTTAAAAAAGCTTTTCCTAATGTCCTCAATCACGCCTCCACTCCATTTGTCCTTTTTATGCATTTGGAAAATGGGGAATGTTTATTAAGTAAGTGATCTCTAAATCCTTCCCAGTGCTCGACTTCTGAGCCCAGTAGAAGACAGGGAATGAGGAATTAGCCACAGCGTTTCTCAAGATTGGCTGCCTCAAAGTTGTCCACCTTGCCCTTGACTTTGTGATCCCGTGTGGTTGATGTTTAGAGACTCCCCACCATCCCTGGTGAGAGATTAAGTTGAGACAGAAACCACTGCTAAGTTGGGAACCCAGCTGCTGCTACAAATGACACAGAAAGAAGGCCAGTTGATAGCCACATTTGTCAGCAACAGGCAGAGACCATTGTTAAGCCTGGCCGAGGGGCAAGTTAAAAATTTAAGAATGAAATATTGGCATCTGGCAGACCACTTGAAGAAATTGGGTTGGCTTTGATGTCTTTTTGCTCTGCTTGGTTTTCTGTTGAGACATGATTCTGTGAGCAGGCTACATCCTCTCCTCCGGCCCATCCTCTTTCTCTCTCGGTAGAGAAGGACATTCATCCGACAGCCAGATCTGTAGCCTGCGATGGTTGCCCAAGAAAGTGGCTGCTGTTGGTAACATCACAGTCAATTTATACAGAAATTGTTTGTAAGCTCATATAAGCCACCCTTCCTCTGGAAGGAATGACTAGCAGATTAGTCACTGGGAGTCTCTGACCTTGGGGTAAATGTAACATGGAGCAAGAGTCTGAGGCTTTCTGTTCTCAAGTTCAGGTGAACTTGAAGTTGCTCTCACAGATTAGATAGATCACAATAAAATACACCAGCATATGGCATTTCCAGGTGAAGGAGGACTTTTGTGTCCTTTCTTAGACATGGCCATGTGGGAAAGTTTGCATGTCTGGCAACCCCAGGTGCCGGGAGGAATATGGAGCAACTAGGACTCTCCCAACCTTGCTAGTGGGACTGTAAAGTGGCATAGCCACTTGGGAGAATTGTTTTGCAATATCTGTAAGAATCAATGTGGCATATACCCTACAATCCAGCCGTTCTGCTCTTAGAGGACTGTTGGCATGTGTTCCAGGAGACATGTATGAGCAGCATTGTTTATTAAAGCAAAAATGCTGGAAGCGACCCAGTGTCCACTGACAGGAGAGCAGATAAATAAAGCTGGGATTATGGAATCTACGGAATTTCTCAGCATTGAAAACGAAATCACTGATACACCCCAGCATGCCTGAGTGTCAGGCCTGCTATTGAGTAAAAAACAAGAGCGTGAGAATCTTTACAATATGCCATCACTTAGGTAACGTTCACAAACTTATAAGTTAAACTGTATATGTCGATATAAACTATCCTGAAAAGTAAGGGATGATAAGTCTGAAAGTCAGAGTCGGGCTGCCTGTAGGGAAGAGATGTGGCTGTAGAGGAGCACATGGCAGCACCAGTGGAATCCATCCGCTTCTCGAGCTGCACCATCCAGTGTGCCAGTCACCAGCCCCAGGGGCTGTTTACACAGTTAACTCACAGTTCAGTGCCTCAGCCACAGCAGCCACAATCAGGCCTCAGTAGCCACTAGTGCCTGTCGTGTTAGACAGTTCAGGTACCGGCCGCCTCCATCGCTGCAGAAGGTTCTGTTTGCTAGGCCAGATGGTGGGTGCCTGGATTTGATTCATTCTCTATAACTTGTACATATATATATTTGTATGAAATCTTTAAATTTTTTGTTTTAACTTCAATTCTAGAAAATTACTAAAGAGACGCATATACAAATTCTACAGTGTAACTTCCTAAGTGTGAAAAGCAGGGGAATAGCAAGAGAGCAGTTGGTGGCACTGCCTGCGACGCAGCAGTCATGTGGGAACACTCCCTTCACGTCGCCCTCCATCCCAGATGATTGACGTGCATGAGAAAGGGGCAGGGAGAGTGCATCTGTCTGTCTGTCTGTCTGTCTGCCTGCCTGTCTGGAGCCGTTGGCGAGATTGCCCTAACAGCAGTGTTCATGTGAGGGCACCTGTCGTTTCCTCCCCACCCTGCTATCGCAAAGCATTATAGTACCTCCTCAGCACTCAAAGGCATAGTGTGAATGACCTTGAGAATCACCTGAAGCCTGTGCTGCTAACCCAAGGTTTCAAGAAGGATGTGACAAACATACTGTCCTAGTTAGTGCTGTCCTCGATTTCCAGCGTTGAGAAGGTTGGTTGTCATTTGAAAGAATCTCTTCTCTCTGCCTGATTTATGGCTTCTTGTGCTAGAGCTGGCTGTGCTGAGGTGGATACCCTGAGGAGGGAGATTTATTGGTAGGCATTGCACTGTCTTTAGGTGCTGACATGTTTTCCCAGCCTTGCCCAAGGCAGACAAGAATTGTGAGTGCAATAATAAACCTCTTGAGTTCCATCAACAGCTCATAGGCAGAAGTGCCCTTAGTTGGTCCCTGCCCTTGCATGAACCTGAGAGGGTTTTTTGGTGATCGACCTCTACACCTCACTTGTCTACCCCAGTTCCGCCGTGGTCATGACGGCGCAGTTGTGAATCTTGCCAGCTCCTCAGCCCCATGCCTGCCTGAACAGCAACTCAGGGCAGTAGACAGTGGAGAAAGCGGAAGTTGGCTCACCCAGCCTGAAGATCTTTGAGCACCAGAGAACCCACGCATCCTGCCCAGACTTCCCCATTTGTGTCTGCTTTCCCTGCTTCAGTCCTACTCAACAGGATACAAGTCACATGGATTAGGAAACTGCTCTGACAGCCCATCTGACTTGGGAACCTGCCTGGTGAGGGAAGAGGCTGTGTCTTTTAGGGACACTGTGGGGCTGCCATCAGAAGACATGGAGTAGGGACAGCAATAGGATCCGTATGCAGGGAGGCAGGTTAAACCAAAGAGGGAAATAGACTAATAGGCTAAAAGCCAGATTGAGACTTCTGGTTCAGTGCCAAAGGAAGAGAAGAGTGGGCATTTATAAGGTCTCATTTACTTAGAATAGTGAGTTAAATGTTCAGTGTTGCAGAATAACTGGATGAAGATCTGGAAGCAGCTGGGAAATAAGAATTCGGTATCTATCGACCTTGCTATGCATCCAAGCTCCTTGTGTTGAGCGGGTGCCGTGTGCCAGGCATTTTGTGAAATACCTTATTGTATTATCCACAGTAAATATCTCATTTAATCTACATCACATCAGCCATCTCAAGAAATATAATGTTATCTCACTCATTTTCCAGACAAAATAAGGGAAAGATTTAGAGAGATGATATCTAAGTATTTGAATGCAAACATTCTGACTCCAGTGCACACCCCCCTTTTAGAAAATTTTTTGGCCGGGCGCGGTGGCTCACACCTGTAATCTCAGCACTTTGGGAGGCCAAGGCAGGTGGATCACGAGGTCAGGAGATCGAGACCATCCTGGCTAACACGGTGACACCCCGTCTCTACTAAAAATACAAAAAAATTAGCCAGGCGTGGTGGCAGTCGCCCAGGCTGGAGTGCAGTGGTGCAATCTTGCACTGCATGCTCTGCCTCCTGGATTCACGCCATTCTCCTGCCTCAGCCTCCCGAGTAGCTGGGACTATAGGCATGTACCACCAGGCCTGGCTAACAGTGCACACCCTCTTAAGCATCACATGAAGGATTAGACTGTTCACATCCATGTTGAAGTATAAAGAAGGAAGTATAAACTGTAAATGGGATCCACCCTGCTTGGGTGAAGAGAGAGAAGAGGCAGGACAGAGGGGAGCGGGAGAAGTCACACCATCCCAGTTCATTTGAATGCGAGGGATGACTGCTGACATATGAGGGCTGGTGTTGAGAGCCTCCTGACCCTGTTGAGCTGTTCCAGGTGAGCTAGCCAGGTGCAGCAGCTTCCTGTTGACTTGTGTCCCCATCTGGGGACTAAGAAGGGCTTTCTGCAGCTCTGGCCATCACACAGCTGTGAAGCTGTTTGGTTTGACCACATGTGAATGCGGGTCAGGCCCTGGCTTTTCTCTTTGGTCCAGAGCGCAGTGGGTGCCTAGGTAATTTGCAAAGGGCAGGTAGTTTATCTGATCCTGCCTGGCCACCTGGAAGGTCTTTAGCAAGGGAACTGAACTTTGGCCTTGTTAAGTCACGTGCAGCAATAGTAGACAGAGTGAGAGCCATGTAGTGCAAGGTGCCGTGCTATTTATTTGGAGGGTTGTTTTGTTTGGTTTTCTGGTTTGTTTTGTTGTACTAAATTGCTGGAAAAACTTGACAGAGGGAGTGCTTTTTATTTTTAAAACTACAGGTATTTATTTTTCCATTGCGTAGGACAGTGTTTTGTTGCTTAATTTTCAGCCAATTTCAAGTATTTCTGCTGTTACTAAAAGAAGCAGTCTTCTTCCTGGGATATTTTTGTTGTTGGTTGGTTTCTTCATTTGTTGAATATATGTTTACTGATTATCTTCTATGGGCCAACTGCCATGTCAGCACTGGGAAAACAGGCATGAACAAGACAGGTACAGTCCTCAGGGAACTTGTCCCCCAAGCCTTTATTTTTTTGAGACAGGGTCTCGCTCTGTTGCCCAGGCTGGAGCGCAGTGCTCACTGTAGCCTCTAACTCCTGGGCTCAAGCAGTCCTCCCACCTCAGCCTCCTGAGTAGCTGGGACTACAGGTCTGCACCACCATGCCCAGCTAATATTTTGTAGGTAGAGACAAAGTCTCACTCTGTTGCCTAGGCTCCAACTCCTGGGCTCAAGTGATCCTCCCGCCCCAGCCTCCCAAAGTGCTGGAATTACAGGCATGAACCACTGCGCCCAGCCATACTTGCATTCTTGTGAGGAGACAGGTTTAAATAAATCGATTAATAAGATGTTTTCAGACACTGGAACTGGTTGTAATAATGCTGAGATGAAGGAAGACTGCCAGTGGGCTTTTTTAAAAAAATAGCTTTATTGATATATAATTCACATATCATACAATTCATTCAAAAAGGGTACAGTTCTTTTTTTTTTCTAGTAATTCACTGGGCTATACAACCATCACCATATTCTAATTTTAGAATACTTTTGTACACCAGGAGAAAAAACTCCATACTGATTATAGCAGCCCCTCTCCATCTCTGCCCCGTCCAGTCTTAGGCAACCACCAATCTACTTTCTGTCTCTATGGATTTGCCTATTCTGGACATTTCAAATGAATGGAATCATACAATATATGGTCTTCTGTGGCTGGCTGCTTTAGCTTAAATAATGTTTTCAAGGTTCAACTGTGTTGTAGCTGATCCGTACTTAATTTATTTTTATTGCCAAATAATATTCCATTGTATGGATATAATACATTTTATTTAGTCATTCACAAACATGGACATTTGAGTTTTTCCCACCTTTGGCTATTATGAATAATGTTGCTGTGAACTTTCCTTTGACTTACCTGTACAAGTCTCATGGATTTAGGCTTTCATTTCTCTTGCAAATCTGCCCAGGAGTGGAATTTCTGGGTCACATGTCAACTCTGTGATCTTGTGAGAAACTGCCCGACATTTTCCAAAGCAGAGAAACCATGTTACATTCCTACCAGCAATGTGTAGGGCGTTCAGTTTCTCCAGTCCTCACCAACACTTGGTACTGCCTTTTTTATTAGACCTAGTGTGCGTGAAGCGTTACATTTCCTTAATGGCTAATTATGTTGACCGTCTTTCCATGTGCTTATTGCCAATTTGTGTATCTTCTTTGGAGAATGTCTGCTCAGACTCTTTGCCCATTTTACATTGGGTTACATGCCTTTTATTCTAGAGCTGTAAGAATTTTGTAATGTTTTCTGTATACAAGTCCCTTATCAGGTATAGCTGACCCTCCATATCCGTGGGTTCTGCAGCCTCTGCTGATTCAGTCATGGTCAGAAATATACAGGGAAAAACAATAAAAATAACAGTGTAATAATGCAGATTTTAAAATAAAGTATAACTATTTACATAACATTTACATTGTATTTGGTATCGTAAGTAACCTATAGATGATTTGAAGCATGTGGAGGATGTGTGTCATACACAAATATTCCACTGTTTTATATAAGGGACTTGAGCATCGTGGATTTTGATCCCCGCAGAGGATCCTGGAACCAAGCCCCTGAGGATGCTAAGGGATGGCTGCATATGATTTTTAAATAGAGTCATGCTCTGCATAACGACATTTCAGTTAGTGACAGACCACATTATAACATATGTAGGGCAGACCACATTATAATCTTATGGTCCCATAAGATAATCATAAAGCTGAAAAATTCCTGTCGCCTCGCCTGATGTAGCCATCATTACATCCAGCGCAATGCATTACTCACCTGTTTGTGGTGATGCTGGTGTAAATATATAGCACATATGGTTATGTACAGTACGTAGTACTTGATAATAAATGACTATGTTACTGGTTTATGGATTTACTCTACTTTTTATCATTATTTGAGAGTATGCTTCTGCTTACTAAAAACAAAAAAGTTAACTGTAAAACAGCCTCAGGCAGATCCTTCAGGAGGTGTTATAAAAGAAGGCATTGTTATCATAGGAGATGACAGCTTCTTGCATTTTATTACTCTGAAGACCTTCCAGTGGGACAAGATGGGGAGGTGGAAGATGGTGATACTGATGATCCTGCCCCCGTAGACCTAGGCTGATTAATGTGTGTCTGTCTTTGTCTTTAATGAAAAGTTTTAAAAGTGAAAAAAAAATAATAATTTTTTAAATAGAAAAAAGCTTAAAGAATAAGGATATAAAGAAAGAAAATATTTTTGCCCACCTGGGCAACATAGTGAGACCTCATCGCTACAAAAAGTTTAAAACTGAGCCAGACATTGTAGCACTTGCCTATAGTCCTAGCCACTCGAGAGGCTGAGGCAGGAAGATGTCTGAGCCCAGGAATTCCAGGCTGTGGTGAGCTGTGATCACACCACTGCACTCTAGTCTTAGCAAAAGAGTGAGACCCTGTCTCAAAAAAACAAAAGAATAAAAATGTTTTTTTTAAATTAAAAGTTTATAAAGTAAAAAAGTTACAGTAAGCTAAGGTTAACTTACTGAAGAAAGAATATTTTAAAAATAAATTTAGTGAAGGTTAAATGTGCCATGGTTATAAAGTTTACCCTGGTGTACAGGAGTGTCCTAGACCTTCACATTTACTCCCTGATTTACTCAGAGCAACTTCTAGGCCTGCAGCCTCCATTCGTGATAGTGCCTTTCACAGGTGGAATTTTTAATCTTTTATACCATTTACCGTACTTTTCTACATTTAGATATGGTTGGATACACAAATACCATTGTATTACAGTTGCCTGCAGTACTCAGTACAGTACCGTACTGTACAGGTGTGTAGCCTCAGAGCAATGAGCTATTCCATATAGCCTAGGTGTGTAGTAGGCTATCCCATCTAGGTTCATTTGAGTATACTCTATGACATTTGCACAACGAAGTTGCCTAATGATGCATTACTCAGAACTTATTCCTGTCCTTGAGCAACACATGACTGTATTTTCTTTCATCCTGTGGGTTTGTTCACTTTCTTAGTAGTAGTATTTGTAGTGCAAAAGTTGTTAGTTTTGATGAAGTCCAATTTTCTATTTTTTTATTTTGTTACTTGTGCTTTTGGTTTTGTATCTAAGAAAACATGGTCAAATTCAAGGTCACAAAAACTGTTTTTTTCTGAGAGGTTTACAGTTGTAACTCTTACATTTAGGTCTGATCCAGTTCAATGTCAGATAGGAGTGGTGAGAACAGATGTCCTAGTCTTAATTCCTGATCTTTGGGGCAAGTCTTTCAGTCTTTCACCAGGGCCCAGAGGATTTTGAACACCTTACTTCTGATTCAGTCACCGCTGCCAACTCCAGAGCCTTGCACATGTCACTTGTTGCAGTTTCTTAAAGAATGAAGAGGTTGATGCGAAAGGGCCTTCCTTTCCAGTTCTCACATCCTACACATCTGTGATTTGACTGGGTGTTCTTTCTTCTCAGCCAGTTCCCTTGGATGTTAGTTAGATCATCACACAAACTCTGTAAGGACACTTGGGAATATTTGCAAGTTCTTTTTCCATATTTATTTGGACTGCCTTTGATTTCCACAATTCCTTGATGAAAATTGCAAAAATTGAAGCATGTAAGCAGAAATGTTTTGTAATGGATCCATACGTCCTTTCCCTTGAAACTCTCAACAGCCAAGAAAAAAGATGGGTTTGGGGACATTGCTCATTTCCACAAAAGGTCAATGAACCATCGCTTCTTCCCACTCCCATCTAACAGTCAGTACCCTCTTTGTTTTCAGACTCTCAGCGTTCTCATCTCTCTTCCTTCACCATGAAGCTGATGGACAAATTCCACTCACCCAAAATCAAGAGAACGCCATCAAAGAAGGGAAAACCAGCTGAGGTGTCCGTAAAGATTCCAGAGAAGCCTGTGAACAAAGTAAGCTGACTCTGGATGTTTCTCCTGGCCTCACCTGCTTCCAGCAATATGAGTTTGTGCGATTTGTATGTTCCCTCCCTGGGGATTGAGCTTTCAGTGCATCATACCTACTTCGTAGCATTCCATGGGCGGGACCTTTGGTGTCCTTGTAAAATAAGAACCATTAGGATGGTGAGTGTTTGCCACGTTAGCCAAGCTCAGTTGGCTAAGACAGTTCTCCTTTTCCAGCTGTGTCATCCTCTGGGCATTTAAAACAGCTCAGCACATCATGTCCACACCCCAGGCTGCTGCCTCCCTGCCCTGCAGTTCCCTACGTTGCCTTGGCGCACACTCAAACACAGGGAACTCTGTGATGTCCAGAACATCCATCATTTGGCTTTAGGGCCTGTGCTCTGAAACATGCAAACCCCTTGAGACACAGCCAAAGATGTCCTCAAGAGTTAGTGGCCTCAGCAGGGCCAGTCAAGCCAGATATGTTGAAACAGCTATTGACTTTCATCAACCCCTCCCTTCGGCCTCAAACAGCCATTTCAAACTCTGTAGGAATCCAGGTTTCCTCTCTTCCAGGAGGCAACAGACAGATTTCTACCAGAGGGCTACCCTCTCCCCTTGGATCTGGAGCAGCAGGCAGTAGAATTTATGTCCACCAGTGCTGTGGCTTCCAGGTCTCAAAGGCAGAAGGTCAGTGTAACATTAAGAACAATTGGGTTTGCCTTGCCTTCTACTGCAGAATCCTGGTCCATGGTTTTGGGGATGGAAAAAACTCTATTGCACTATTATTATGTTCAACTGGGTGGTGACCGTGGGCTGAATTGTTCAGGAAAGAGTCCAGGGGACCTTGGATAAAAGTGAGAGTTTATGCAAGGTCCCATGATCTTTGGAGAGAGCTTTGTGGCAAAAGCTTAGGGATTCTTTCTGGGGTTGGTTTGGGTGTGCTGCTTGGGTCCAACGGGTTCCAGGGGATGTGGGCGAGTCTCATCTCTCAAGACCAGCTGTTCCTTGAATTGCTAAGATGATCTGAATAGTTTAGAAGGGAAAAGGCTTCTGAAGCCTCCGAGTGCTTTCTTACCCATCTCACAAGGCTGGTGGAGTGCAGTGAGACCGCCGCATAACCAAGTGCTCTCAGAGCCCCAGACACCTGTGTCCCTAACATTTATGGAGCCTTTTCTTGGTCCAGTGCTGAGTGCTTTACATGTGTCCTCTTACTTGTCTTCATAGCAACCCTGATGTGTGAAAAGTTATTTTGCCAAAAAGGAAACTGGATCTATAGAAATATTAAGCATTTAGCCAAAGTCGCACAGCAAAAAGGTGGCAAAGTCAAGATTTGAATGCAGGCTGTCTGACGTCAGAGTCTGAATTGTCGAGATGCTACGTTTCCTCTTTATGAAAGACAGAATTTTTAATATCTCGTGAATTTAAATATTAATCCTGACTCATTACATAAAAATAAAACTAGGCTGGGCACAGTGGTTCACGCCTATAATCCCAGCACTTTGGGAGGCTGAGGCAGGCGGATCACCTGAGGTCACGAGTTCAAGACCAGCCTGGCCAACATGACAAAACTCCGTCTCTACTAAAAATACAAAAAAAAAAAAAAAAAAAAAAAAAATTTAGCCAGGCATAGTGGCAGGCGCCTGTAATCCCAGCTGCTTGGGAGGCTGAGGCAGGAGAATCACTTGAACCCGGGCGGCAGAGGTTGCAGTGAGCCGAGATCACACCACTGCACTCCAGCCTAGGTAACAGAGTGAGACTCTGTCTCCAAAAAATAAATAAATAAAACTAAACTTAGCAATGTAAAATAAAATAAACCTTGTAGACAGATATTCTTAATCCTTTAGTGATTATCCAAAGTATAATTTCTATGTAGCAGAACTACTGTCACAGCCATCCATTTAATGCCGCTGGTAAACACTAGCCTGTTATTTAAATACATAATTCTTGAATTTTGCAGTTCATCTATTTTTGGGTTTTATGTTGACCAGCAGAATATCTTAAAATTTTAGTTAAAAGTGGAGGAAAATAAAGGTTTTAAATCTAAAAGTCTTTTGTTGAAAAGTGGTTTTTCCTGCCCCCTCTTTTAACGAAAGGTGACTGACAAGCAAGAGGGAAACAGTCAGTGTTTGCCAGATTGATCTAAATTCCAGATTGAAGAAGAGTAATACAGTAGATTTGGTCTGTGCCACAGTTATTTTTTATTGCAATCTGTTTAGTAACCTCTTGTAGCCGAATGTAGTATTAACTACAAGTAGAGTGTAATTGTCATCCAACACTAGTCCAGGCAGTCAGAGTAAAATGATTCACTTACTAACAACGTTATCCTGCTAGTGAATTCTGATATGAAACTGTTCGGCCACTCAATTCCTGGGATTTCCCCCCTTTTTGTTGTTTTTGTTGTTTTTTTGTTTGTTTGTTTGTTTTGAGATAAGAGTCTCACTCTGTCGCCCAGGCTGGAGTGCAGTGGAGCAATCTCAGCTCACTGCAATCTCCGCCTCCCAGGCTCAAGCAATTCTCCCGCCTCAGCCACCCGAGTAGCTGGGACTACAGGCGTCCTCTACCACGCCTGGCTAATTTTTGTATTTTTTAGTAGAGATGGGGTTTTGCCATGTTGGCCAGGCTGGTCTCAAACTCCTGACCTCAAGTGATCTGCCCGCCTCATCCTCTCAAAGTGCTGGGATTACAGGCATGAGCCACCGCACCCAGCCGGGATTTTCCCCTTTATTCATTTTTCCAAGAGAGGTCACAGAGAAAAATTCAGTGCTAAAGTACCGCTCATTTAGTGGGGTGCCTGTAAACCCCAGGGGCCATTTGGCAATGTCTGGAGACATTTTTGGTTGTTGCCATAGGAAGGCAAAGCAGATGTTATTGGCTTCTAGTGGGTAGGGGTTGGGAAGCTGCTAAACATCCTACAATACACAGGACAGCCCCCCACACAACAAAGAATTCTCTGCCCCAAAATGTCAGTAGTGCCAAGGCTGAGAAACCTGTTCTGTAGCAGGGAGCTGTAGGTGTGATCTTCACCCAAGAAGGAATGTTACCCCTTTTTCATCATTGCTCATTAGGAAGGGTTGGATGTCTGTGTTCTGTCCCAAGCCACCTGCGTGGGACAAGTAAATGCGAACCTCTTGCTTCGTGGAGGCCCATGGACAGAACCAGAAGCATTGAGAAACTTCCCAGAGTACGTGGACTTAGAGGATTATGTCCAAGAAACCTTGCAGTGGGTCTGTCATCTGCTGCCCTCGTTGATTATTCATTAGCTCTCTTACCACTTAGGGAGTGATTACGTACATTCTTATTTTACTTCAGGTCATATGCATGGCTTTCCCTGCTCAGATACGAGGGAAATGGAAGTGCAGGGAGATGAAAGTACAGATTCAGATTCGCTGCCACTTCCCGAGGGCTCCTTCTCGCCCCAGCCCTGTCCTGGGTGGTTTCAGACATGCTGTCTTATTTACTCCTCACCATAATTGTGTGGGGAAGCTTTTATTATTCCCACTGTGCAGACAGTGTTGGCCCTGGTGCACATTTTCTTGATCAAAATCTGTTTTTCTCACTATATTCTGTTGTCTTCCCAGACTGATTCCACATTAGCAGTCTCTTGCATCTTCTTAGTGAATTTAAAAATTCAAAGTACATTGTGATGAACTTCTAAACTTTTTTGCAACCTTTTAACAAGTCTAGCAGTGAGCTGCAGAGTGTTGAAGTTGTAGAGGAAATTTAGCCATATACTGGGTGTCCAAAGGTATAATTACAATGAGCAGTGAGCAGGGGGTCCTGGGAGGTGTTAATGCCCCATCTCTGAGGGCATTTGGACAGAGATTGGATCCGAGTGCTCTTGGGTGGATTCCTGAAAGCCTTTCCCCTTCAGCTCTTCCAGGGAGATGCTGCTGCCGGACAGCCTGGTGGCAGGTGGTGATTTGGTGCTCTCATTGTAACCAATGTCTGTGTTCGACATGTCTTCTTGCTAGGCCTCACTGTTCTGGACTAATAGGAATAATGTTGCATTGCCATTTTTTTTTTAATCCTGCAATTCTAGTTTTTTATTATACTGATTGTGACTTGCCCTCCCCCTCACTCCCTGGCTTTACCCACATTTTCAGGGTACACTGTCCTATAGTGTGGAAATGAGGCTTATGTTGCTGTGGAGAGGGGAGGCACCCAGGCTGCAGATGGGACAAGGAGTGACAGAGCAAGTCGGGTGTCCCGGCTGCGGCACGGCTGTGGGGAGAGAACTGTCTGGAGAGGAGGGCCAGTTTTCCTCACCCTCTTCCCCGCCATCTCCTGTGGCAGCACATGGCTGTGGAGCCACAGCCTGGGCGTCAGAAATGAATATGGCCCACGGGGCAGGAAAGGCGATGGGGATTTTATGTCCATCTCTGCCATCGGGGTCTTAGTTTACTCGTTTGTTAAATGAGATCTTTTTGACCAGGGGATCTCAAGTAAACTTTTTAACTTCAGCACATTTCTGATCTGGTCTTTATTCTCCTCTCTATCTCTCCAGGCTCTGAACTCAGACAGACCAAGTTCAAATTCCATATCTGTCACTACAGCTGTGTGGCCTTAGGCAAGTTGCTTAACCTCCCCCACGTCCCACTAAGCCTCAGTTTCCCCACCTGTGAAATAATAGTATCCACTTCACAGGGTGGTTGTAACCTTTAAACAAAATAGCCTATATAAAATCCATAGCACAGTGGGTGCCTCCATGTCCCCGATGAGTGGTAGCTACGATCTGGCCTCTTTCTTCCCTTTCAGATGTTCCCATCCTAGGCCCTCTTTCTCTGCTTTATTACTGGCAGGTATATGGTCTCTGGTGTTGGTATAGTGCCTGTTAAATGTTGTGAACCACTTCATATGCTTTCTCATTCAGTCCCCCACAGTCACCTCTTTAGTTACACGGGGCAGATGTTATTCTCCCCATTTTGTGGGTGACAAGCCCAAAGCCCAGCAGTTGGCTTTGTCTCTAAGCCATCCCCAGACACGGACAGCCTCATTTAGTTTCCAGGCTTATGTGGACCAATGATGGCAATCCATCCCCCACAGCAGGAGGGGTGCGCAGGTGAACGCACCTGCCCTCGGGTTATGCAGCGAGGCAGCTTCAGCAAAGCCAAGGCATGGAGTCCCCAGTCCGAGCCAGTGCTGGATGTGGCTGTGTGGCTGTGAACTCTCACTGCTGGCTGCATTCACAAGGATCCCCAGCTTGACAGCTGAAAGGCTGGAGAATGCACAACACCCAGAGGCCATTAATTCTGGGAGTAGAATCTGAGTTCACGGAGGCAGCCTGGCTGTGCTACATTGTTGGCTCCTTTAGGAGGAGCCCAGGACAGCCTGACTCTTAAACAGCTGATTTGATCTCTCTGCAATGACAGAAAAACTCTCTGCTCTGAAGTGCCTTGCCACTTTCGAGTGCCTCCCATCTTCAGATTAGCCACTTTCTCCCTGTGTGACCTGATGACACATTTTCTTAAAATGTTTCCTGTTCCTCAGCAAGTTTCATCATTGCTGGTCTCTAACACTTTCTGATGTGCTAAGGTGGCAGTGTTACTGTCATAGTCCTCTTCTTGCCTGGTTGACCATGGCTTTAGGCACATCTGAGGTCTGTCGGCACTGCGACTCCTTCACACTCAGGTTCCTCCCTGCCCCGGGCAGATGACATGAAGCAGAGAGCTCTTGTCCACGAGGTGGAAAAGTAAGCGCCCAGCCTCTTGGAAACAGACCGTAAACAAATCTGTCAGGTAGTGAAAAGAGAAAAATAAAGCCAGGGTGCAGGACCCAGGGATGGGGATGAGGAAGGGCACTTCCCCCACCATGGGAGAATTGTGTCTTCTAGTCTGCAGGACACCTTGTGGGAAAGACTCAATGAAAGAAATGACTGGGTCTTTTGTGCATTGTCTGACTAAAGTAGCCATTTATATATTTTTCTTTTGACATTCCCATGAAATAAAAGCCTCTACTATTGAACATTTTTATATTTAAAATGATATTCTGCACCTTTTTTTAAACTTTATTTTTTTAATTGAGACGGTGTGTCACTATGTTGCCCAGGCTGGTCCTGACTCCTGGGCTGAAGTGATCTGCCCACCTTGGCCTCCCAAAGTGCTGGGATTATAGGTGTGAGCCACTTCACCTGGCCAATCGGCACTATTTTAGAAGAAAAGAGCTAGTATTCAGAATCATAAGCACTTTTTATTAATTTCTACCATTTGTTTGTCTGTATATTGTTTAAATCACCTTTTTCTAGAAATTATCTTCTTGCCCTCAGTTTTTATTTATATCCTCTAGACCTCTGAGATCCTGCAGGTGGCTGTTTGCCTCATACACACCCCTCTTAATTTGCACTAGACATGTAATCGACTACTTGAGTACACTGTCCATTTTGGGATTTATCCATTCTGTAGACTACTCTTTTTTTTTTTTTTTTTAAAGGACAGCCTCCCAAACCAGAACAGGTTCAGAGACTCCACTTCTGTAGATTACTCTTAGCCTCCTTTTCCTGCCAGCCAGCTGAGACCTGGATCATTGACATCAGGGCAAGTAGAGGGGAAGTTGGAGAGAAGAACAAAAGGGGTGTGTAGACCCACCAACTGGATCCAAGGCCTCCCACGGTCAGGGAGAAAAGCTTGGGGTTGTGGCTTAAACACTGGAAAGCGCAGGGCTCTGTATTTTCCCTTTCTCTCAGGTGGGCTTCTCTCAGGAGCAGAGGGACCATGAATGCTGCTAGCGCCCACTGCATGAGTCGTGATTGAATCTTGAGAATCACGGTCATCTGCTCTGGCTTCTCTGCCTTTTCTCCCCAGATTTCCTGCCCCTTCTAGCCCTGGGAGCTTCCAGGCCCTTGAGGAATAGCATATCATTTCCTTGAGTGGGGGCTTCAGTG
The DNA here is from genome assembly GCF_000001405.40 of Homo sapiens. Classification (NCBI taxonomy): domain Eukaryota; kingdom Metazoa; phylum Chordata; class Mammalia; order Primates; family Hominidae; genus Homo; species Homo sapiens. The sequence goes on along the minus strand of NC_000009.12, from coordinate 131,643,938 downwards.
GGGTGAACAATCTGGGAACCTAGTGAGGAGTCCTGAGGGAATGGGTTTCAGCCCCTCATGCCCTGGACCAGTCTTACACAGTCTTTCAGATCTTTGAAACAAAAGCCTGGAGCTTCTTGATGTGATTTACAGGATACAGATGTACCATGGGCCTTGACTGGTGCTTCTCCAAGTCATCAGCAAATTAGTCCTCACTCTAGTTAACAGGGTTAGTGGTGGTCTGTCAGTGTGGCTGATGAGGACAGACAGGAGGATAAGTGGTTTTCAAGACCTCAGGGTCTGGAAAGGGAATTCAGAAATTTCTGAATGAGCTATCTTGGTCCAAGCCCCCTTCTTCCTTCAGCTCTACCCTCTGTCTCCTGATTACAATCCTTAGAAAAATGATCTGGCTTGGTTTCTGTAGCAAGAGCCTTTCCATTCCTATCGATCTCAAGCTGGTTTAAAGAAAATGTTCCTTTATTTTTTCAAAATAGCTCCCTTTAATCTCTCTCCTCCTCCTTATGCCTAACGTCTCCTTTCAGAACCTGAGCTGGCTGGAGGAGAAAGAGAAGGAAGTTGTCAGTGCCCTGCGCTACTTTAAGACCATTGTGGACAAAATGGCAATTGATAAGAAGGTACTGGAGATGCTTCCAGGGTCAGCCAGCAAGGTGCTGGAGGCCATCTTACCCCTGGTGCAGAACGATCCTCGAATTCAGCACAGGTGAGTGGCTCTGAAGTCTTTGGCTGTGTCAGAACAATGGAAGCCTTAGAAGCATCTTGGTTTGGTGGCACTGGAAACTCAAGGTTCCTAGGAACAGTCAGGAAAAGGACTCCATCACCCCTCATCCTTCCCCTGACCACTCCCCCCACAACTATCCCGTGATGCCATCTCAGAGTTGAGGTCACTATTACTCCTGAAGCCCGGGACACATCTCTGCCATCCCTAGGGATGTGGCCACAGTGTAAGTTTGTGGTCATTGCAGAACTTAACTGCGTCAAGCCAGGACGCCTCCCGGACATGGAGCCTGGATTCACTGCGGGTGGGAGGAGCCTGTTTTGAATGAAACTTTTTGAGTTTCATTATCTGTCAGGTGGAAGCTACTGTTTCCACTCATCGCCAGAGGCCCAGACTGAAGAGCACCAGCAGGGCCTCCATCTGCATGAGTCTCTTCACAGACTTCACTGCCAGGGGCTGGATTGCAGGCTCACAAGCTAAGAGTTTTTTAGTACCTTAGACCTTGGGGGTTACACAGCAGCCTGGAGGCTGCACAGGGAGGCGAAGAAGCACAAGCTGGGAGAGAGAGAAGGGACCCTATGGACCAGCGCCGCTTTTGGGGTTATTGGGTCCAGGGCGGGCCTTATCCAAACAGGCCTCCTGCAGGGAGCTTTAATTGGTGGGTTTAAAGCAAGCAGGCACGTGTTCAGGAGGCGCAGCCTTTGACTAAGAGGTGGTTGCTTTAAGTTCTCAGGCAAATGGTCTGTTTAAAGGATCAGTAGGTAAGCCAGGAGCTAGCCTGCTGGCGGGCAAAGATGCCTGTAAGTTTCTGTCTCTGGCCACCAGCTAGAGCCAGTCGGGTAGGGTGTAGTATTAGGAACCTTGTCAAGGGTTCGTGAGCCCTGCTTCTGGTATGAGAAAGCTAAACATATTTTAAAACAGATGCCGAGGCAACATAAAATTACAAGCACTCGCTGCAGGGGACATGGAGCCGGCCTTTGCCCCAAGAAGCTTTTGTTGGGTAATACTTTTATTGCTGGAGTACATTTTCCTCTTAAAGGTTAGCTAGCAGCTTGTCCTGTATTTATTGTTAAATGTAAAAAGAAAAGCACTACCAAATGTAATCTGAAATGAAAGCCTAGCAGGAGCTTTTTCTTAAGAGGCTGGCACATGTTTTGTTTTTCTTCCATGGTACCTGTTCAGGATAAATGCTTCTCTGTCGCAATTCCGCAAGATGACTTAGTGTTCATTTAGCCCCATGAGGCTAAGCTTTTATGAACTGCTTTCAGAACTTGGCAATGAAGTTCATAGTTTTCTTCTTCTGGGGGATAAAGCAAATAGTGTCTTTATTTACAAGAAACTCTCTGCCCTGGGGCTTCCTCCCTGGAGTTTCAGCTGACGCGTGGAGACTGTGGTCTTTTGGCCAGAAGCTCGCTGGCGCTGGTTGGTGACGGGAAGGAGGCAGGGCATGCTTGTCTTCACTGTCTTTCCCAGAGTCAGTCCAGCTCCGGCTCTTAGAAGTGTTCGGTGCTGGGCTCCTAGGAGCGCATGTGCTGACGTCATGCCACAGCGAGATGTATGGATTCCCTCTTAGAACATGTTTTTGTGGACCTAGTCTCATGTGGTAGTCTCTGCCTTGGAATAGTTAAAGCCTAGTTGAAACAAATCAGCTCCCTCTGTTCTACGATAAAGCACTTATTTTACGGTACAGGGAGGAAGCTGTGTTGGAGTTTGAAGAAGGGAGAGTTACAGGGGTGTTGGAGTTGATCTGATGAAGCCTCTTGACTGAGTAGTTCCTGGAGCCCGACCTGAGGGAAAGCAGCAGTTGGATTGGCAGTGGGGGCAGGAGAACAAGAGCAAAGGAACTGAGGCCACTGGGCCTGGTGTATCCCGGGGAGGGGAGGGCGGCGACTCGGGCAGTCATGGGCAGAGGGTATATGTCCTAGAGCATGGACGAGAGGGGAACAGTGGGAAGAGGCGACTGATCACCCTGCACCCTCAGGCGCTAAGCCTCTTTGGGAGAGTCCAGGATAGCGTCCCCTGGACCCTCACACCCAGAGTGTATTGCTGCTAGAAGTGTTGCTTCCCAGAGCCAGGCTCTGCTTGGAGGTCACTTGCAAACCCTGGGTAAGAACTGATGAAGTCACATGGTAATGGCTGGGGGTATTTTTTGTCTATTGAGGGGTGGCTCTTAATTGACATTGAATGTCTATAACCATTTCCTAGAGGAGAAAATGGGAAGTGCCTGGGTGTGGCTGTAAGGACCCATGAAATATGGTTTGTTTTCTGGTAGTCCTTTGACTAATCCCATTGAAGGGGTTTTCCTTCTGAAATTCTTCCAGGCTAGTGGAGGTGGTTTTCTTGGTCTCCCACAGTGATTGGAAATACCTCCTCAGATGCTCCTTTTAGATGCTTTGCATTATCTCTTTCCTCCCTAAGTGCAGTTTGCGAGCTGGAAGGTCCTTTCTCGTTTCTTCCGTGGGGCAGGGAGTGGGGGGTCCTTGCAAACAGGCCCTTTGCCGCCCTCACCTCGGTTCCTGAGACAGTGATAGGCTGGCCTCCAACAAGCAGCTGGCTCTTAGCATGAGCTTTGAATGGAGGATTCCCGAGTGAGGCACGCAGAGGCCCATGTGAGAGCGAGAGTCACACTCGTCACATGCGGAGGGCTTTGCTCCATTGTGGAACTGAGCCAGCAGCTGGGCCTCAGATGGCATTTTTTATAGTCCTCAACTTTCCTTCCTTTCTTATGTCTTAGCCCCTTGACACAGGAATATTCTGCTTCCAAGCTAATGACGGGAAGGCTGGACATAATTCCAGCACCTTCCGGGAAACGTTAGCATCCAATGCAGGTAGAAAGGAAGTAGTGAATAAAAGTGTTTCCCCTCTTTCACCTCACTGTTACCAGCAGTGTGACAGTGAGATGCTTTCTCCGGTGGAATCCTCCTACAGCACATCAGGGGAAGGCAGCAGGCTTCTTTCAAGATGCCTCACCTGGCCTTGCCAGGAAGCAGAGCGAGGTCCAGCCCAGCCGTTAGAAGCACATTCCCCTGCAGGATCAGATCAGCTCTGGTCCAACCCCCGGAGAGACTGCAGGGTCTTTGTTTTCCCCTCTCCGTCCTCTTTCCTAAGAGAGTAGTTCCAACAACAAATACTTTTCATCCATATAATCTTCTAAAATACCCAATCCTGGCTTTCTCAGGGCTCCTTTAGGAATTTTGTTTGTTTGTTTCTAATGGACTTGAAAAGTTTGCTTTCATTCCTGCCGACCCTTTTCTCCTGTTGGAACATGCAGAGTGGAACGCCTGGCTAAATGGAAACTTTAGATCCTTGCAAAAATTGTTTCCTCCTTGCCTGATTCTGAAGAGCTTCTCATTAAAGCACTATTTGGTTCACATTTTTGTTCTAAATAGCTTTGTTTTTAGAACCTGTTTTAATCATATCTTACAATATTATATATTTTCCTCAAAGTTATATCTTTGGCTCCTAAATCTGCATCATTTTGGGGTGTTTTTTTGTTTTTTGTGTGTTTTTTTGGAGTAGAGGAGGTTGCAGCACATAAATTTTCTATATTGTTGCTCTTCCTCTGTGATAATTGTTTGAAATGGAAAAATAATCCTTTCCACAATTCCTAGGGAAAATTATCTTTAGTTATTTAAAAATACGTGAAAGATGTAAAAATTCTCCATTCGGCTGCTACTCTACAATCATTGAGGCACTCAGGGCTTCTGTCTGTGGGCGCTGGCATCACAGTGTAGCTGGTAGCGTGGTCTCTCTCTCACACACACACACACACACACACACACACACTCACCTGCGTTCCCATCCTCACATCCCCACCACCATCACAGGCCCCGTCACCCCTGATTTGCTATTCTCAAAATAGTCTTCATTCGTGCGCTCCTGACGTCTGTCTCATCGTTATAGTGCAGAAGATGATGAAGCTGGCCCCGTGACGGAGGAATTCTAATAAACTGCAGACCTGTTTTGAGCTCATGACTGTTAAAATTCCGCAAACCTGTCGGCTCCTTGTGGCACATCTAAAATAGATTTGATTCTAATTGCTAACAATCAGTATACACTGCTTGGACCTGGTCTAGTGATTAGCAGCTAGAAGGAGGGGAAGATGGGGCACTCCTTGAGAGATGTGATCAGAATCTTGTAGAAGGATGTGAAGTTTGAAAAAGCATCTTAACTATCGTGGTGGAATTTTTGTAATGTTACATTTGGGAAATGAAAAAAATTTTGAAACACAGATTAGAATATAAAGCTCCACAAAATCTTTGTTGGATGTATGGAAAAAGTCTCATGGGAGAAGTTTGCTTATTAAAAGGCAGTATGGATTTTGCACAAAGAAAGTTGGAGAAACACACCCTTGTCACCGAGAAGCTGGCTCTGTGCTAAGTGATGGTCATGCTTTAGATTTTCTTTTTTTCCATTCTTCTCTTCCCTGTAGCTCAGCCCTCTCTTCCTGCTATAGCCGAGTGTACCAAAGCCTCGCCAACCTCATTCGCTGGTCTGACCAAGTGATGCTGGAAGGCGTGAACTCAGAAGACAAGGAGATGGTGACGACTGTGAAGGGGGTCATCAAGGCTGTGCTGGATGGAGTGAAGGTACCGGTGCAGGTTCCAGACAGTCCCAGTCAGGGACTTAGAGCAGCCTGCCTGCTGGTGCTTGTCACATAAGAGCTTGCTCCTGACCTTCAAACATTAGAATGTCTTTCTGCGTCTCTGGTGTTGGTGCGCTCTATCCCATAACTACTTACTTCTCTCAGGACTGGTGCGAATGGCTCTTAGGGAAAAGCTGTCTAGAGCAGTCAGCCCTTACTGAGCACTGCATTAAATCTTAGTGAGTCTTCGTAGCATCGTGCTGGCTGAGCATGCTTGCCAGCTAGACAAAATGCAATGGAGATCGTTTTCACAATGACTTTAAGCAAAGCTCCCAGCATGTCATATCAGCACTACCTTTTCATGTTCTGGGAGCTTCTAGGATTCTTGGTAGAAAAGCAGGAGTGAGATGAGTAAGAAATGGAACTTTCTGTATTTACTTGATATCCGTGATGTGGTCTGTGTATTTGCTATCCAGAGAAGTCAGAAACAGCATAAGAAATTGTGAATCCTAGTTAAGATGGGAAGCAAAGGCCATAGAAGGTCTGGAATTGGGGTCAGGGGGACAAATCCTAATAGAGAAAATAAGTCCTAGCGGATGGGAAGCAAGACAGAATGTTGGACATGAACCAGGTAAGGGCCTTTGGGTCAGGGCCAGGGCTGCAGGCAGCAGGACAGTGGAAACCCCGCTGTTGTGTGAGGCCATATAATGTAGTAGAAAGGGGCCAGCCTTAGCACCTGGCTAGATTTGAATCCCAAGTTCACCACTTCGTAGTCTATGAACTTGAACAGTTTACTCAACTGCTCTGCACCTTAAGTAACTCTTTTATGAAATAGGTATAATAATAGCATCGTGCATCTCAGGGTTATAGGGAAGATTACACTAGTCAATACACATAATGCTTCTAGAACAGCACCTGGCACATACGGAGCAGTCAGGCCTTAGCTGCTATTTATTATTAATTATGTGGTGCTAGATGCATGCTTTGTAAACAGATCTCTTGGCTTGAAAAACCTGTGTCCCTCTCCTTTCTGGACCCCTCAATCCAAAATTATAGCTGAGGTGTTTACCCCAGGTCAAAAAAAATTCCTTCCCACTCAACGAGGCTAACAAATTCCTGAAAACTGCCTCCTTGGCTTAACATTCCCCAGCAGCTCTGGAGAGTAGAATAAGGACCCCCAAAGGACTTAAATTATAGAGAGAGGCTGAGAAAGCATTGCTCAGCATTGCAAATTGCTCCAGAATGAAATATGTGTTTGCCAGGACATCTGGGTGGCCCTCCAACCCCAGCAGCATTTAAGGGGAGGCTGACGTGTCTGCTGGGGCCATAGAGTTCATGTAAAAGGGGCTTGCCTAGATGACATCAATATTTTCCTCTGAATTCTCCCATGTTCTCCTTTTTTTTTTTTTTCTCTGAGACGGAATGTCACTCTGTCACCCAGGCTGGAGTGCAGTGGTGCGATCTCGGCTCACTGCAACCTCTGCCTCCTGGGTTCAAGTGATTTTCCTGCCTCAGCCTCCCGAGATGCTGGGATTACAGGTGTGAGCCACCACACCCAGCTAATTTTATATTTTTAGTAGAGATGGGGTTTCACCATGTTGGCCAGGCTGGTCTCGAACTCCTGACCTCAGGTGATCTGCCCGCCTCGACCTCCCAAAATGTTGGGATTACAGGTGTGAGCCACTGCGCCCAGCCTCCCCATGTTCCCTTCATTCCAAAAAGTTACTAGTATCTGCTTAGGGCAGCGAGACTCAAGGATGTAGCCCAGGGTGGCTGTTGTGATCAGAGCTGATGGCCCTTTCCAGGATTTGGAGGACAGGCACGTACATTATCATATCTGGTCCTCACAGTAGCACACTGGGTTCAGCAGAGCAGAGTGGAACGTGGCCTGGGGCTTTATCAGCAGCCCTGAGTCACTCTGGCCCACCCACCCCTGCTGTTCCTGTCTAGGCTTCTGAAAATGCTATTATTGAAAATTGTTATTCTTCAGGTAACATTGTTAAGGTTTCCTTCTATCGAATTGATTCTGATGAGATGTTCACAAGTTAGAGCAGCCAAAACAGAGGAGAATGAGTTTCCACTCATAAAGCTCTGTGGCAGTCCCAAGTACATTTCCTCTATGGAGTCATTACAGCACCACTTCATTAGTAGAAAGGCATGTCTGAAAGAAAAATTTCCTTGATTTTTCAAAGTGACTGGGGAAAAAAAAAGGAGAGAGAAACCTATAGGTTATGAACTTGTCAATGTCAGAGCAAATAACTTTTCCACAATTGCTTTAAAAATATTTTAGCCAGAACAAAGATTCTCTAGGTGAGAAGCTTTACAAATTCAGTTTTGTTTCATTTATTCAAGAAGCATTTAGTGAGAACCTTCTATATGCCAGGCAATGAGAGATAATAGGAAATATGAGCAAAGCTGGCACAGACCCTGCCCTATGGCACTTACAGTCTAAGGGGGGCAGGACCGTAAACACAAAGGCACACCCATGTGGTATAGCGCTGCCAAGGAAGATGGCACAGGGTGTGATGAAAGGGTATGATGACCTTCCTTTCTCAGGGTGGTCAGAGACGCTTCCCCAAGGAAGAGACAGGCCAGCATCTGGAGGATGGACAGGAGCTGCCTGTGGCTGGGAGCTTTTCATGCTGGAGTCATTACAGACAGTGAGAGTGATCGAGACACTGTGACGCTGGCATTTGTTGTTATTGTCTAATAGTAATAACAGCTAACATTTATGGGGTGCTTTTTGTACACTGTCCTCACTTAATACTCATGACAACCCTCCATAATAGGCATAAATGGCTGCCCCTTGCCCCTTTCACAGGTGTGGAGACTCAGGCTCAGGTGGAGCAGTAGTCAGTGGCAAGGCTGTGATTCCCACCCCCAACCTGCTGCCCCCTCCCCGGCTCCTGTGCACCATGACACCCTGAGCTGCTGCCTCCCATGGGAGGACAGGATTCTCTGCACTCCCACCTCCAAGCTAGCTGGCTTCCAGCCTCTCTCACCGTCCCTTTCAGGCCTGGGACACCTTAAAAGCCCATGCCCTGGTGGCGTGAGAGAGCCTCCCCCAGCTGGGAGGGACTGGAGCTGTGCAGAAGGGAAATGCACTCATGAGGATGTTGTCAGCCCACTTGGAGGAGGGGCGTTGGACGTTCTTACACTGACTCACCGTTGTTTACGTAACCCATTCAGTTGTTCAAGGGAGTCTTTCCTCTTTTTTTTTTTTTCAAATGATTGAACATGGGTTGTAAAACAGGATTACTTTGGTTTTGTCCCTGAATGCATGGTAGCATTTATCATTTAAACCTCCACATAAATGCCACTTGTTCAAGCTGTATAACCTTGGGCAAGTTACTTCCCTGAGTTTCAAGTAGGTTTTAAAATATTTACCCTGAAGATTTGAGGAAATTCAGTAAGATAAAGTATATAAAGTACCTGGTAAGAACTAGGTGACCAGGAGGCAGTGGGGAAACAGTGTTACCTGGAGAAGTGTTCATTTCTAACGGCTCACAGTGACCATTTTTGACAGTGATTATGGCTCTTTTCCAGGTAGTCTTATCATCTCAGGTAAAAGATAGACCCCTGTCCCCTCATCTGGCTCTGGGGCTGCTTTTCCACCGGGAGCCTGTAGCTCAGAGCTGATTATGACTCTTGAAGGAAGGAAATCTGAGGAATTTAAAGACCCTCAATGTTTTTCTCTGAGAACCACACCCAGCCTAGCACCTGGATGCTGGGGGGCCGAGCCACTCGAGGCCAAAGAGATATCCCAGCATGATCTTTTGAAATCGGTACCCCACCTCTTCCCAACTTCACCAGGTAATTTACTGTGTTACTTGAGCACCAGAGCTGTATTTTGACTTGTCAACTGTTATTTAAGCCCTTCCTTCTCTGTGATCATTTTCTTTTTTTTTTTTTTTTTTTTTTTTTTGAGACGGAGTCTCACTCTTGTTGCCCAGGCTGGAGTGCAATGGCATGATCTGGGCTCACTGCAACCTCCGCCTCCTGGGTTCAAGTGATTCTCCTGCCTCAGCCTCCCAAGTAGCTGGGATTACAGGCGCGTACAACCATGCCCAGCTAATTTTTGTATCTTTAGTAGAGACAAGGTTTCACCATGTTGGCCAGGCTGGTCTTGAACTCCTGACCTCCAGTGATCCGCCCACCTAGGCCTCCCAAAGTGCTGGGATGACAGGCGTGAACCACCGCGCCCGACCTATGATCATTTTCAGTATGAATAAAATGAACATGGAAATAAAGTATTACATATTTGGAGAGCTACTTTTCCAAATACCGTTTTTGACTTTTGAAAACTGATTTTCAGTGACCAGTCGGCAGTTTCCAGTCACTGCTGTAGACATAGACTCTAGAGTAGTCTCTTCTTCTTTTTGTTCTGAGACAGTCTCACTCTATCGCCCAGGCTGGAGTGCAACAACGGCACAATCTTGCTCACTGCAACCTCCGCCTTCTGGATTCAAGCAATCCTCCAGCCTCAGCCTCCGGAGTAGCTGGGACCACAGGTGCATGCCACCACGTCCAACTAATTTTTGTAGAGGCAGATTTTTACCATGTTGCCCAGGCTGGTTTTGAACTCCTGGGCTCAAGTGATTCACTTGCCTCGGCCTCACAAAGTGCTAGGATTACAGGCATGAGCAACCACGTCTGGCCTTTTTCAGTCTTTTCTAACTCGTGCCTCAGGACAATTAAAAAGTCTGACATCCCTCTCAAAAAATTCTACCTTCAGTAGGAGGTGTTGGGCTCATGCCAAATTATAAATGGTCAACTTTCAATGAGATTAGGGTGTTAGCACAGTAGCCAGATATGTGCACATTTTAAGGTTTCTCCTCTGTGATAGTTAAGGCAAGTCAAGACTAAAGACCTTCTGTCTAGGCAGGGAGATAGGTGGTAAATTTAAAAAGCAGCCCGCCCCTTTTATAGTCTTTTCAAGCCTAGGCCACGCGAGCTAGTGTAGGGAGCGTCATTGGGATCATGACGTCATCTTTGAATTTGGGCACATGTCTGCACATGTGTGCCTGTCATTCCAGGATTGTTTTGCCATTGTTCATTAGTTGAGTTCACAGCTGCCTCTCCAGAAAGATGACGATCTAATTATAATTGCTCATGAATCAATGAAGAACCAGGAATGTTTTCCTGTATCAACAGATGCAAACAACACAGACTTCTCTCTGTTCCTTTTGCCCTGCTTGTAAAGAAGAGTGAATCTGAAAGTGGGGCATCCAGGGCACTGTGTTCTGGCGCTCTTTAACTCCCTCTAAGGCCGTGATGCTCCTCTTTGGGGCCTGGCGTTGTGCTTTTAGGAAGAGCTGCTTCTCCCACCGTCCTCCCTCCTCCAGGCGGTAGGGTGCAAGGGAGCTGCCTCTTTTCTAACTGCTCTCTTCACTGATTGTGTAGTCTCTCCTCCTCCATCTTGTCCTGTTTGTAATCACCAGCTAGATGGCTGTCCCTTAAATATTAACTTCTAAATTGTGCTAACATGCAAGTATTAAGGTTCTCCTTTCTTGCTAGTACTTGGCTCTTAGAGATTTTGCTTCTCCACATTTCTTCAAGAATAGACATCTGAATGGGGTAACAACTGTCACAGAGTAGGGTAACACTGAACCTGCATCTGTGGATATGCCTGGCTGAGCGTGGTGGCTCACACCTGTAATCCCAGCACTTTGGGAGGCCAAAGTAGGAGGATCACTTGAGCCCAAGAGTTTGATATATGCATTTAATTTTGGAGGGCGGGGTTGCTTGTTTAATTATTATTTCAGAAGTAATATATGTTCATTTCAGAAAATTTAGAAAATAGAAAAAGAACAAGATAAAAGGGTGTTTCATAGCCATATTTTTTGTATTACATATATTCTTGATTTGGCTTTGTTTACAAAACGTGCAATATAAACCAGCATATCACCTAGAACTGTTTTTCCACTCAGTGTATTACAGCATCTTTCCACGATACAGTGCATATTCTTGTTGTGACTTTGTCTTTAATAACAACGTAATGGTCAGCCCATTGTCTGGTTCTATCATGACTTATGTAATTGATACATATTATCAAATATTTAATTGTGGGATGTTGAACTATTCAAAATTACCACATTAATGATACGTAATCTTATGTATATTCTGTGATAACCATCTTTTGTGGTTTAATTTTTGCACACATTCATGACATTTTTCTTGGACAGGATTCTTTTTTTAAGAGACAGAGTCTTGGCCGGGCGCGGTGGCTCACGCCTGTAATCCCAGCACTTTGGGAGGCCGAGGCGGGCGGATCACGAGGTCAGGAGATCGAGACCACGGTGAAACCCCGTCTCTACTAAAAATACAAAAAAAAAAAAAAAAATTAGCCGGGTGCAGTGGCAGGTGCCTGTAGTCCCAGCTACTCGGGAGGCTGAGGCAGAAGAATGGCATGAACCCAGGAGGCGGAGCTTGCAGTGAGCTGAGATCGCACCACTGCACTCCAGCCTGGGCGACAGAGCGAGACTCTGTCTCAAAAAAAAAAAAAGAGAGAGTCTCAATCTCTCACCTCTCTCACCTGGGCTGGAGTGTGATTACAGTTCAGTGCTCCTCGAACCCCTGGGCTCAAGCCGTCCTTCTGCCTCAGCCTTCCAGAGTGCTAGGATTATAGGCATGAGCCACTGCACCTGGTGCAAAATTCTCATAATGCAAATATTTAAGGCTTTTGATATATACTGATAAGTCATCCCTCTGGAGAGGCTGTCTGAAGTGGTGCTCCCACCTACCATGTCTGGAAGTTTCTATTTTATTACCATCCAAGGTGGTGAATGTCTTATGATTATTGACCATTGGTATCTGTAAATTTCTTGTTTGATATTTTTTTCGGCGTGTTCACCTTCTAGTTTTTTTGTTTTCGAAAGAACCCTTGCGCTGGAAAGGATGGTAACTGACTCTTTGCCTTATTTGCAGCATACGCTGCCTTTTTTGTGTGTGGTGCTTTTTTGAGTCTGGAGAGGCTTGGCAGCCGCTGGTTCAGGGTCTCTGGTTACTGTGTTGCCCACTGGCATCCGCTGCCACCTCCTCTGTAACTTGGAAACAGCTTTCTGCTGAAAGCCTGGAAGCCCCTCATCACACACATGCAGGCCCTGGCCAGGCCAGATGTCCAGCAACAGGAAGGTGGAGGGAGAAGCTGTGGTGCATCCACGAGTGGGAACACTGCTGGCAGCGAGCAGCAGGCGCCTCGCCCACACGAAGCACAGCTGTTGACGCTGAGCTCGGGGGACGGAGCAGGCAAAGATGTGCGGACAGGAAATGGATTGGCAGCTGCCAGGGGCTGGGGGTCGAGGGGAATGCGGAGCTTCCTTATGGGGTGATGAGAAGTCCTAAAATTGATTGTGTTGATGGTCACACAACTCTGTGAACAGACTAAAAACCACTGAATCGTACACTTTAAATGGGTGAATTTAATGGCATATGAGTTATATATCCATAAAGCTGTTTTTAAAAAGAAGGTTGACACAAAAGTGTATGTATGATATGGTTCCATTTATATCAAGTTCTAGGACAGGCAAAAGTAATCTATGATAATAGAAGTTAAACAGTTGGGGCGGGGCAGATTGGCTGGAGACGGTGATAGAAATGTTCTTTGTGTTTTTAGTGGCGCTTACTTGGGTATATGCAGTTGTCAAAACTCATCAAACTGGGAAAAAATGCATTCTAATTTAAAAAAAAAAACACATGGGCACTTATGTCTTCCCTTTTTTTTCTTTTGCTACGATTTGAAAAAGGCTATTTTTCTTTTCTGTTTTTCTCAGTTAATGGTTCTAAAGTGATTTCTTTGCTGGGTTATCTCCCCTTAACTCCCTCTCCATTGACAAGGATCCCAGCCAGCCCTCACCCCACCCCCACCAGCTAGCAGCTCCACCACACCTGTGGCCAGCTCGCCTTGGGAAACCACCCATGCCATCATCGTGCATATGATCTAATGGCTTTAGAGAACTAGGAACAGAGTTATTCCCCAACAAACTGACTGGGAACCTGTTCTGATGAGTATTTTAATTTGTGTGATAAACAATCATTTTGAGAGGCTGGGGTTTGCCATTTCCCCTTCCAAGAGGAAGTGCCTTTACGCATTTGAAACTTGACATGCCATGAAGGTATTTTTGGAGGGCAGGGGACATTTGGGAAGTCATGCAGATTACCTAAGGCAAGTGATACTTGCGTTTATGGTGCGTGGGGAATCTGTAGGCACAGAAATGAGACTCAGCAGCAGAGGACAGACAGCACCTGCCTGCCTTCTGGTGGAAACTCAGTGGTGACGGGAGCTTTGCTCATTGCCTTTTTCTTGTGGGGGTAGGAGCTGGTCAGGCTCACCATCGAGAAGCAGGGACGTCCGTCTCCGACGAGCCCCGTGAAGCCCAGTTCCCCTGCCAGCAAGCCTGATGGGTAGGTGCTGACTAACCCTCGTGTCGCGGGTGTCACGCTCAGTGGCAAAGTCTGCACTTGACAAGGATAGGGCCCGGTGGGGTGGGCAGCATGAGGGTGGGCTGCTGGAGGCCCATATTCCTTTTTCAGTGGTTAGCAGTGTGTGTATATTTCACACAGGCTTGAAGTATTGCCCTGTCTCAAGTTTACCCTTCAGCATGACTGTTTCCAAGGATCTTCTGTGAGCGCATCCAGTGACACATACCAGTGCTTTTCCTGGGCAGCTTCGTTTCATAATGACAAAGAACTTTTAAAGGCTTGGGTTTGGGTGCTTTGACTTGAGAGCACTCTTGTTTGATCAAGAGTAAACTGAGGATGACATGGATGGTTGTAAAGGTTTATATTCATCTCTACTCCAAGCTCCTGGTAAAAATATAAAACATAAATTTGGAGCTTTTTTTTTTGTTTTTGAGACAGAGTCTCTGTGGCTCAGGCTGGAGTGCAGTGGTGCGATCTGGGCTCATTGCAGCCTCCTCCTCTCAGATTAGAGCAATTCTCTTGCCTCAGCCTTTCAAGTAGTTGGGACTACAGGTGCACGCCACCATGCCCAGCTAATTTTTGTATTTTTAGTAGAGACAGGGTTTCACCATCTTGGCCAAGCTGGTCTCAAACTCCTAACCTCAAGTGATCTGCCCGCCTTGACCTCCCAAAGTGCTGGGATTATAGGTGTGAGCCACTGCGCCCGGCCTGGAGCATTTTAGAGAACCCTTAGATCATTTTCAGATGAGGAAATTGAGGTGCAAAGTTGGGGGCACAGCCAAGCTCCAGTAGCTCATTAGCAACCAAACCAGAACCCCAGGGTTCTATATCCAGGGAGCCTGCTCTTCAGCCCCACCTCACCCACTGTGTTCTTCCTGGTCACGTCCTCACCCTCTCAGGGCCTGTGTGTGCTCTGTCCCGCCTTTGACCTTCTGTAACCCCAAGTTCTTCCCAATTCTCCAGCCCAGCAGAGCTCCCCCTGACAGACCGCGAGGTAGAGATCCTAAACAAGACGACTGGGATGTCACAGTCAACTGAGCTCCTCCCAGATGCCACGGATGAAGAGGTCGCGCCCCCCAAGCCTCCTCTGCCTGGCATTCGGGTGGTTGATAATAGGTAATTACCTTCCTATTTGTCCAGTGCCTCCCATGGCAGAATGAGAAAGAAAGGGAGGAAGACAGGGCTCGGGCCCTTTCCCCTCAGCGCTGAGGGCTTGGCCCCCCTTGGGAGGCTGACTCTGGAGCTGTCCCCACCCCGCCGGCCCTCGCTGGCCACCCTGAGCTCTCCTGAAGGCCTCCTTGTGCCCTCAGCCCAGGGAGACATGGTATGATTTATTATGAAAGAAAAAGAAAGGGTTGTTCTTTTTTGTTCATTTGGTATTTACAGGTTTTATTTTGGCGGAGGGGAGTAGGCAGGAGTTGAAGTGTGAACATTGGGTGTGGAGAGTCTAGTAATGAAAGAACCCCACATCCTGTACCCCAATATCACGCTGAAGAGCTTTGGTGAGTGTGGTTTGGTCTGCCTGGACGTTTCGGTCTGTTTCAGTCCTCCACCAGCATTGCCACCCAAGAAAAGACAGTCGGCGCCGTCCCCTACCCGAGTGGCTGTGGTGGCCCCCATGAGCCGAGCCACCAGTGGCTCCAGTTTGCCTGTTGGAATCAATAGGCAGGTAATGCAGCCCCTGTTCCCTGCATGGGAAGGCAGGGAGGGGGTGGGGGGCTCAGGGATGTGGCTCCTGAAGCTGAAAGAAACCCATGGTCTTCAGGCGCTGGTGTTTGTCACATCGAGGAGTGCGAGACCTTGTACCCATCCCTCTCTCTCCAGGACACGGTCCAAGTTCCCATATGGGGATAAGGGTCAGGGCAGGGAGGGCAGAGCCAAAGGGCGTCTCCTGGGGATAGGTGAGTCCAGCCCCAGGGCCCTCCCTGGCCACACCCCCCACAAACTCCAGATGGCTGCTTCTCAGCTGTATGTGTCCTTCGACTACTGACGTCAGAGGTGGTTTCTGAGTTCGCCTGGCAGTATTTCCTTCTCTAAGTAAATGCACCGGTTGCCTCACCCCTGGTCTGTGCCACCGTTTCTCAGAAGTGATTTGGCTTTGTTTTTCTTTTTCCACTTGAGGATTTTGATGTTGACTGTTACGCACAGAGGCGACTGTCAGGAGGCAGCCACTCATATGGTGGAGAGTCGCCCCGCCTCTCCCCCTGCAGCAGCATAGGCAAGCTCAGCAAGTCAGACGAGCAGCTGTCCTCTCTGGACAGGGACAGTGGGCAGTGCTCCCGGAACACAAGCTGTGAAACACTAGGTGAGCCGCCACCATCCTCCTGTTCCATCGTGTCTCGGTGGCTTCTCTGGGGCCATTACAGTCCTGGGTGGGAGTCCCAGGTCATGCAATCATTGACTACGTGGCTTTGGCTGACTTGTTTAAAATCTGAGCCTCAGCTTCCTCATCTGCAAAATATGGATAACAGTATCTGCCTCCCAAGGAAGTTGAGCATGTAAATGAAATCACAATGTAAAACCACAGCCTAGATATTCAAGCGGTGACTGTTAGTTCATCTGTCAGTGAGTAATTTGACTCTCTTTACCAAAATTAAGAGCCATTTGTGTTGAGAGCTTTAAACAAAGGGGTGGGGGTCCTGACAACACTTGACAGAGGCTGAAGGGGAGGGAGCCGCGCGAGCCGGCCTTCTCGTTAGTCAGTGCTGAATGTGTACTGTGCGGGCCCCTCCGAGTCTGCTGGGCAGGGGGCTTAGAGAGCAGGAAGCTGTTCGTATCCTGTGAACTAGATATTTTCACTTCTGAGAATGTATCCTAGGAGCATAATCAGTGATTAATAGCAAGATTTTCATTGGTAGGAAATCAGATGAATTATGGTACATTCATTTGCTGGAATAATCTGTAGCTATTAAAAATCACTCATATTGATAACTAGAAAAAGTACAGGACCATTTACATAGTATTCTCAATTGTTTCTTTTTTTTTTTTTTTTTTTTTTTTTTTTGAGACAGAGCCTCACTCTGTCACCCAGGCTGGAGTGTAGTGACATGATCTGGGCTCACTGCAACCTCCGCCTCCCGGGTTCAAGTGATTCTCCTGCCTCAGCCTCCCAAGCAGCTGGGATTACAGGTGTGTGCCACCACGCCCGGCTAATTTTTTTGTCTTTTTAGTAGAGACGGGATTTCACCATGTTGACCAGGCTGGTCTTGAACTCTAGGTGATCTGCCCACCTCAGCCTCCCAAAGTGGGCCAGCGTGCCCAGCCAATTTTTGTATTTTTAGTAGAGACGGGGTTTTGCCACATTGGCCAGGCTGGTATTGAACTCCTGGCCTCAACTGATCGGCCCGCCTCGGCCTCACAGAGTGCTGGGATTACAGGCGTGAGCCACCGCGTGGCCCTCAGTTAGGCTTTTTCAAAAAGGAATTGTATAGGCAAAAAAGTCATTTAAGGAAATACTTCAAAATGTAAATAGAAAGTACAGTTAGATTATGGTACTGTGGGTGATTTTTATTTTCTTGATGTAATTTGCCACAGTTTCCGTAATGGTTGTGTATTTTTTTTTTAAATAAGAAATGTAAAAAATAAAAGTATAGCAAACAGCCATATTCCCATCTGGTTTGCTTTTATAATCAGGGAGAAGAATGAAGAATATAACATGTGAATATAAAATAAGCCCTGGAGACAGGTCTTTGTCACACACCCATGAGCGAGCCGGCGAGAGGCGGGCGGGGGGAGCTGGCTGCTCCTGCAGGGCCTGTGGCTAACGGGTCTCTTTTTCCCCTGTTGTAACTGCAGACCACTATGATCCCGACTATGAATTCCTCCAGCAAGACCTCTCTAACGCAGACCAGATACCTCAGCAGACGGCCTGGAACCTTAGCCCGTTGCCAGAGTCTTTGGGGGAGTCTGGGTCTCCATTTCTTGGCCCTCCTTTCCAGCTGCCTCTTGGCGGCCATCCCCAGCCAGACGGACCTCTGGCCCCAGGGCAGCAGACAGATACGCCACCTGCTCTCCCCGAGAAGAAGCGCAGGAGCGCAGCCTCCCAGACGGCGGACGGCTCTGGCTGCAGGGTGTCCTACGAGCGGCATCCCTCGCAGTATGACAACATCTCTGGGGAGGACCTGCAGAGCACAGCCCCGATCCCATCCGTCCCCTACGCGCCCTTTGCTGCTATTCTGCCCTTTCAGCATGGAGGTTCCTCAGCCCCTGTCGAATTTGTGGGTGATTTTACTGCTCCTGAGTCAACCGGTGACCCAGAAAAACCACCTCCTCTACCAGAGAAGAAAAACAAACACAGTAAGCCTTTGTTGCACTGTTGTCAGGAAGTGCATTTTATAACCTGAAATGGCAGTATGTTTTATTTCAGCATTAGACCAGAATCAAATCAGTGGCCTCATTATTTCATAAAAGATAGGCCAGCCAGGTATGTGGACACTTCTGGGAGCCAGGTTTTGTCATTACACGTGATCATTTTTAAAGCCTCATCAGCTGACCTCTCCTTTACAGTTTCTATACAATCTCAGGTCCGGTCTCCATGTAGCCTGAGGGATTCTCCTCTTTAGATGGCAGCAGTTGACCTTCTGGCCTGATCACAGTGACAGAGGGGAACGAGTGTCCTGGCACGCAGGACAGCATTGCAGCAACATCTGTGTAGAGCGAGGTGGATACGTGAATTTCAGCAGAACTTGCCTAGTTTCCACAGAGTGATTGTCTAAGGATCCCTGTCTAGAGCACACTGTCTCTGTTCATGCTCCCAGAATGACTTGGAAGCTGGGGTTGCCCAGCAGGAGTAATTCAGCACACTTCTTGGACCAGACATTTTAATATATGATGTTATTGGAGCCCAGGGTTGGAGCTGAAGTTTTGAATATTTTCCAACGGTAAATCTGTCATAAAAGTAATAAGGAGAGTTCTCCTGGAAATTCGGTTTTCTCCTAGCTCCCCTAACTGCTCCACACTTCTGGGACTTGCCTGGCCCCCTCTGTCCCCGCCCTCTCCCTGCTTCACTAGCATAGTTCTGCTTCGATTTTCTTGGCAGCACAGCTGTCACCGTTTCAATGTGTGTGGTCACATTAGCCACACAGCCCCAGGCTTCCCTGGCCTCAGTTGACACATCCAGCAGAGAACTTCTATGACCTAGAAATGGAATCTCTACTCCAAATTCCCAAATGAGAGCTTCTGAGCCCAGCTTAGAGCTGGGCCCCATTCTCAAAGAAGGGAAGACCTGGCTTGGTTCAGTCCAGCAAGGGTCGCCCTGAGGGCTGGCTGCGTGGTCCACAGAAGGCGGCGGCTGCGATGATGTCATGTATCCCCAGCTCCTCAGTGGGTGTTGCCCAGCTTGTGTGATGGCCTCAGCAGTGTGGTCCCCCAGCTAGAGGGAGAGCTGGCTCTGTGGGACTAATGATGTCATCCCCATCTGTCGTGTATATTTGCTCATCAGAAACCAGGGCTCCCGCAGAGGGGTGTGCAATGGCACTGCCAGAAGCATTTCCTTCTCTTCCCCTCCCTCTGCATGGACAAGTGTTTAAAGAGCTGTTGGCCTCCCCCTCCACCCCTGTTATCTTGGGCTGCGTGCCATTCAGGTTCACCCCCTTTCCTTCCCTAGGGGAGGGGTCCTCTGAGCTCAGACACTGGGCAGGATGGCATCCTTGCAAGCTGCAGCAGATGCCAGAGAGCCTTACCCTTCCAGCTCCTAGAACAAGTGTGGGTGGCGGTCCTCATGCAGGGTCTATAGAGGGGAGAAGGAAAGGGAGGGGTAGCCATTGTTTCCTTTCAAACAGTCTCAAGTGGCTGAAAATCCCTATTAATTTAGGCCACCATTTTGAGGCTTTAACCAATTCATCACTGTCTCCAGCACTGGAGCCTGCAAACCTCTAAAAAACTCCTGAGCTACAGCCATGGTGTGCCCTGAGCTAAAGCTTCACATGCCCTATGGAAGGTAGTCCTGACAGCCACCTGCAAGGCAGGCTCTATTACCTCCAATTTCATAGGTAGAGAAACTGGAGCTCAGAAGAACTGAGTATTGCCCAAGATCAACAAGCAAGTGGGGCACAGATCTGGGACTGAGAGCCTGGCCTGAGTTGTACAAGCCTGTTACACTTCCTCCCAAGCCGAGGAGGAAGAGATTCAGCCCTCCTTCCTTGAGATCCCATCCAGTTTACAGTATTGACCCCTGTGCAGGGGTTGGTCTTCTCCGTACCCTGTGAAAGAGCCCCAAACTTAGGCACCCTGAGCCTCATCCTTGTCCCCAGTCTGCTGTTCACTCCCCGAGGGGACCCTCAGGTGACCTTGTGGAAAATGCCTCAAAATTGCTTTGAGGGAAAGAAGGAAAGAATCATCACCCTGGCCGCGTGGCTAACGCTGGCCTGAGTTCATGCACGCTCAGTCCCAATGTCACGACGTGTCCTCATCATTTGGGATGCACTGACATCGTGAGGGTCCCCAGCCCCTCTTGCCCGGAGCAGCCCCATGAGTCCCTTGTGCCAGACGAGCCTTGTGATCACTGTCCGGCACCTGAAATCCCCACAGTCCCAGGCCCTGAGCACTGGCGGCTGAACCTTCCCAGCAATGCTGGCTGTGTTAGGAGCAAGGCCTCTAAAATCAGCCTCTGGGCTGCTTTTGAAATGGACTGGGTCCTCCTCATTTCTAGAAGGCTGGGAGCATCACTGCTGTTCTGTGCTTGGCTAGCAGGTGTCTACAAGGACTTCAACATCAAGAGTTCAGAAAGACCTCCTGAAGAGATCACAGTTTTACAGAAAAGTCAGGCAGAGATGGTTGTGTTTAATCTTTTTCTTTTTTCCATAGCTCACTGCAACCTTGAACTCCTGGGTTCAAGGGATCCCCCCACCTCAGCCTCTTGAATAGCTGGGACCATAGGCACATACCACCATTGCTAATTTTTTTCTTTTCTTTTTTCTTTTTAGAGACGGGGGTCTCACTATGTTGCCCAGGCTGGTGTTGAACTAGCCTCAAGTGACCCTCCTCCCTCAGCCTCCCAAAGCACTGGGATTGTAGGCATGAGCCAGTGCGCCCGGTCATATTTAGTCTTTTTAGGGAGCAGTTTGTGGGTGCTTGGGATCACCTTCCTAGGCTTGCCTCTTCGTCTGGAGCCTGGTGACATTGGTTGTGCAGCATTAAAGAGGAAGTGTGGGGCTGGGCTTGGTGGCTCACACCTGTAATCCCAG
The DNA here is from genome assembly GCF_000001405.40 of Homo sapiens. Lineage (NCBI taxonomy): Eukaryota > Metazoa > Chordata > Mammalia > Primates > Hominidae > Homo > Homo sapiens. The sequence goes on along the minus strand of NC_000009.12, from coordinate 131,623,033 downwards.
CACTTTGGGAGGACGAGCCAGGTGGATTACCTGAGTTCAGGAGTTCAAGACCAGCCAGACCAACATGGCAAAACCCCATCTCTACTAAAAATACAAAAATTAGCTGGACACGGTGGTGCATGCCTATAATCCCAGCTACTCAGTAGACTGAGGCAGGAGGATCGCTTGAACCCATGAGGTGGAGGTTGCAGTGAGCCGAGATTGCACCACTACACTCCAGCCTGGGCAACAAGAGCGAAACTCTGTCTCAAAAAAAAAAAAAGGAAGTGTGAGACAAGCTCAAGGGGCTGTGAGCTGCCCTTTCAGTAGCAGCAGCTGACCTCAGAGGGGAACCATTTCTTCCTGTGCATCTTTTACAACCAAGTTCTGCTCGGTGCTTGTTGGAGCTAGTAAGAAATTCTTACATATTCTTTTAAATAAAGAAGGTGACTTTGAACACTTTCCTTCAGTGACACTCCTGGAGAGAGAGCATTTCCTCTATACCTGGACCCCCAGTGTGGCTCAGGGAAGAAATAAACTCCCTACCTCTGTGACTGTCTTCCTCAGCTCAGTGTCTGGCCTTCCTTGATTTGTTGACTAGTTGGGGTTTGCAGAGAAGCCTCTGGCTTTGTGCTTATTTGAAGATACAAAATTTAGCACTGCAGAGCCACCACTTTTTCTTGGCATCTGAATCTCAGCTCCACCTGGCAGCTGCTCGTGGCACTTGCGACATGCCTCGAGGGGAAAGTGCCTGCTCAGGAGGTAGCTGAGACTTGCCATCCCTGCACCCGCCATGTGCCCTCGCTTGAGTCCCCAGTTCACATTAGGGTTCCCCATTGGTGTTGCGCGTCTGCCGGTCTGGACGTGTCTCCTCCGTTAGCGCATCAGACAGAGTGTGATTTCATTGCCCGAAAAGTCCTCCGTGCTCCGTCTGTTCGTCCCTCTCTGAGGTGCTTTCAGTGGAAAGCCCCCTAGCTGCTGTGGGAAGAATGGGGGGAGGGGTTCCCTGATGTGGCCTCCCCCGGCCTCGCTGCAGCTTTCTCCCTTGTTTCACAGTGCTGGCCTACATGCAGTTGCTGGAGGACTACTCGGAGCCGCAGCCCTCTATGTTCTACCAGACGCCACAGAACGAGCACATCTACCAGCAGAAGAACAAGCTCCTCATGGAGGTATACGGCTTCAGCGACTCCTTCAGTGGGGTGGACTCCGTGCAGGAGCTGGCCCCGCCGCCCGCCCTACCCCCCAAGCAGCGGCAGCTGGTGAGTGACACCTTCCCTTGTGACTAGAACTTCCGATCCTAGCAGGTCTCTAGGAACCAGAATGACCCTCCTTGGGGGCAGGGTTAACCCTCCTCCCTGCTGTGGCAGGGCCCTGGTTTTGGGCGTGGAAGGCACCATCTCCCACACAGATGCTTTTACTTCCTCCTTAGATGCTCACCAGCAGCCCAGCGCCCACTCCACCACCTCCCCACCCTGGGGTGCAGGGACCTTTCTTTTCCACAGCAGCCCCGCGCAGCAGGGACAGGCTTGTACTCAGGGTGTTTGCTCTCTCTGCTGACAGTCTCTTGTATTTTTTTCTTTCTTCTTTGGCTTCAACATAGACCTCCCAGAAAGGAGGGACTCAATCAAAGCACAGGACATGGTCTGTGCACAGCCATCTGTGGACTTGATTGGCATAATGGGCCTAACTGTGTAGAGTGACTTACAACCCAGCCTTGGCCGGGGAGGGCCCAAGGAAAACAAGTGCCATTGAAGTGGAGGATGGCTTTAAACAGAGCCACTCTGTTTCAGACATGGCACCTTCCTCTTCTAGAAAACACTCGTGTGCTAAGGACTCCTGTGCATGTAAGGAAGCACGGGCCAGCACAGAAGGCAAGCTGTTCCACCGTGGGCACCCCATGAGGCTCTGGAACTGCCCAGGCACTGGGAGGGTGAGCAGATCGGGGGTACCTGTGGCATCCCTCCAAACTTTCTCCCTTTGCTGCCAGTTAATGAACATGGAGGGCCCTAGTCAGGTTTGAAGATCTGAGCCTCTTGTCCAGCCATGCTCCCCAGGAAGAGGAAGCTCCCCAGCAGGGAGCTCCAGGCTTGTTCAGAGCTGCCTGGGCTGCTGCTCTCGTGTGCTGGCCAGTCTGGTGGCTTCTACCAGGAGGCGACTGGTGTGCACTGGGCCATCTTTTATCCATTGCGAGAGGACATGAGGGGCCATCTGATTCTTCTGGGAGGCAGCTGCAGACTGGAGGACAAATGTCCCTGGATTACTCCGTATAATCAATCACCTGGGGCTCAGCCCAGTCCCAGGAGTTCCTGAGCCTTCCTATACTCAGTGGGCTGTGGCTAACCAAGCAAGCTGTTTTGTTTCCACTCAAAAACCACACTCAGCCACTTCAGAGGTGGCCATGTCCAGTAGAGGAAAGGCCAAGCTTGGAGTTGGGAGTCCTGAATTCCAGTCCTGCCACTTGTTAGCCGTGTCGCACGTGCCATTTTCAGAGTCTCAGATCCTCACCTGCCCTGCCCGTCCCACAGACACAATTGAGAATGTGAATCTCAATTGCTCTGAAGATGTTTCAAAAAGGGTCCCACCATGGAAACATAAATGCCTCATTTAGAGACCCCTTGCCTAAAATGTTTGGTTAGAACTGTTGCCGAGAGCCAGGAGTGGTGGTGGCACATGCCTATATTCCCAGCTACTTGGGAGGCTGAGGTGGAGGATCACTTGATCCCAGGAGTTCAAGACCAGCCTGGACAACATAGTGAGACCCTGTCTAAAAAAAAAAAAAAGCCATTGCTGAGCCAGATTTATTGAAAATATTTTCGGCCCATTTGCCATCCTTGGGCATCTTCTCCATACTGTGGAGTCCACAGGCTTCTGAATATTTGGGGAGACACCCCTAGGGAGCACGTGGAATCAGAACCTGTTCTACCACGCCTGCAGGGCAGTGGCGAGCTCAGCCCCCGGAGGCCTGTTAGGAACATCTGTGTTGAACACCTCCCCAGGTAAGCACCAGGGCTCTCATCTGGCTCTACATGGTCCCTGCCACAGCTCCTGGCATCCCCATTATAAGTAAATTGAGGCAGACAGAGCCAGCGAACCTTAATCCAAGCCCACAGCTAGAAACAGAAGACCTGGGAGCCACACCCAATCCTAATGACAGCCCAGGCATACCACCTGACAGGTCCTGCCAGCTGCTGGTCACACCCTCTCTCAAATGCAGATGCAGGAAGCGTTATCCACACTTCACAGACAAAAATGGTGCTCATTACACACACCTGTTGGCCCATGTACAGTGTGGTAAGCAATATTTCAAGTGCTTCACACGTATCATCCCATTTCATCCTCCCAACAGCCCTGTACAGGAGACACTAGGGTTATCCCCATTTTACAGATGGAAAACCTGAGGCACGGAGACCTTTAAGTAGTGCCCAAGGCCAAACGGGTGAGAAATGGCAGGGTCCAGACTCAAACCCAGGCTGCCGGAGCCCCGTCTGAGTTCTGAAGACGTGTGAATGACACATGGATCCACTCCCCACAGAGGAGCAGCTCCAAGCCCAGAGTCAGCCCAGTTCTGTGTGGCTCCAGCCCCCTCGTCCTCCTTCCACCCAACCTGCTTCCAGTGGACACAATTTTTAGGATCTAGTGTAAGGAAATGAAGGAGGGTGCCCTTTCATGCAGATGGCCTTCGGCAGCTGGTTTTAGTCCCTGAACTGGGCCCAGAAGCCATCCCTCTCCAGAACGTCTGTTAGAGGATGTGGAGAGCAACCTCCACGGCCTTTCCCTGCACGGACCTGACTGTTCTCTGCTTCTCTCCCTCCTTCCCTGCCTTCTCTCTCCTCCCCTCTGTCCAGCAGGCCTCCTGTGCTGCTTCTTCCTTCTCCTCTGTCTCCCACTGTGTCCAGCAAACTAAAGTGGCCTTCACCCCCGAGGACGGCAGTGCCGCTCAGGGCCTCAGTGTGTCCGTCTCTAACTCCTTTCTCAGCCGGCACGGCAGCTTGCCCGTGCCCTCGGTGAGTTGCTCCCTGCTGTTCTTTACTTGGAAACGCGTGAACAGGGCCGTTCCTTGGAAGCGTGTGCCTCAGCCATGTGTTCTGCTGCCCGTCGCGGCCCCTGCCCTTCTGCGGGTCCCTACACCTAGATGGGAAGGCTATGAATGGTTGGTTCTCTGGGGCCTTAAAGACCATGAGGCATCCAGGTGAGGCAGGGGCAGGCATGGGAAATGTGAGTGGCCACCTTGGGAGCATCACCAGTCTGGCATAAACTGACAGAGACATTTTAGCCTTTTTATCCCAATCTCGCTTTGGACCTTGGATCAGCCCTCTGTGTTCCAGGATTAAAAAGGAATATAGCCAGGTGTGGTGTCACTCACCTGTAGTCCCCACTCCTCAGGAGGCTGAGACAGGAGGATCACCTGAACTCCAGAGTTCAAGTCCAGCCTGGGCAACATAGTGAAACCCTGTCTCAAAATAAATAGATAAGATAGATGAGATGGATGAGTAGATGGGTGGTACTATTCCTCACGTAGAAAGCCAGGTCGAGGAGAGCAGGCTTCACTAGCGCAGGATGGTTTGACTCTCAGGGATGTATTAGTTTGCTTTTGCTGCATAACAAACCACCCAAAACTTGGTGGCTTAAAATAATAGTGAGCATTTGTCACTGCTTAGGACAGGGGGTAGCAGGATGGGTGTGCTGCTCTGGCCCAGGCTTGGCCAATTTTGGCTGAACTCACTGACATCCCTGGGACCTGAGCTGAGACAATGGGGCTGATTTGGCTGTGACCCATGTAGTCTGTCACTTCCATCAGGCTGGCCTGGGCTTGTTCACATGACAGCTGGCGGGCTTCCAAAAATAACAAATGGAAGCGTGCAAGGCCCCTTAGGGCCTCAGCTCAGAAGTAGTGTGATGCCTGTTCCATTGCATTTGCTCAGTTAAATTACAAGGCCAGCCCAGATTCAGGGAGCAGGGAAGTTGCTTCTGCCTCTTGATGGTAGTTGCTACTAAGTCATGTTGCACGGGGCATGGGTCCAGGAAGGGAATGGGCTGCAGCCATTTGGGTAAACAGTTTACTGCTGAAGCCTAGGGGCTGACACTGAAGAGGGGAGTCTTTCACTGGCATCTGCGCATGTCCAGGAACCAAAATGGCCACCATTCTCCCTTTCGTCTGTTAAAATGAAACTTAGCACAGGGGAAAGAACTCTAGAACAATTTCGAGTCCCACTTGAAAGAAGTTTGGCCTTGGGCAGTGCAATTCTCCCCCCATGGCCCCCCGCCAAAGATGCTTCAGCGTCTTTCCTTTGGGACTGGATTTTACTTGCCTCATATTTTGTAAGTGTGAAAATTAAGTAAAATTATATGAAATGTCTAGGTATGTAGTAAGCTTAGAAAGCTTATTACTGTTCTTGCTCTCATTGTCTTAGTAATAAGAGTTCTGGATTCTAGTCTTGTTCTGTTTCTAACTTTACACATGAGAGTTAACCTGTTTGGCCTTTTTTCCCCCTCTGTAAATGATGAGTTTGGACCGAGTGACTTTTAAAGACTTATCCAAACTCAAGTTCCCAGTTTGGTCTTGTCTGGTTTCCATCTGTGCCCAGGGTGGGCAGTCCAATGCCCAGTGCCTTCGACCAAGATGGTCCTGCCTGTCTGAGGACCTTGGAGTGCATTCTCCCAATGGGTACTGAGGCCTCACGCCTTAGAGCCCCCAGCATCCCTACTCATGCTGGGAAGATGCGCTCCCCTCACCCTGCTGTGGCCACACAGAAGCCCCTGGTTTCCTCAGAGGCACCTCTGGCAAGCTCCTTTCACAAATCTTGCGAAACTTGGCCTTTAGACAATCCGAGCTCTTGACTGAGCTAGATTTTTGTTTTTGTTTTCTTTCCCCTTAGAGTTTCCACAATATCCCTTTTGAGCAGTTAGGGTTAGAGGACTATGAATGAACTGGACTGTTCGCTACAAAATTAAATTCGAGGACGTTTTAATTAAGTTTGGTTATGAGTACGTCATAGTTTTTATCCCTGGGACATACAAGAGCCTTAAGACATCTTGTGTCTAAAACACTGCATTCTTAGCAAAAAGCCCACCAAGGAGCCTGAGGGAAGGACCTTATAAGGTCCTTATGTCATTAAAAGGAGAATACCTCAGGAACCATTAGTAATGGCCAGGTTTGGGACATTCAGCACCCAGTATGCCGGAACCTCAGAGAAGGGATTCAGTACGGTGCCAACATGTCCTTCATATATCCTTTGGTTAAATTCTGAGATGAGCCCCAGACATAGAGCTTTGGATTACTATCAGAGCGGCCCTTTATTCCTGACTTTCTTCATTCATTGCTCCTGGGCCTGTATGGTTTGTCCAGCATGGAACTCTGAAGGAGTGCCCCTTGGAAACACAGCAGTTGACAAATCTGAAGACACCTCACGTGGTTCTTGGCACAGTGGACGATTATTTCCACTAAAAGATTCTAACCATTGAAAACCTCTTGCCAAGGGAATTTGTAGGGCACTAAACCTGTGTGGAACAATTTAAATGGAGGTGGATACTGAGAAGTATTCTCATTCACTCCTTCCCTGATACCAGGGATGGGTTTAATTCAGCAAGCTCAGGACATCAACTTTTCCAGGCCGGGTTGCAAAAGACATGCAGTTGAGGAGGATGGCCCCGAGCAAAGCAGGGCCACGGGTCAGCAGGCTGAGGAAGACGGGCATGAAGCCTGCGCAGAACCAAAGAACATCTGCACACATATTAATTAATTTTGGGTCTGAGTGCGTCATGGCTTTTGGTTTTTTGTTTTTGTTTTTGAGATGGAGTCTTGCTCTGTTGCCCAGACTGGAGTTCAGTGGCACGATCTCGGCTCACTGCAACCTCCGCCTCCCAGGTTCAAGCGTTCTCCTGCCTCAGCCTCCGGAGTAGCTGGGATTACAGCCGCCCTCCACAACGCCCAGCTAATTTTTTGTATTTTTAGTAGAGATGGGGTTTCACCACGTTGGCCAGGCTGGTCTCAAACTCCTGACCTCAGGTGATCTGCCCACCTCGGCCTCCCAAAGTGCTGGGATTACAGGCGTGAGCCACTGCGCCTGGCCACGTCATGGTTTTTATCCCTGGAATATATGGGAGTCTTAAGATACCTTGTATGTAACATACAAGTTCACACCACATGAAAGCACGTGTGAGGAATGACATGAGAGTTGTAGGCATAGAAACCTTGTGGGTGGCGGAGCAAGGACAGGGTCGTGGGGGCTGGAGGTGGAGCTTGAACTGTGACTTGAAGGGCAGTCGGGATTTTTAGGAGCTAAAGGACAGGGAAAGCAAGTCAAGATGTTCCAAACAGAAGGACCTGCCAGAGGCATGGAGGCCAGGAAGCCCAGCATCCATTCGGGAAGGTCATCTCAAATGTAAACACTTAGAATAAGGTAATGAGGGGAATGATGACAGCCAGCCCTCCCGTCTCCCCAGAACCTCCACTCCAGGAAAAGCCAGTCCTCCCCATCCGCAGGCTCTGCCGGGCCTGGACTCGACTGTTTGCTGGGCTTCTCTCTCACCAGCACCTCCCACGAGTTGGTCCCAGGGAGTCCCTCCAACCGTCCCCTGCACAGGCTTCAGACCGAGAGATGCAGAATCTCTCAGTAACCATTAGGGCTGCCTGTGCCCTGCCGGTGCTGCAGGGTTGGCATTGGAAAAAACACCTTCCTCCGGCTGGGTGCAGTGGCTCACGCCTGCAATCCCAGCACTTTGGGAGGCCAAGGTGGGCGGATCACGAGGTCAGGAAATCAAGACCATCCCGGCTAAGACGGTGAAACCCCGGCTCTACTGAAAATACAAAAAAAATTAGCCAGGCATGGTGGCGGGCGCCTGTAGTCCCAGCTACTTGGGAGGCTGAGGAAGGAGAATGGCGTGAACCCAGGAGGCGGAGCTTGCGGTGAGTGGAGATCGCGCCACTGCGCTCCAGCCTGGGCAACAGAGCAAGACTCCGTCTCAAAAAAGAAAAAACACCTTCCTCCATACTGCACACTACTTTCTTGTACGTTCTTTCTTTGCTAACTGAAAGTTATGGGTATTTACTCTCACTAAGAGGTCTATTTGGGTGCTAGAAATCTGTTGAAATATTTCTTTACCATCTTGGCTTCCAGAATGAATCTGGATAATTAAAACTGCTAGCAGACCCAAGTTGTGAGTAGAAGTTATATTGAAATGCCTGTAATAACTGTCATCTGTTTAAAAAAAAAAAAAAAACTTCAGGCTAAGAGAGTTAAGTGTGTATCATCTTGAGGACTTTAATTTTTTTAAAAGGGTCTGCAGAGCAGCTGGCATCCCATTCTGGGCAAAACAGTCGTTTTCTGAGATGGGCCCAGGTTTCTGTGCATCAGCACATGTGCTCTCAACAGAAGGCTTGAGCTTCATGCAGACGCTCAGTCCCCATGCCATGGCGTCCCCTCGCTGGGAAATGCCAGGCCCAGCCCCTCGGGACCTGTTGCAGGCTCCTTCACTCTGCCCATTCATCTGCCTCTCACTCACTCACTCTTTCTCTCCTTCCCTACCCACAACCTCCTGGCCACAAACCATCCCCAAGGATGAGCCATCACAGAAACCCTGGGCACACTGACGGGCCTAAAGGCCAAACAGGAAAGGGGAGAGATAGAGAGAGAAGGAGAGAAGAAGGGAGGAGAGGAGGAGGAAAACGGAATGGCCCATGGGAGGGAAGTGGAAGACAGTCCATGGGGCTCTCGGCACCTGTTGGAAAAAATAAGTTCCTGCCATCCTGACCTTTGTCCTTTGTTCCTCCCTGATGCCATCTTGTCTCATTGGCTTTTTGTCCTGGTCAGAGCTAGATCACATTGAGAGAGAGAGCAGGGAGCATCTGTGGGCAGAACCCGGTAGCCGGGGGTGGGAGAGGGGTTTCTCAAGGCAGCCCCTCCTTGGGGGGGGGTGTTGGTGCACACACTGGTCTGACCCTCCCTTTGCACGGTCCACATGGAGTGCTCCTCTTTGGGGAAAAGGACTGTGCCGCTGTCCCCATGTTGTGAAGCCCCCTTGAGGCCTCTCCCTCCCACTGGTGCATGTTCCTCCTTGGCCTGGCGTAGCTCACGTAGTACGTAGGTGCTTCAGGTTATTTCACACCGTTGACTCCTGGACTGTCCTCCATTCTTGGGGGTTTAGCAGCACAATGTAGTCTACAAGTCTATACCCTCAAGGGTGTGGTCTACCAGTCTGTGCCCTTAGGGTTAGCATCTACCAGTCCATACCCTTAGGGGCAGAGTCTACAAGTTCATACCCTTTGAGGCAGAATCTACAAGTCCAAGGTTGAGTCTCCACAGATCTCCAGCTGTTTGAGTGCAGGCTTCTCTCCTCACCAGACCCTGGGCTCCCTGAGGTCAGAAATTAGTCCCCATGCCTGGCACATAGCAGACAGGCAGGCAGTGCCCATTCACTCTTGTCCTGCCCCTCTTGTCCCAATCCCACCATGTCTTGCTGATACTGCACAGGGCATTAGCCTTGAGCGGGTCCGCTTCTCTCCAGCCCGTGGCCACTCACTTCCTCCCCACCCCCATGTCTCACCTGGATGCACTGCAGCTCCTGACTGGCCTTCCTGCCTCTGCAGTCAGAGGCCCTCCCTGCTTCTCAACCCTGCAGCTAGACTATAGTGTCGCCACATCCCTGCAGAACCAGGGCCAGCTTCCCTGGCTCTTCAGAGGCCCTCACACTGCTTCTCCCCACCTTACCACGAACCTGTCCCCTGCACACCTCCACTGCCTTCCCTTCATCCCTTCCCAACATACGAGTTTCTCCTTCCTGCACAACCCTGTCTTCTCCCCCACCGTGTTTTCTCCTTACTTGCTGTATGAACCTGAGCACACCGCCCTGCCCCAGTGCCCTGGGCCCCGCTTTCCTCTGTGCAGTGGGAGCACAAGGTTGTTACAAGGATGAAAAGCACACATGTAGTACGTGACGCACAACCAGCATTTCATGGAAAGGGAGCTATTAGCATCAGATCTGTCGCCATGTGGGGGAGGCTGCTGCTTTCCTGTGTCATGTTCCGGTTCGTCTTCTCAGGATTGCATGTCCCCTGAGGAGAGGGGATGGGCTGTGAACTGGCAGCTTTGGTGCAGCCTAGCCTCTAGCTCCCATGTAACAGATGCATTGGTCCCAGGCTCTGGCCAAGAATCCATTTTCTTCCTCATTTTCCTTCCCTACTGACCTGAGGCTCTGGCTGCTGTGTCTGACTCAAGAGTTTCCCAGGTAGTTCCTGTCTGCAGAGCCCTTGAAACACAGTTTGGCTCCTGCAGTGCGTTCCCCCTGTGCTTTTCCACTCTTCCTAAAAGACCCAGTGCTGCTCTGAAGTGTGAAGGCTGGATTAGATCCCACTCAGCTTGACCTGGTCTTGTGGAAGGAGGTACATGCAGACCAGAGCCCCTTCCAGGTCACTGCGACCCTCGGGATAACGTAGAGCCACCTATAGAGAAAGGCCCAGCTCTGGAGGAGACGGCGTTACCTCCTGAGCCCAGGAGCGAGCCTGCCTTGCCTTACTGTGGGCAGTAGGGAGTATGCCCATCTCAGCAGCAGGACTGGTCACAGCCTTGACAGCAGGAACAGAGCTGAGAGTGCCTCGCATTGGGGGCTTTCAAAAGCAACCACTCTGATGCAGCTGTTTCCAACCCCTGGTTGTAGACTTTGAGAATCTTTATTGTTTACAGCCTGGCATTTTGGCTGATCGGTGCCCCTTGACCAGCTTCAGGCACAGTAGTGTCACTGTAGCACCTGGCCGTGGTTGTACTTCTGACTCCATCCATGACAGGCAAACTGTCATGTGGGAGTTCAGTCAGGGTGGTGGGGAAAATTACAGAGGAGAAGTTTTAAGATAAAGTTATAGGAAATAGACACAAACCTTCTTGGAAGGCTGGTACCCACAGGATCCCCATTCCTTGTAAAGGTCGTGCACTGACACGCATCCTGAGGGCCAGTTCCACGTCCAGTGCCTCTCGCCTTTACTTCCACGTCAGGCTACTGTTTCCCTATCGAGGGCCTTCCTTCCTATTCTGTGATCAAATGGTTCACTGCAGTTCTAGAGATGGAGAAGCCAGGAGAGAGAAGCTGAGCCATTTGTTCCAAGTTAAGCTAGAGCCAGGGTTGGAATCCAGAACCCTATCATGAAAAATACAGCGTTAGATTAACATTTTTGAACTGCTTAATTGCCCATTTTTGAACTGCTTAATTGCCAAATAAATTTTGAGATCTCGTAAGGCTGGGTCAAAAGAAAAGTGTGTAGGCTGGACGTTGAGAGGCGTGTATTTCTCCTTCATGTTCTGACATGTTACAAAGTGTAGCTACAGGCTCTAAATAGAGTTCTAAGAATAAGTATAAATTAGAGCCCCTGTCAGGCTGTTGAAATGCAAACTGAGTAAAAATAGTTGTCAGACTTCTAGAACTGAATTTGAATCATTTTTCAGTCTGTACTAAATCTTTCTATAAAGGGTTGATGTTATTCAGATCAACACTTAGTGAATTACAGAGCATCCTAGAATGTATTGGAGGTTTTGCAAGAGTTAATTTGCCATGAAGCCATTGGCCAAAACGTAGTATTTTCAGTGGAGATATTGTGATTCCAGTTGCAAAAATACATCACATGAGAAGGAACTTAATAAGGAACTTTTGCATTCACCCATCTTCTCCCAAGCAACGCATTTTTGTTCTTTTACATCCTTTTTTCTTAGGATATTCAGGTGGTTTTTAAAAATAAGCTCCACTAAGGAGTTTATTTGAAAAGGGAGAAGATATTTTTTGGACCCAACATAATGCTAATGTTGCCTTTCTTTGGTGAGAAGAATGCCATCTTGTCATTCACACAGTGTGGCCCACAGGACTGCCTTCTTACCAGGATCAAAGACAAAACGGTCAGTGGCAGATCTCAGTTCATGTGCATGTGGCATTGGCCTCAGAACCTACCACTTGGCTTTGGAACTCATCTTTTGACATTATGTAAGGTATAGTTATTGTTTTAAATTAACACAAGGGCATCAAGGAAAAGGAGTTGCCCCTGGGCCTAAGGTAGACCCTACTGTGTAAACCAGTAGTTAATTGGGACCGTAAGGAAAGAGAAGACAAAGCCAGAGGTATCCCTAATAGTTTGCCAAATGGAGTAACAAGGAGTGTTACCAAGCACCTTTCCTGGGGCAGGAGGGTGTCCTGGGAGTGGTCATACCCCATCTCTATAAGAATCAAATCAGATAAGCTTTTCTCCCCAGACAATCACGTGGGTGTCATCATCAGTGAAAAGCTCAATTTCCTTCCAGAATAGATAAATTAGGGCCCACACTTTGAGGCTCACAGTCCCCTAGTTGAAGGACATATGTGCTCTGAGCCCAGCGCCAGTGCTGAGCTGTGGCTCCCATTGATTCTCCGCTGAGGAAGGAAGCCCAGACCACACTAGAAAAGCAGCTTCCCCTGAATGTGTTTTCTCACAAATGAGGGATAAAAATTTAAGCCCGAAAACCAGCTGTCCAATAGCTTATCTGTTTTGCTAAGTAGCATCCAAAAACTCTGAAGTCATAAGCCTTACTTGAGCCAAGATTATGCAGTAATGACCAATTTCTGGCAACTTCTCTTCCCAAACACTTCACCATGCCAGTGAATCCATTCATTTACATGACCACATTTCGCTGTAACTGGTGGAGCTGACAATTCTCCAGGGCTTGGAGCTCAAGTCACTGTGGAGCAACCATTCTGATCAAGGTTCCTCAGCCTGTGTCCCTAACCCTCAGCCGCTGATGAGCAGACAGCCTCCTCTGGCACGCGCTCTTCCTGATCAGCAGAGGAATTAAGTGGAGTGGCTGTTATATTGAGGACTCAGAATTGTTCCTTTAAAGATCTGCTTTCCTGCTGGGCACGATGGCTCACGCCTATAATCACAGCACTTTGGGAGGCTGAGGTAGGAGGATCACTTGAGCCCAGGAGTTCAAGACCAGCCTGAGCAACACAGCAAAACGCTATCTCTACAAAATCCAAAAAATCAGTTGTACCTGGCGACACATGCCTATATTCCCCCCTATTTGAGAGGCTGAGGCAGGAGAATCAGTTGAACCCAGGAGGTTGAGGCTACAGTGAGCCAAGACCGCATCACTGCACTCCAACCTGGGTGACAGAGCGAGACCCTGTCTCAAAAAAAGAAAGGAAGAAAAAGATCTTTCCTGCTTTCTTGCTAAGGCAACACAGAGCCCATCCCTAATCCTTTTTCCATGCCAGGACTATAATAGAGAGAAGGTGTCACCGAAAACTAGTGCCTTTTCTAAGTATTTTACTTGTGAGAAAAAAAACTGGTGCCTGGCCAGCTTCAGGCAGCTTTGCCTTTTAATGAATTGGCCACACGCTCGCATATGAGGTCATCAGCCTCCAGCATCGTTTCGACTCCGGGGCCCAGTGGCTTTCAGGGGTGTGTTTCCAAAGGAGCTGGTTACTGATTCCACCTTTTCCCTGCCTGTCCTGCCACACTCTGGCCAGTGCACCCCTCTCTCCATCCTGGCTTATGGATCAAGTCTCAGCTCACTGGGCTTTGCATGCCTGGTGTCACAAAGCACTCAGCTAAGGAACTCTGCAGATTTGGTGAGGCTGTACCCTGCAGAGCTGTGGGATTGCATGGTTAGGGCCTGTCTCGTCCAGGATACACCTCAGTATTTCAGAAAACACGAACTGATTGTGATATCAGCCATACCCACGCCACCTCTTGCCAGCTGTGTTATTAGGCACGTGGTCTCCCCTCCCAGCCTCAGTATTTTCATCAGTAATAAGAACAGTAAGGCACTGTGTGTACGTTAATTGAGATGATCCGTGCAACACTTACATCTGCCTAGCAGGAAGCATGAGGTAGGAATAGTTGTTCTCGTCCTCATGAGGCAGTCCCTGCTGTGTTTCGACTGGCTATGTGACCAGGGCTGACATTGGGGGCCAGGCACCCCTCTCCTAACTGGCACCCCTAGATCTTGTGCAGAAGTTTGCAAGTCTCAGACAGGCAGCCCTTCCCGTTCTAAAATCCTCAGCCCAAACAGTCTTATTCTGGCTATAAATAAAAGTTCCTGCTGCACAGAGAGCAGCAGCTCGTCAGAAGCAAACCCGGGCACGAGCCAGATCCTAAAATAAACTCCAGGCTGTGATGAGGCGGCGTTTCTGTGGAATGGCCCGCCCTGCCTTTCTCTCTGCCCCTGTGGGTAAGCGTGATCATAAGGGGCTGGAAGTATTGCTCTGGGGAATCGGTAGAGATGGGGGCCTGTTGTAAATGGTGTGACCATGAGCCCTGATGCAGCTCCTGGCATCTGCAGAGCCCAAGGGGCACAGCAAGGGCTTCATGGTGATCAGAAGGTTTTCCCTGTGTCTCCCTGCCCCGTGAAGGTACCTTTCCAGTTTGGCTCTTGTCCCAGCACGACTGCATAGCTTGAATACCAGAACGTGAGCTCACAGCTGCAGAGGCAGAGGCAGAGCAGGCCAGGCCCCTTTGTCCAAGAGAGGCCGACTCTCCTTGCTTTCTCCTTGCTAGCTGCCCCCTCCTTGGCAGCCCACACCCCTGGTCATTTCCCTGAGCCTCCCTCCCCAGTGTCTGGACCTGAACCCATGCAGTGGGTGAAGTTCGTCTCTTACCCATCCACACTCAAAACTGAGACGCTTCTGTGAGTCAGGTAATATTCTAGACACCTTAATTAATACAGTGCCTAGACTATGTATTAGGTGCCTACTAAAATACGTATCAGCAAATATGTATTAGGCCCCTACTGAATGCCCCAGTACTGTTATTTAGGGCAGTTCCTGGATTGTTGGGAGGGCAGGAGAGGACGGCTGCTGCTGGCCGAGAGGTCGTCCGCACCAGCACCATGCGGAGGACTTGCACGCAGCGCTCTGCGTCTCGCGGAACGTCGCAGAAACCTTATGGGGGAGGGGCTATTGTTTTCATCCCCGTTTTAAAGATGAACAGCTTGAGCTGAGGCTCAAGAACTTCAGTCACTTGTACTAGGGCACACAAGCGGAGATGCCATGAGGGGCAACTGGAGACCTTGCAGTCAGCCGCTGCCCTGTGCCGTCTCCCGGAAGAGGCACCATGCTGTGGGAGTCTGCCCCTCACCTTGTTGAATTAAAACCGGCTAAACACACTATATGATTGGTTAGGAAGACACTTCTCCAACTTGGTACATTTTGTGATGACACAAAAGCCATTTGTGTATGTGTAAATCAGGTGCTCAGTTATTGCAGGGCACGTGGAAGCACAAAGTGACTTTACACGGGGGCGCCGATGAGGCTATTTCAAGACTCCAGAAGGAGTCAGCGCGGAACATGACTCCTTAAACTAGGCAGCAGCAAGGCAAGGTGAGGGGGATCTGTTTAGCAAATCTCGTGGCAGTGTCTGGGCATTGGGAATGAACATCTGGCAGATCTGAGAATTGGGGCTACAAAAGATTGAGCCACTCCCTGAAACAGTCATACAAGGGTTCCCTGAAGGCAGCCCCCCCAGCAGCACGCCGTCCCACCCCTCAGCCAGTGCATCCTGCTTGCTGTCTTCTCTGTGGACTTTCCCAGCCAGTAAGGGAGGCTTGCTGTGTGCAGGCATCCTCCAGAGATCGATGGAAAACCCAGAAAGCCAAGCCCTTCACCCCACTGCCATCCCAGGAAGGCCCAGAGCGAGCTCCCAGGCCTGCAGCGCCATCCTGGGTAATTGCTGTGAAACGTTGAAGTGTTGCGTGGAGCCTGCTGTGAGGGTGTAGGTGAGGGCGGCAAGCCAGGGTGTACCAAGCAGGGTGTCTGCCCCCCGAGCTCCTGAAAGAAGGATATGAAGGGAACTTCACTTGTACAGGTACCTGAGTGTTCAGTGCTGGTCACATGTATGACACTTCCACTGATTTATTTGACCATGGCATAGGGTTGGCCTTGAGTTTGTAGGTTAGATGGGAAAGCAGATGTGTAAGTGGTAGTGAGTGCTTAGGGCAGATGTCATGGATCTGGTGTGAGATCACAGGAGTGAGATGAGGGAGGAGCTTGAAACTCTGGTCAGTGCAGCCGGGAAGGGGCCACGGCTGTACACACAGGTGGAAACGAGAGGGTTGCGTTGTCCCTCGAGTTACGGTAGCTCTTTGTACAGGTTAAAGGGTAGCTTTGCCAGACTGCTTAAGGGCCAGGAATGGTGGCTGATCCCTGTAATCCCAGCACTTTGGGAGACTGAGGCGGGCAGATCATTTGAGCTCAGGAGTTCAAGACCAGCCTGGGCAACATAGAAAGACCCCGTTTCTACAAAAAAATCAAAAAGTGAGCCGGTTGTGGTGACATGCACCTGTGGTCCCAGCTACTCAGGAACCCGAGGTGGGAGGATTGTTTAAGCCCAGGAGGTCGAGGCTGCAGTGAGCCTGGGTGACAGAGTGAGACCCTGTCTCAAAAGAGAAAACAAAAAACTACTTAAGGATGAGTGGCTTTGACCTCTTGTTAGTTTAAAACTTCATTTTTCTTCCTCTTCTTCCTCTTTTCCATGGGTTCTGAAAATCCCCAGCCACAGCAAACACAGAGAATGTTTGAGCGAGTGGCACGCACATTTGCACTGGGCTTGACTTTCCTCACGTCCCTGCCTCTGTAGTGGGCCAGTGAGCCCGGCAAGGTCTTTGTTTTGTTTAATTTTGTGACTCATTCATTCACCCATATCTGCAAGGACTTTGGACGTGGCCACCCCCACAGCGCTCTCCCAGCTCCCCATGATGGTAGCAGCATGATGGCAGGCCTTTGTAGGACACGATGACATCACATCATTAGATTCTCTCCACGTGGTGGCTGCTGACCAGGTCCTGGAACACCTCTGTCCCTCCTTCAGCAGCAGAGCCCCAGCCGGGGGTGCTCACTGGACCCCAGAAGCCATGGGATTTGCTGTCACTTCTCAACACAGTGTCTTTCCTCTCTGATGAGCATCTGGGGGAGTATAGCCTTGTGGCTACAAGGTGGCATCAAAGCTGTTGTAAGATCACATTTGTTTTTATTTGAGACAGGACCTTGCTTTGTCACCCAGCCTGGAGTACAGTGACTTGATCTTGCCTCACTGCAACCTCTGCCTTCTGGGCTCAAGTGATCCTCCCATCTCAGCCTCCAGAGCAGCTAAAACTGCAGGCACTCACCACCACCCCCAGCTCATTTTTGTATTTTTTGTAGAGATGGGGTTTTGCCATGTTGCCCAGGCTGGCCTCAAACTCCTGGGCTCAAGCAATCCACCTGCCTTGGCCTCCCAAAGAGCTGAGACTGCAGGTGTGAGCCACCATGCCCAGCCTACTTCATTTGTTAAAAAAAAAAAAAAAGAAAGAAAGAAAGAAAAAAATGGGGTAGGAAGAGAAATGGACTCAGACATCGTTAGCATTTCCATAGTGCAGCTTGCCAGCCACGCTTAAGGTTTGTGCCGCTCCTTTCCAAAAGCATTCAAGGTGGATTTCAATGTTTAAAAGTTGCAGTGTTTGACTCTTAAGGAATAAAACCTGAGAGATTCATCCAGAAATTCAAAATGAGTAATTACAATGACATTGAATTTGGCCACGAAGTTCCTGAGCAGACAAGACAGCGATGGGCCACGCAGGTTTTATTTTCTGTCCCAGCAGAGCATGTGGCCACTTGAGCCGTTCTCTGTGTCATGCTGTTTAGATAGCCCTGAGGACAGCGCTGTTCACTCTCCAGTCTCAGGGCCCTTCTCAAGGGAGGAGGTGCTGGGTGTGGGTATCACAGTGGCCTGAGGACTGGGGGTTGCTTGGCGTGATTGGTGGCCCGTTAGACTAAGTTATTGTGAACGGCCTGTCACTGCTCAGCTACTGCCAATCTAATTACTTTTTCTCTTTTCTTCTTGTATTCTCGTTTTTGTTTGTTCTCCACCTGGATTCTGTAGTATAAGTCTGTGTTTAGGTCCTACTCCCAGGATTTCGTGCCTCACCACCAAGCTTCCGTTCCGCCTTTCCTTCCGCCTACCTCCTCTTCCTCTCCACATTTCCCACCTGCCCACCAGTCTCAGAGCTCTGACTTAGCCGTGCCAACCATGGCCGGTCCACCTCCCAGCACCGTGGACGGGCCTCTCTCGGCTTCTCAGGAGAGCAGCTTTCATGGGAATACTGTCTGCCTTCCTTCCGAAACCTCTTTCACTGACTCGGTGAGAACTCAGCGTGCACACACACACACACACACACACACACACCCCTGCACATGGGGCTGCACGTTTTTTAAAAAGCGGTTTCACGTTCCTGAAAGACACTGCCTCCCCTTTACTAGCAGTTGGGGGCTGCCAGCGCACACCTGCTGGCAGCATGGCTGAGCTGACAGCTACTGAGGGTCACAAGGTGCAATGGGAGCCCATGTGTTTCCAGAACAGAACTGACTCTTCTATACAAAGTTCTATCAAACTAGGAATCTGATTTTCCACAAATGGATTAGTGGCCATTTAGAGAGGAACTTATCAGACGCATAAGATACAAAATGCTACTAGCTTTCCATTTACTTGTCTGTTTTTAGGGAAAGGTACAAAGCCCTTCGCAAGTGTGGAGGTGACAGATTCAGGACAAGTGTCTGTTCGGTTGCATGTGGTGCCGATGACAGAAGCCTGGTCTCTAGCCTGTTAAAGTGCCTGTAGCGCTTCGTCCAACTCAGAGAAATGCTGCCTTGCAGATTGGAGCAGACAAGTACATGGGGCAGAGGAAGTGCAGGCAGCGGACCCCACTCCCCAGTATGTGGGATTGTCTTGATGTGTTGCTTCTCTCCCTCCATAATCGTTTCCCGCCACACTGGGGACCCCTGCTGTCTCCACTACAGTGGGGCCATCTCTCCAGGATGATTTAGCCCCAGACACCATTGGAGGGGCAGCAGCAGGAGACTTGGATCCCCTCTAGCACAGAGGCAAGAGGTGGCAAAAGCAGCTTTGCTCTCTGCACCTGGGAAGACCAGAGTGCAGGCTGTGGCATCCCCTGGCCAGCTGTGAGGGCCGGCTGGAGGGCCTGGCCCATGTGTCTTTCCTCTCGTCCTGTCTCCCCCAGAGTGAAAACGCCAGTGAGGAAGCTGGTGAGGGTGAATATGTCAATCTGTATTCCTCTGGCCAGAGCAGCGAGGAGCTGGCTCCCTCTCGAGGAGTAAGTAACCTCGGGCGGCCTCCTGCATGTGGCCTGGCCTGGTGGGGCTTGGGCTCTGCCCTCCCGAGGCCGCTTCCCCCGCACCTGCTTCTGTTGGGCTGAGCCCCCTCCTAGTCACCAGCAGACTGGGCTCCTGCAGGCTGCTGGGAGCCAGCTCGGCCCTTTGGAGAGGACGTGGCTTCCAGGTGGAGGTCTGCCCTTTGCTCCTGCTTCAGTGCGTGTGGCACTCCTCAGAGCCTGGCCAGATGGGTCATCTAGAAATCTCTGGGACCAGCGTGGCACGGGCCCCGGCTGTGTATCTAGTGCTCTCTGTGGGGTTCCTTCCTCCCTTATCTTCTGGTGTTGGCTTCATCTTCTGTCCCTCATGCAGAGGGAGGGACTCTTCTTCCCATAGGGCCTTTCAGACCTTCATCTCCCTCCCCAGCATGTCCCATTGCTCCAACACTGACTGCTTCTGAGGAAGCGGGTGAGTCTGGCCCATAGCCCCTGCCATGACTATGCACACCCCCTCCTGAGGGAGCCACAAGGTACCCGACGTCAGCACCCTCGTGATGCTGCTGCCCCAGCTCCCGACCATCGCGGTACAGCAGTTCTATTGAGCAATCCACTTTCCACATTTTGCTTCAGCCAAACATGAGCAAGTTCAAAAGCTTCAGAAATTGCTCCCCCCATGAGCCCAGGTGGGACAGGTTCCTTGAAGGGAGGCCCATGAGGGCTGGAAGACTCCCAGTGATCCACCCCAGGGCGGGCCCCCACCCGTGAAGAGCTTGGTCACACCCGTTCAGGTGGTTCTCTCAGCAGGGTCCCCACAGGGGTTCAGAGGCCCACCCAGAGCCAGCCCTGTTTCAGACATTAGCAGGTTATAGAACATTGAAGAGTGTCCACTCCAGTGGGATTTGACCCAGTCCATGGGAGCTGTCTCCTCTGCTGACATGTGCATCTGGCACCCCCCGGCTCAGCCTCCCCATGGTGAAGTCCACGTGCAGGTAGAGGCCAGCTTCGCATGGCTCTCTCCCTCCACTGTGACACTTCCAGGGCTCACTGGCTCCTTGCCTTGAAGCACTCTTTCTGTATTTGTCCTGCCCCAGTTCTCCATCAGGCTCAGCAGCAGACCAGGGATGTTGGCGGGCCATGTTGTCACTGAGTAGGGCCAGCCCAGGGACCCAGGAGGAAGCAAGTCTGCCGGAGGAAGAGGGGACTGGCACCCCAGGGCCTGAGAGCTGGCCCTTTGGGGACTGAACCCGGTTGAGCACTGCAGCCCTGAGGACTTCTTTAAATCAGCAGAGTTTGGTTCACGACAGCAGGGCCCAGTGGTTAAGGGCACAGGCTTTGCAGGTAGATAGCCCTGGGTTCAAATCCAAGCTCTGCTGTTTATGAGCTGTGTGGTCTTGAGCAGGGTCCTTGACTTCTGGCCTCTGTTTCTATGCATGGAGTGGGGACGATGGTGTTAGCTCACTGACGAAGTCAAATGAGGAGAAGTGGGCACAGCCTAGAGCCCAGTCCCTGGCTGTGCTCGGGGGGAGTGGCTATGACAGTCTTCTTTGAGGAGGTAGTTGAGGTGGCTTTGCCTAGGTTGGCAGCTTACAGATGAGACAAATAGTGGCACCTTTCACTTTCTCCAAAGGCCACATGCTAGTCTTGAGGGCTTGTGTTTCCTGTGATTAACGGCATTCATCTTTAATTTGTTCACATCTGAGATTGCTCCATAGGAACTTGCACTCCACAGCCACTTGCAGGCAGGAATGCTGGGAAGACAGAGCAGCCCCGCAGAGGGCCCCTGTCCAGAACTCAGCACCCACTCCTCTTTCCAGGAGCCACCGGCTGGGAAAGACGGACATCCCAGAGATCCCTCAGCGGTCAGCGGCGTCCCTGGGAAGGACAGCAGAGACGGCAGTGAGAGGTAGGAAGTGGACCCAGAGGAGCTGGGTCCCCCGAGAGCAGTGCGCCCACTCATGAGGCCTGCCTGAGCAGCCTCTCCCAGCTAGCCCCTAGGCCTGAGGGTATTTCAAGTTGAAACTCTTCCTTCTTTCCTTATTTCCTTTTTTTGTTTTTTAGAGACAGGGTATTGATCTGTTACCCAGACTGGAGTGCAGTGGCACAATTGCAGCTCACTATAACCTTGAACTCCCGGGCTCAAGCGATCCTCCCACCTCAGCCTCCCAGATAGCTGGGACTACAGGCATGCAGTACCACGCCCAGCTGATTGTTTTAGTTTTTTGTAGAGACGAGGTCTCGCTATGTTGCCTAGGATGGTCACTAACTCCTGGCTTCAAGCGATCCTCCCACATCAGCCTCCCAAAGTGCTGGGCTTACAGGCATGAGCCACTGTACCTGGCCCTCTTCCTTTTTTTCTGATTCTCAAATAATACAAGCTCAGGATAGAAACTGTTGAAAAGCATAGAAAACTGCAAGAAAGCAAGAAAAATCACTAATAACCCCACCCTGCAAAGGCCTTCACATGTAGTTTGCCATTACTTCTTGATTGTTTGCACCTATATTATCTACCTTACAAATTACCCACGATAGCCTTGTCTTTTCTTTTTCAAATCCCAGGCCAACCTCCCTTGGTCTTGGCCTCTTTCAAGTTGATAGGGAGTGTAAAAGACACCCCCTCCACTTACAAACTTGTTATCAGGGACATTTCTAGACATATGTGTGCATGTGATGTTGCTAACAAGAATGTCTTGTATATCTTAATTTTTTGCAGCCAAGATCAGGAGCTGTTCATTGCATTTAGTCATTACAGCTCTTTAATGTCTTATAACTTTTTTTTTTTTTTTTTTTTTTTTGAGACGGAGTCTCACTCTGTCGCCCAGGCTAGAGTGCAGTGGCGCGATCTCGGCTCACTGCAACTTCCGCCTCCCGGGCTCAAGCGATTCTCCCGCCTCAGCTTCCCAAGTAGCTGGGACTACAGGCATGTGCCACCATGCCCGGCTAAGTTTTTATTTATTTATTTATTTTGTATTTTTAGTAGAGACGGGGTTTCACCATGTTAGCCAGGATGGTCTCAATCTCCCGACCTCATGATCCACCTGCCCCAGCCTCCCAAAGTGCTGGGATTACAGGCGTGAGCCATGATGCCTGGCCACATTTTTCAATATTAGCATAAACCAAACCTGACCAAGTGTAGAAATACGTAGTAGATTTCCCCAGTATGCACCTGTGAAATATGATGTGTAGGATCTGCAAATGGGCACTCCCACCTGCAACTTCACATTGACTTCCCCTTCTCTATGAAATGTTCCATGTGTTCAAGCTTTTCCTCCCTCCTTAGGTCAAGCTTTAGCCACCTCTGGGGTCTTTGGTGACCTTAGAGCAAGGGAGTGCCCACTTGTCATTATCAGGGCTCAGCATGAATGGTTGAAGAGGCAGTTAATAAAAATAGCAAAAGAAAGAAAAAGAAATGAGAAGGCATTGCATAGGGACCTGTTGAAGAGGGCCACCTGCCCAGCCTGCCTCCTGGCCACTCTTGTGCTCTCTGACTTGTCTCTCTGACTTGTCTGCCCAGACTGAGCTTTCCCCAGGTGTGAAGCCAGGAATGGTGTGGTTTCTAGGTTAATACCTGGGGCAGAGTGTGTGGGCCAAGCAAATGCAGCTCGTGGGTATGCCACTAGCTTCACTGGACCCCAAAGTATCGTCTTCAGAGTTCCAGATGGTTCTCGTGAAAGAGAAGGATGAACACTTTGACTGCTCAGAAATAATTATGGGATGTTGTCCCTCCATCAAGGCCAAACCACAGGGTGAACATTGACGAGATGTGGAGCAGGGATTTTCTCGAGACTGGGCAGGGCCCACTCTGACCCATCCATATTCTTTTACTGAAGGCACATTTTTTTTTTTCCCTTGAGACAGAGTCTCACTCTGTCACCTAGGCTGGAGTGCAGTGGTGCGATCTCGGCTCACTGCAACCTCCACCTCCTGGGTTCAAGTGATTCTCCTGCCCCAGCCTCCAAGTAGCTGGGTTACAGGCAAGCGCCACCACGCCCAGCTAGTTTTTGTATTTTTAGTAGAGACAGGGTTTCACCATGTTGGCCAGGCTGGTCTCGAACTCCTGACTTCAAGTGATCCACCCGCCTCGGCCTCCCAAAGTGCTGGAATTACAGGCGTGAGCCACCACGTTTGGCCTAAAGGCACATATTTTTACATCTCAGATACCTGGGGTTAAAATGTGACCTATGACCACAAGACGGGCCAGAATAAAATAGAGGAACATGGAAGAAAATGCCAGGGGAAAGCCAGGCATATCTGTAGGCCCAGCTTCCACTCTCCCCAGAACACCCTAAGCTGGGAGACTCATCTTGGACACCCCCGGCCGTCCCACCTTCCCCTTTGTGGGAAATGTTCTCTCCCATCCTTCAGCCGGCAACTTAGGCTCAGTACTGCAAGCCTCGGCTCACCCATCCCATTCCAGAAGCCTCCCGACCTTTAGACGAGGCCAGACCCCCTGGCTGTGCTCATGGTACCCTTCTGGGCTTCCCCTTTCTCTGTGCTACTGTGACCACTTGTTTTAAAATTCTGTCTCAAAAAAAAAAAAAAAAAAGACTGGGCACGGTGGCTCATGCTTATAATCTTAACACTTTGAGAGGCCAAAGCAGGAGAATCACATGAGTCAGGAGATCAAGACCAGCCTGAGCTACATAGTGAGACCTCATCCCTACAATGAACAGAATTATCCAGGCATGGTGGCTTGTGCCTGTAGTCCTCGCTACTTGGGAGACTAAGGTGGGAGGATGGCTTGAGCCCAGGAGGTCAGGGCTGCAGTGAGCCAAGATCGCACCACTGCACTCCAGCCTGGGCTACAGAGGGAGACTCTGTCTCAAAAAAAAAAACAAATAAGTGGCTGGGCACGGTGGCTCACACCTATAATCCCAGCACTTTGGGAAGCCGAATTGGGCAGATCACGAGGACAGGAGTTCGAGACCAGCCTGACCAACATAGTGAATCCCTGTCTCTACTAAAAATACAAAAATTAGCAGGACGTAGTGGCATGTGCCTGTAATCCCAGCTACTCAGGAGGCTGAGGCAGGAGAATCACTTGAACCCAGGAGGTGGAGGTTGTGATGAGCCAAGATTGCGCCACTGCACTCCAGCCTGGGTGACAGAGCGAGACTCCGTCTCAAAAAAAAAAAAAAAGCAAATAAATAAATTCTGTCTCCTGCTCGACTGAACCCTCAGGGACAAGAGGCTATGTCTGCTTGGTTCACAGCTCTTTCTTAGCGCCAAGCAAAGGGTCCCGTGGCAAGTCGGTCCTTGGAGAAGACTTGGGGAGCAGCCTCAAGAGCAATGCAGCTTTCTCTCCCATTCTGCTTGCCCCTTAGCTCCTCCTCTCCCTAAATGCTAACTGTGCGGTGGGCCTTGGCAGGGAGTGGCTGAGACCATCACTCAAACAGCTTAATGGAACCTTTTTATTTTCCCAGCGGAATCACTTCCGTGTACAGATGGAACATCCAGAGGCAGCAGCGACTGTCCTATGGCCACACAGCCAGTCAGTAGCAGAGCTGAGGATCCAGTCCATAGTGACGTAGCTGCCATCGGGGCAGGCATGTTCCGGGAGCGGTTTCGAGCCGTGCACACCGGCACTGCCTTGGCCTCCAGGCATCGGGAGCTGAGCCGGTTTGACACTTGCAACACAAACCACTTCTCCCCGCAGGGCCCCAAAGTCACCAGATGCTCTGGAGTCGGCTCAGTCGGAGGAGGAAGTGGACGAGCTGTCCCTCATTGACCACAACGAAATTATGTCCAGGCTGACGCTCAAGCAGGAGGTGAGAACTTCCCGGGCTGGGGCTTTGCAGCCTGGCCCCACAGAGGAGAGCAGGTGGGGCAGAGAAGAATGTGATCTTGTCATAAGCAGAACAACCCTAGGAGGCTTAGAGACCAAGTCTTTCAATGCCCCTGGTGAGCCTCTGGGCTGTGGGCTCTGGAGGGGTAGACTCCAGGGGAAGTGTGCTGTCTCCTTCTGATGCTTATAGAAAGTCATCTTACACAGGTCAAGTTCTGCAGCCTCTCTAGCTAAAGATGCCAGAACTCCTGAGGGTGTGGAGATGGAACCCCTGTAAATGCTCTGCAGACAGAGCCTGCATGTGGCCGGCCCTCACTAATGGGAAACTTTTTCTGTGGTTGAAAAAATAGCTCCACTGTAGCTTCAGTCTGGGAGACAGAGGCAGGGGAATGGCTTGAGTCCAGGCGTTCAAGACCAGCCTGGGCAACACAGCAAGACCCATCTCTAAAAAAAAAGAAAAGAAAATTCAGGCCTGGACACTGTGGATTCCCTGGTCCTGTGCCTTGCCTGCAGAACCTCGTTGGTGAAAAAGGGCCCAAACCTGTGAGAGTGGAGAGGAAGCAGGACAGAGAGTGCCCTGCCTCTCCCTCCTGCCGTGCAGTGCTAGAAGTACAAAGGAGCGGCTTCATAAAGCAGCCTTGGCCCGCACCAGGAGGCAACTGTTTTGGGGCTTCGATTTGATGACACATGGACAAAAGGGCAGATACTGCCCTTTGCGCACTCCCAGGCAAGGATGCGCTGGCTCTGGCCATGGCAGGGAGCAGCCCAGGAATGTGTCTGCGCCTTGGGCTGTCACACACAGGCAGGGCTGATGAGGGTACTCACACAGCTGGGCTCCTCTGCAGAGAGATCCTTGCCATAAATTTCTTCCTTAAAATCAGGTCAAAGGCATAGTTCCTACTCCTAGAGGTAAACCCAAGACAATCTCAGGCCTCTGGAGTCAGGAGGTAAAATACCAAAGCCTAAAAATAAAAAGGTGGGCTAGTCCCGGAGTGTGTACCGCAGCTGAGAGGGCTGGTTCCGTCCCTCCAGCGTTACAGAGCAAGGAGCATTGAGGGCCAGGGGCAGAAACAGGCCTGGGGGGTTGTCCTGGACCTCTGTTCCTGGCCCTAGTCACAGCTCTTTTTGGCTCTACGCTGGGTGGCCTCTGTTTGCCCACATGGAAGCAAGACTTGCTTCTTAAGAGGCAGGTGGGTTGGTGGCAGGTGTGCAGCGTCAGAAGTCATTGAATATTTCTGTCTGTAATGCTTTGCTCTCCTTTAAGGAAGGGCCCCACAGAAGAACCTTGTGCCAATGCAAGTAACTTCTACTTCCACCTGGGGAGACGGATTTAGATGTAGGGCCGCTTGCTGCAGTTTTGGGGAACATGAACATGCTTAGAAATAGTCCTGCTGCCTCCACAGGCATCCTGGGCAAGGCTGGGGACTGTCTTGCCCCCAGGGGGTCCTACCTCACCTCTGACTTGTGGTTTGGTGAGCAAGGAAGGATGGAAGGTGCTATGTCCCCTGGCCCAAGTTGTGTGCTCAAAACAGTGGCATGCCCTGGTGCCTTGGTGCCGGGGCAGCTCCCAGGCCATCCAGCTCCCAGACACAGTCCAGTTTGTGCCTGTCACCAAGCACAAGGTGAGTCTGGAGGGCACCCCTGGCTTCGCAGCGCAGCCACACTGCTCCTGGGCCGAGGAGCACAGAAGGAGAGGGGACTTGGGGTTGCAGGGCATTTTGTCATCTCATTCCTGCCTGTTTCTTCCTAAACTGATTCTCTGAAGGGCATACTCTGCCTCATACCTTCCTTGGCTGTGTTCATTACAGGGTGATGACGGGCCGGACGTCCGCGGAGGATCTGGGGACATCTTACTGGTCCATGCTACTGAGACTGACAGGAAAGGTAGGGTGTCAGTGAGCTCACTAGATTGGGGCTGGTCCTGCCCCGGGTGCCACTCGGCCTCCCACCGCTATCCTGTCCCCTCCTGGCAGCCACAGCCCTGAGCAGGTCTGATCAGCAGTCCTGGTGCGCCTGAGTCAGAGCAGGGAGAGCCCACCTTGGAAGACAAGTAGATCATGTTCAACTCCAGGCGTGCGTGGCATCTGTCCTCCGCTGGTACAAGGTAGTGACCCCAGGGCCTCCAGGGTCCTTGAGGGGCTCAGCGCATACTAAGCGCACCACAGACAGCGCCTTGAGTGATGGCATGTCACCCAGTAGTACTAAACTTAAGATAACATGCAGGTACCTTTTGATTCCTTTCCTGACTGCTGAGTCACTCTATTGTTGCAGACCATTAGACCGGACTTCACTCACATACTCCACGAGGAAATTCTTGAAGGTTTGTTCTGTCCAGGAACCTTCAATTCTGTAGCAGTGGCCTCAGTTTCACAGCACACAGCTGCCCCACCCTACCACGCATTCAGTGTGCTGATTGAGAGGGCTGGAAAAGCAGGGACCGTCCCCTAATCCCTAAAACGTCTTGTTGGGTGGACTCTGCTAGCAAAGTCATTCCCAGTCATGCTCTGGAAAGGAGGTGCTAGTGACCTGATGGGGCATGGCCACAGCACCCTTCACTGCCTGCCCTCAAGGGGCCAGCACCACCTGGCCGGCCAGTCTCTCCACACGCTGCTTCTCTTTTTACGTTTAAAAAAATGATTTAAAAGATGATGTCAGAGCAATGGTGAAGTAAATTGTGGAGGGAATGAAAACACCCCCACCTTGAAATCCTAGCCCAACCCGTTTCATTTCTGTAAGGGACTCTGTCCCTGTGTTTCCTCAGCACGTTTCCCAAAACATGTGACCCAGAGTGACTCGGGGAATTTCTGAATTATGGAAGTAGTACTAAAAAATATTTACATTGCAGAAAATTAGAGAAAAAGAAGAGATGGCTCCCACAAACTCACCGCAGCCACTGCTCCGCCCTCCCCTTCACTGTTCCCTCACCCTTTGTTTGTTCTGACCAGGGCAGGGCCCAGACCTGGCGATGCTGCATCCTAGCCCCAGCTGTGCCATGACAGGCTCAGAGGGCCCCTGGGCAGTCCCCGGGCTTCTCGGCCTGAGCCGACTCCACTTGTTGAAGGGGTGAACGGTGCCTGTTGTTGTGTGGATTACGTGAGGGAGTGTGAAACCTGCCCCGCATGTCAGCGGTGCTGGGGGCGTGATCAGCAGCATCCTGAGCGCCGAGTGCAGCCCTTGCTTGGCTTCTCTGCAGTGAATCCCCCTCCCTGCCTGACATAGGGGGCTCCATACTCAGCCAGGCATGGGAGCGACTTTCATTTCCTTTTTGTCCACAGCGAGGGGCTGAAATGGGAGCTGGCTTCAGACCTCGGCTCCAAAGGGTGAACTCCACTGTCCTGTCGGGTACAGCCAGCTGTGGCCAAGGCTGGAGGGGTCCCTGAGACAGGACAGCCAAGAGGCTTCTGGCTTTTGCTGGCTGGACCTGCTGAGAGGACGCTCCGTGCCGGTGGGAGCTTTGCCTGATTTTACTAGCAGAAGGGTTGGAGGCTCCCCAGAACCAAAGTTTTACGTAGGAAGTATTACTGAGGCAGAAGCCATGGCTCCACTGGGAGGGTGAAGCACCCTGTGGCAGGTAACAAAGCAAGCTCCTTGGGCAGGTGCATCCTGCAAGCCAGAGACTGCACCAGCATCACGAGCAGCTGGGAGCCCCGTGGCTCAGGCCCGTGGAGCCCAGCCTGCCAAGCAGGGCTTGGCAGGGAGAGGCCGTGTGGGGGTGCTTTGTGGTTGCACGGCTCTGCTCTCAGGTGTCAGGACCTGCATGGGAGAAGGTCAGGTCAGCCTTGGCCTCAGGCCTCAGCTTAGATCCTGTCTATCCCTTGACAACTGTGTGCCAAGCCTGTCACTTAGCCCCGGAGCTTCCGATTCCTTAGGAGGAAAATGAGGGACAATTTCGGGGCCTTTTAGGGCTGTCTCAAAGACCAGGTGAGCCAGGGCGCACAGAGTGCTCAGGACCGCATCGAGAGTCCTGTGATCTCTAGAGGGGTGGCACAGCACTGCCCGTCCCAGAAGCCAGGCGCTGTCCCATCTGCCATAATCCAGGGCACAGCAGATGGGGGAGGGCTCTGGAATTGGGCAGACATGGGCGCCGACCCCGCCACATTGCTTGCGGGTGGTGTGGCCTCGTGCCTGGGCTCCTCCTCTCTCGGTAGGGTAACAGGACTCTGTCCTTGTGGGATTGCTCTGGGCATTGAAGGATGTGGCATATGTTCAAGGCATGGCCCAGTGCTCACCAGCGAGTCCCACGAAGTTGTCATGGCTACTGGCAATGATGCACCCGCAAAGGCCAGTTGACTTGGGCCCCTTCTTCCAGAAGCAGGTATGGGTCTATGCTGGTGCCATCTCTGCTTCCTTCCCCAAACTCTTTGAACAAAAATCCAAGCTTGACAGTGAACTGGGTGGGTGTGGGGGCCGAGGAATGAGCCTGAGCACAGTGCGGATGGGCCCTGCTGTGATTCCCAGCCCGGAGCCTCCTTCACCTGCCAGCCCCACCCCACGCAGCCCCCAGTGCAAGAGCAGGCGTGGGTTTTCCTCTCGTTTGATGCAAGAGGGGATGGGGCAAGGGTGGGGGCAGGAGCCAAGCCAGCATGACTCAGCTGGAGATGTGGGTTCCTCGAGATTCCTCTACCCAGCAGCTCGGGAATGAGGGAGAAGGTGGGAGCAGGTGGTCTATGTCCAGAGCACAAGATTTAAGCAGTGCGTGTTTGCACCCAGCCTCACAGTGAGAAGCACAGCTGCGGAGCCTCCTTGGGCCTCACACCTCAGCAGGCACGGGGGGTGGCTGCAGGGAGTGAGTCTGGCCACCCGTTGGCTCAGGCAGTGTCCTACATTTTAAAATTCCACTTCATTCTGTAATATCAGAGACAGCACAGTTGAGAAGGTGTCACCACAGCAAATAAATAGGGCTGTTGTAATTCTGGAAAGTCTGGGAGTCCCTGACTGGTACCAGCCCCCTCTAAGAGGAGGCAGGCATGGAGAGGTGAGGGGTAAGCTGGAGCTGCCAGCCCACACCTGCCCAGTGGCTGGCACCATGCCTCTCCTTGGTACCCGGCCCAAGCCGTGCCTCTTCAGCCTATCCCTTAGGACCCAAAACGTGGAATTTCCCCGGATTTTTCTGATTGGACCCTACCATCTAAAAGTACTGACCAGGCACGGTGGCTCACGCCTGTAATCCCAGCACTTTGGGAGGCCAAGCTGAGTGAATCACTTGAGGCCAAGAGTTTGAGACTAGCCTGGCCAACATGGTGAAACCTTGTCTGTATTAAAATCAGCCAGGCGTAGTGGCGCGTGCCTGTGGTCCCAGCTACTCGGGAGGCTTGAGGCAGGAGAATCACTTGAACCCAGGAGGCAGAGGTGGCAGTGAACCAAGATCGCACCACTGCACTCCAGCCTGAGTGATAGAGTGAGACCCTGTCTCGAAAATAATAATCATAATAAAAATTTAAAAATAAAAGTAAAGCCTAGGGTTTCATTTCAGGATCCTGCTGACGGGTTTGAACAGACGATTTTCTTTGTTCCCATGATGGCTGAGACCCTCTGAAGCATAAAGCCTTAGGACAGGCAGAGCCTCTCAGAGTCTAATCCAGGGCTGGCTCCTACCTGGAACAGGCATGCCACCGGGTTTTGATGCCTAGGGCAGGCGTCACTCGTCAGCCTAAGTGCCCTTTTCCGCTGGGACCAGAGTTGGCCTCAGCTCCCACAGCACGGTTCTCCAGGCAGCACCATCATCGGTAGAAAGTGCCCATGAGATAAAACCCTTTCCTGTTTCCCCTCTCTGATCTGCCGTTTCCTTTGAGAGATGGACAGAGAGGACGTGTGACTTCTCTGGGACATGCAGGCGGAGACACCAGAGGGGGTTCCCAAGCCCTCGGCTCCCTCGCCCATCCCACTCCCCGTGCCATCTCCCCTGCCTCTCTCAGAGCAAGGACTCAAATCCACCCTGGCTACCACCCCCCAGCACTCTGCACCCAGACAAGCAGTTTGCATTGTTTTTTCCCTCTAGATTTGGTGTTGTACTGCGAGGCATTCCTGACCACCTACAGGACCTTCATCTCCCCAGAGGAGCTCATCAAGAAGCTGCAGTACAGATATCCTTTCCTTCCTGACCCAGGGCCCCTGCACCATGGGCATTTTGGAGAGAGAGGGACCCTCTTGCCCTTCAGTCCTCGTGGGGGAAGCCGAGCAGCATATTGGGTGGCAGTGTGATTGAAGTAGGGACACAGGAGCCCCATGGACCGAGGTTCCCACCTCTACCCTCCCGCATTCCAGCTTTGAGCTCAGGCAAGTTCCTCATCTCTAAAAGGGCCGAGTGAAATGATGTGAAGAGGCTGGAACATAGTCTGGGAATGTGTGTCTGGTGGCAGTTGTGGTCATTGGATGATTCTAAAAACGAATTAGACATGCCCCAGACTGGGAGGGGTAAGTGTGCCGGTCCTGCAGACGCCTCTGAGAGACCCTCATGGTCGGCTCCGGCAGCTTCTCAGAGCTGAGCCCCAGGGCGTTGGGCACGAAGGATACCAAGACCCAAATAGACAGCTCAGGGGTCAGCACAGTCACCTTCCCTGGAGCGGACCCTGCGACTGCCACATCCACAACTGGAATGGGCTCCTGTCCCCAGATCTACCCCATGGGCCCACCCTCAGTAAATGTCACCCTCTGCAGTAGTGGCTGAGGAGGACCCCAGGGGTTTGGAAGGACCCACTTGTGTGACCCATTGCCTCTTCAAGTCCAAACCTGCCCATCCTAAGAGGCTGACCTGCAGCTGCTGCTCTAGGAGGGTAGCCTGGGTCAGCTGCTCCTCAGCCACCTCTTTGCACATAGCCCACGGCTGCCATCTGCTGGGCAGCCACCACCACCTGGGGTAGGAAGTCCTGAGTCCACCCGCGCCCCCGCTCCTTCCTGTGTGCCCTGAGCCTTCACTGCTCCACTCAGGGCCTCCTGCAGACCTCCTGGCCTCCTATTCTCCCCTCGTGTTGACCTTTAGAATCCCTGATCTATCAAGACAGACGTGGACATCCTCCATTGGCGGAGCCTCGGGTCCCCGGCAAGTTCTGTTACTCAGAGCACCTGCTCACAGGCCTGACTCAGTGAATGGCTGTCACTCACACGTGTCAAGGACTTGCTGGTCAGGCGAGATGTGCTTTACACCTGTGCTTTCACCTAGCCCTAGCTCTATGACCATTTTTTAATATGTGTGTGTGGGTGTGTATAAAATTACCATATTATACATGGGGCCACTGCTCTATAACTCCCTATTGTGTAATTGAGGAAACCGAGGCCCAGAGACATGAAGGACCTGACCCATGTGGCTGCTTGGTGGGAGAGCAGCCACACGCTGCTTGCCCCCTGCTGCCTGCGCCCAGGCTCTCAGCCTCTGCCTGGCTCAGCCATCATGGAAATATTGCAGCATCAAGGTCTGGGCCTGGTTGGCTGGCGACCCCTGTGCTGTGGGCCAAGACACAGTCCCTGGTACGTTGCTCTGTCCTGAGCCCCATGACTTGGAAGGTCGTGGATCACTAGAGAGCAGGCAGGAGGGTGTCAGAGAGATCTGGGGAGTCGATGGCGAGCACAACAGCCGGGCAGGAAACCCTGACCACAAAGCAGAGCCCGACCTCAGGGCATGAGCTAGAGCTGATCGGGTGCTTGAAGTGCTGCCCTGGAGACAGGGAGCCAATGTGGAGCGTGCTGCAGCTCTGGGAAGAGAGACCCGGCCCGGTGTCACGGAGGTGAGAGTTCCCTTGCAGAGCCCAGGGAGGCAGCCTCAGGATGGAAACTCACAGAAAGACTGGAGGGAGATACTTCTGGCCTACACACCTGCCTAGGGACCTGGGGTTTGGAGGGTGTTTGGTTTGGGCCCACCGTTCTCTACCTAAAGTTCAGCAAGGCACTCTCTACGTGTCTGTAATCTCATGGGCACCTCGGGGTGAACCCGATGGAAAGGCGGGTCTGGACAGTGCAGCGGAGATGGCGTGGCAGGGAGGAGAGGGCAGCAGCCGGGGGCATCCCTGGGGACAGACGCCTGTGCTCAAATCCTGGCTTTGCAGTTGTTCCACTGCGCTAGTCCCGTGCCCTCGTTTCTGGATGCCAGTGCTTTACATGCAGGAAGATGGGCACATTGTGAGCGCTCAGTGAGTGGTCACCAGGAGTCAGTCCTCCACTCCACCACCCTCAGCCGACCACATGGCTATTTCTTTAACCCGTGCTCCACATATGAGAAATTCTCTCCCTTTGCCGACACATTCAAGAAGCGCGTCAGCAAGAACACGTTCTTCGTGCTGGTACGGGTGGTGGATGAGCTCTGGTGAGTGCTTCACCCTTGGGGTCCTGGGGGCCAGTGGGGAGGCAAAGGCTCCATTCCACCTGCTTCTCCTGCCCATCGGCTCTGGGCAGAGCTGGCTCTTGCCTGCTCTATCTTGGTCCTTTGAGAGAATGGCCTGTGCCCGATAGACCAGGGTGAGATGGGTGAGGTGTCTCTCCACCCTGCACCCAGGCCCTGGATTTCCTCATGAGGTCCCTCCTGGACCCTCAGGAGAGAACCCGCCCAACGCACCTGCTCCCATGGTATCTTAGGTCCAGTCTCCAGCAGGCCGTGCTCTCAGCCGCCAGCCATGGTGGAGGCTGTGTGGAGGCTGGAATGGGAGAGGCCACCTCTCCCTCGCTCCTCAGTGTTTCCATGGCTGGCCATCTGACAGCATGGCACTTGGCCATATCCGTTCCGCTAACAAATCTCCATCAGGCGGACTGCCTTCCTCCTGCTGGGGGAGATGACCATGGTAAGTGGCTGTGCGGCTGGGAAATGGCCACGTGTGGACAGTGCTCAGCAGGGCAAGTTGGGGAGCATCTAGTCTGAGAGGCCGGGAAGTCTTGGTGTCTCATTGCCCAATGGGAGCAGCAGCTCCCCAGGGCGGGATTCGTGTAGGACTTGTCCCTGCAGCCCAGGCCCCAGCACAGTCACTGGCGCTTGTCCAGCGCCAACAGATGGCTGTTGAGTGTGTGGCAGGTGCTTGTGACCATCCCAACACCTCCAAGGACACAGGCAGCCATCCCAGGCTCTCGTCTCCTGCTCTCTTCCCATGAGAAATTTCCCAGCCAGCTCTGTGCCGGTCACAGCCCCGTGCCCTTTGTGTGTCTCAAGGCAAAGACAGACTCTGCCTGGGCCTTGCGTTCCTGCTCCTCACCTTGTGCTCTTTTGTCCTTCAGCCTGGTGGAGTTGACAGAAGAGATCCTGAAGCTGCTGATGGAACTGGTCTTCCGCCTGGTGTGCAATGGGGAGCTGAGCCTGGCCCGTGTGCTCCGGAAGAACATCCTGGACAAGGTGGACCAGAAGAAGCTACTCAGGTGTGCCACCTCCAGCCAGCCCCTGGCAGCCCGGGGGGTAGCAGCCAGGTGAGAAGCCCACCTCTCCAGCCCTGCCTCTTCCCCAGGAGCCGTGCCTTTCTCAGTTTACCCTCCCTCCCTGCCAGCCCCACAGCCCCATCCTGGTTCTGCACAGGCCCTTTGATGAGGTGCCTCAGGAACAGCCCCGTGGATCCCTGG
The DNA here is from genome assembly GCF_000001405.40 of Homo sapiens. Classification (NCBI taxonomy): domain Eukaryota; kingdom Metazoa; phylum Chordata; class Mammalia; order Primates; family Hominidae; genus Homo; species Homo sapiens. The sequence continues at coordinate 131,588,650 of NC_000009.12, read as the reverse complement.
GGGCTGGGCCTCTTCTCCAGGAGGCACATATTGGGTGGTGATCCCTTTGTGACCAGGAAGCGGGCAGCAGGGCATGGGGCTTCATAGGACAGGGCAGGAGTGCACACACCCTGGGCTGTGGTCAGTTCTGGGTTGTCCCAGCACGAACATGGCAGTGGTTGATGCCAGTCTGTGGCCCGTCCCCTCGACACCGACGGTGAGTGTCATTTGCACCTATACATGTCTGTTGAGTAGTGGGCTCCTTCCAGTGAGCGCATAGCCTTCGTTTCTTTGGCACCATCTCTGTTCTTGCTGGCCACCTGGAAGTGGGCTCCAGCCGTGAGCGAGCCTTCTTGGCATCTCAACTGTCCATGAGCTCACGAGGGAAACTCAGGCTTCTGATTCCAGAAGCTGCTGGACATACCCAGCAGAAGCAGGAGAGAAAGGCAGACAGTGTCGTCCCGGAGAGAGGCAGGAGGCCATTAGGGCCCCAGGGAGCCTTTTGGGGCTTCCCCGCCCTGTAGCCTCCACGCTCCTGCTGGGCAGAGAGGCTCTCCTGCTCTGACGCCCGCAGCCCGGGCCTGCTCAGCCCTCCCCACCGGCCTCCCCACCCCTGACGGCTCTTCTCACACCTCTGTCTTCCAGGCCGGGGACCTTGCACGACTTTCACAGCCATGAGATAGCGGAGCAGCTAACGCTGCTGGATGCTGAGCTCTTCTATAAAATAGAGGTACAGGCTGCTCCTGCCAGGGGGAGCCACACTGTTTGTCCCTGAATGAGAGAAACCCCCATCAGGGGAAAGCCGGGGCTCCACCTCCATCTGCCTTCTTTCCTTTTGTAGATTCCTGAGGTTTTGCTTTGGGCAAAAGAGCAGAATGAGGAGAAGAGCCCCAACTTGACCCAGTTCACGGAGCACTTCAACAACATGTCCTACTGGTAAGAGAGGCCCAGCGCCAAGCCCTGTTGCTCTGGATGGTGGCACGTCTGGGTGGGCTCTGCGTTTTCCTTTGCAGGGAGCTTGAATGGTAGGAGAAGGAGCTGCCTCTTTCATTCCGCTAAGCTCCTGGGGGTTCCCATGAGCACTGACAGGCTGAGGACAGGGGCAGGGACAGGATGGGGCTTGCTGGAAGTGGCCACCTGGTCGAGGAGGCTCAGCAGGGAAGAGTGCCAGGGTCGAGGAGCGATGTCTGCCATAGGTGGTGTTGGGAAGGGCGTGAGTTTGCCCTCCTGCCCTGGTCACTGCCAGGCAATCTCAAGCTGATGCTCACACTGACTCTGCCTGACAGAACAGTTAGCAAAGGAGTGGGCTCTATAACGTTAATGTTTGCATTTAGTCTTTAATTCGTGTGTGTGTGTGTGTGTGTGTTTGAGACGGAGTCTCGCTCTGCAGGTGTGTGTGTGTGTTTGAGATGGAGTCTCGCTCTGCAGGTGTGTGTGTGTGTGTGTGTGTTTGAGACGGAGTCTCGCTCTGCAGGTGTGTGTGTGTGTTTGAGACGGAGTCTCGCTCTGCAGGTGTGTGTGTGTGTGTGTGTTTGAGACGGAGTCTCGCTCTGCAGGTGTGTGTGTAAGACGGAGTCTCGCTCTGCAGGTGTGTGTGTGTGTGTGTTTGAGACGGAGTCTCGCTCTGCAGGGGTGTGTGTGTGTGTGTGTGTGTGTGTGTTTGAGACGGAGTCTCACTCTGCAGGTGTGTGTGTGTGTGTGTGTTTGAGACGGAGTCTCGCTCTGCAGGTGTGTGTGTGTGTGTTTGAGACGGAGTCTCGCTCTGCAGGTGTGTGTGTGTGTTTGAGACGGAGTCTCGCTCTGCAGGTGTGTGTGTGTGTGTGTGTGTGTTTGAGACGGAGTCTCGCTCTGCAGGTGTGTGTGTGTGTGTGTGTGTTTGACGGAGTCTCGCTCTGCAGGTGTGTGTGTGAGACGGAGTCTCGCTCTGCAGGTGTGTGTGTGAGACGGAGTCTCGCTCTGCAGGTGTGTGTGTGTGTTTGAGACGGAGTCTCACTCTGCAGGGGTGTGTGTGTGTGTGTGTGTTTGAGACGGAGTCTCTGCAGGTGTGTGTGTGTGTGTGTGTTTGAGACGGAGTCTCGCTCTGCAGGTGTGTGTGTGTGTGTTTGAGACGGAGTCTCGCTCTGCAGGTGTGTGTGTGTGTGTGTGTTTGACGGAGTCTCGCTCTGCAGGTGTGTGTGTGTGTGTTTGAGACGGAGTCTCGCTCTGCAGGTGTGTGTGTGTGTGTGTGTTTGAGACGGAGTCTCGCTCTGCAGGTGTGTGTGTGTGTGTGTTTGAGACGGAGTCTCGCTCTGCAGGTGGGTGTGTGTGTGTGTGTGTGTTTGAGACGGAGTCTTGCTCTGCAGGTGTGTGTGTGTGTGTGTGTTTGAGACGGAGTCTGGCTCTGCAGGTGTGTGTGTGTGTGTGTGTGTGTGTGTTTGAGACAGAGTCTTGCTCTGCAGGTGTGTGTGTGTGTGTGTGCGTGCGTGTGTGTGTGTTTGAGACGGAGTCTGGCTCTGCCGCCCAGGCTGGAGTGCAGTGGCGCAATCTCGGCTCACTGCAAGCTCTGGCTCCCCTCAAGCTCCACCTCCCGGGTTCACGCCATTCTCCTGCCTCAGCCTCCAGAGTAGCTGGGACTACAGGTGCTCGCCACCACACCCAGCTAATTTTTTGTATTTTTAGTAGAGACAGGGTTTCACCGTGTTAGCCAGGGTGGTCTCAACCTCCTGGCCTCGTGATCCACCCACCTCAGCCTCCCAAAGTGCTGGGATTACAGGCATGAGCCACCGCTCCCAGCCTAGTCTTTAATTCTTAAAGCAAAATGAATCCCAGTAATGTGTTTATAAACCAGAGCTCTTGTCTCTTCAAGAGGCGACAAAGCCCCCATAGCAGCTCAGCATCAGGCAGGACCCCCTAGAGCTCAGCAGCTGTGCCACCCCCACCCACCCACTGTTGCCTCCAGGAGAATGTCTGATGTGTTTTAAAGGCCCCGAGATCATCTCCCGTTTGCCTATCTTCCTCCCCACAGAAGCACTCCATCCTGGGGAAAAGCATGTTTAGCTATGGCAGTCCAGCGTAGGGTTTTGCCCAACAGGATGTGGTTTCTAAAGCAGACGGAAGCTGCACACAAGGCCCCAAGCCTGGCTTCTGACACCAGCCTCTGGCTGGGTGCAAGAAGCTCAGGGGCACACTCCACAGGGCCTGGCTGCACAGAGGTGCGAGTGCAGTGGCTCACATCTATAATCCCAGGACTTTGGGAGGCCGAGGCAGGAGGGTCACTTGAGCGCAGGAGTTCGAGACCAGCCTGGACAACATAGAGAGACGCCCCCCCCCTACAAAAAATTAAAATTAGCCAAGAGCAGTGGTGCACACCTATAGTCCCAGCTACTCGGGAAGCTGGGGCAGAAGGATCAGTTGAGAACAGGAGTTCAAGACTACAGTGAGATATACTCACAGCACTGGGTGACAGATCAAGACCCTGTCTCTTAAATAAAAAAGAAGAACCAGCAGTGCAAAGTGCGGCACCACCTCCAAGTGACCCTGGTAGTGGCCCCTGTGAACCACAGGAAATTGAGGCCAGGGTGACATCCCTGCTGCATTTATCACACAGATGAGACTGGCCTTTGGCTTTGGTCTCGGCTTTGGTTGCTACTAAGGTTCTGAGAGTTTCCTTCCCTCGTGGCTGCCCAAGGTGACCTCTTACCTCACGTGCTAGCGGGTCTCCCCGAGCCAGTCCTGCATCACACAAGGAACTTGCCCAGCCCCCTGGTACTTGGGGCCCATGCTTGTCAGGAAAGGCTCTGCTTTCATCCTCCCATGCTCCACCTGCAGATTCGAAGCCCCCTTTGGGCCTTCACCAGATTTCCTTATGGTCACCAGATTTATTGTCACCAGATTTCCTTGTGCCTCTGTCCCAGGATGTTATGAGCTCCTGGAGAGCAGAAACTAGATCTATGCCTGGGGCAGGCTGCAGGTATTCAGTAGGGGTGGGCTCGTGGCCACTGGCATGGGGGTCGTACAGGTCCTGTCTCCACCAGGACCCCTGGGACCTGCAGGGACTTGTCAACTCAGCTGTTTCTTTTTCCCTTGGTCCATGCAGGGTCCGGTCCATAATCATGTTACAGGAAAAGGCCCAGGACAGGGAACGGCTGCTCTTGAAGTTCATCAAGATCATGAAGGTAATGGTGGCCAAGTCCTTCCCAGGCCCCCATCATCAGTCCCTGCTCTGGGAGCCCGGGACCCGCCTGCCCTCCTGCCTCACGGCACCGCCCCTCTCTCGGCAGCACTTGCGGAAGCTGAATAACTTCAACTCCTACTTGGCCATCCTCTCTGCCCTGGACTCGGCGCCCATCCGCAGGCTGGAGTGGCAGAAGCAGACTTCAGAGGTGAGTGGCCTTGGGGCGTGGGCGGGAGGGTGGCTGGTAAGGGGGGCCGCCCAGCCCTCAGGCGACTAGCTGTGGCAGAAAGTGCTCCCACTGGAGCAAATGCTGGGCCTAGGCCCCTGCTCTGCCACCGACATGCTGTGTGACCAGAACAGCTGCCCTCCCGCCTTCCTGTCTCTGATCCCCAATCTTCAGGCCCCCGGGAGCTTCGAGGTTGGTTCTGGGGTGGTCACATCCCGGTGTTCTGCTGCCACCCAGCAGGCCCATCCCTGGGTTCCCGCCTCCCCCGCCCGCCCTCAGCCCGTTCTTCTGAAGGGTCTGCTTCGGGCCGGGCACTGCGGTAGGTGCTGGGGACGCACTGTGAACAGCCCAACATGATGTTGGGTGAGTTTCTGCTAGATAAGCACTAAAAGAAGAAGGGTGGGCAGGTGGGCCAGCCCAGAGGAAGTGTCACTCATGCCACCATCTGCAGAGGAGGAGGAGTTTCCTGGGAAGGGAAGAGAATCAAAGGGGACAAAGGAGTGCACAGCCAGGAGCAGGTGGGGGTCAGCACCTCCAGGGACAGGAGGAGGCCAGGGGACCACATCCCGGGAGAAGGGGACCAGTTCTAGGTCATGAGAGCCTCAGGAGCCTGGTGAGGAGTTGGACCTTTATCCTGTGTAGGGAAATAATATTGCAAATGGGGGCAAAACCCATGGCTTTTGAGTGTCAGCCAGGCCACCCAGGGGTCATGTCAGGGACCCAAGTTCAGCCAGGCCACCCAGGGATTGTGTCAGGGACCTGAGTGTGACCAGACCACCCAGAGGTCATGTCAGGAACCCGAGCGTCAGCCAGGCCACCTGGGGGTCGTGTCAGGAACCCGAGTGTGACCCAGGCCACCCAGGGGTCATGTCAGAGACCCGGGTGTCAGCCAGGCCACCCAGGGTCTTCTTGTTCAAGCCCATGTTCAGGGATGGTTGTAAGCTAGTGTATGGGGAGAGGTGGGAAATTCACACGGCCTCTGCATGGGGGGTCCTCAGGAGGCAGCACTTCAGGGAGAGGCACGTAACAGGAGAAGAGGCAGGAGAGGGGCCTTCTGAGTGGGGCAGGGCTGGCTGAGTCTCCTAGGTGGGAGCCCCCCACCCCTGCAGGAGAGAAGCCACCCAGCCCTGGGGAGGGCGAGGTCACATGCTATCTTTAGTTGGTCCTCCCTGAGTACAGGGCAGAGCAAAGGCAGCTCCGAGTCAGGAGTGACGCCACTCAGTGTGTGCCTGGGAAGCTCCTCTGGCTGCACCGCCGAACAGGGCCAGGCAGGAGCCCATCTTCCGGGATGTCGTATACACACAAGCGCTGGCTGCCCAGGCACAATGAGTACTGTGGGGTGTTTCTCCACAAAACGGCCTGAAGTCCCCTGTGACCAGGGGTTGGGCTGACACTCGTTGAAAAGGACAGAATCCCTGCTGGCCAGGGCCAGGACCCACACCTGGCTGGGTGTTTGTGCGTAGTGGGACCTGTGGAGTTGGGCAGAGGGTGGTTGACCCTCCAGTTAGTGAGGAGGACCAGGGCTCTGCCCCAGCATTGCCCCAGCACTCGCTCACCCCTGTCCGGTCCTGTCCTGTCCTGTCCTGCCAGGGCCTGGCCGAGTACTGCACACTGATCGACAGCTCGTCCTCCTTCCGAGCCTACCGGGCCGCCCTCTCGGAGGTGGAACCGCCGTGCATCCCGTACCTGTGAGTAGCAGCCCCTCCAGGCCCCCAGCCCCGCCTGGGTTTGCCTCCATTGCTCTGGGGAAGATCTGTCAGGCTCCAGCAGAGAAATCTTAATTTAGGGGTTTCTAACGGAGACATTTGTACTTGGTTTTACTTAAGGTTCTTGTAATACAGTTATAATGCATAATATACAATACATATATATAATATAATATATAATGCTTCTTATAATACAGTTTAAACAGAAAAGAAGCGCTCAGGTGAAGAATACGGGTTCTCCTTTCCCAGCCCCCAGCCCCACTCTCATTTCCTTCTGTAGCCTGCCCGTGAGCATGTGCAGCCATGCTTGTGACAGATGTATGGCTCCTCTCCCCACACATGGCATCACACAGTATTCCAGTGTCCTCACACGTGGCTGCGCATTAGAACAACCTGAGGATGCACGGCCACCCAGGGACCTTGAGAGCCTTGGTGTAAAGAAGTTCAGAAAGTGCTTCCTGAGCGTGGACCATGGGCGAGAGGAAATATGTGTTTCATAGAAAAGGGACGTAGCGGAATAACCAAAACCAAACAAGTGTCTGTTGCAGGACTTACGAGAGCCTTTAGTATATACTAGTAGACACTGAGAATCTCCAAGAGACCAAAAGCGCAGCAGCATCCCAGTGCTGAGTGTTCAATGGCACATCCTATAGGGTTACTGCAGGGCTGCCCTCGAGGCCTCAACCCTCAGAGATACAAATCCCCAGGCTTCCTGCTCTGAGCACTAACAGTCTTTCCCACTGTGGCTCTACATCTGCTCCCTCAAGCTGAGTTCTCCCTGAGTGGAGGAACTGCCCCTGTCTTTCTCATCTGGCCTTAAGTCCTCTGCAGTCAGAAGCACCTATTAAGTTACTACACCTTGTTTGTTTCTTTGTTTCTTTGTTTGTGATGGAGTCTCACTCTGTCACCCAGGCTGGTATGCAGTGGCATGATCTTGGCTCACTGCAATCTCTGCCTCCTGAGTTCAAGCAGTTCTCCCACCTCAGCCTCCTGAGTAGTCGATGGGACTACAGGCATGCGCAACCACGCCTGGCTAATTTTTTTTTTTTGTATTTTTTTTAGTAGAGACGGAGTTTCACCATGTTGGCCAGGCTAGTCTCAAACTCTTGACCTCAGGTGATCCACCTGCCTTGGCCTCCCAAAGTGCTGGGATTACAGGCAGGAGTCACCACACCCAGCCAGTTTCTTTGTTTAATAAAGACGGAGTCTCTGTCACCCAGGCTGGAGTGCAGTGGTGCAATCATAGCTCACTGCAGCCTTGAACTCCTGGGCTCAAGGAATCCTCCCACATCGGTCTCCTTAGTAGCTGGGATTACAGGTACACGCCACCATGCCCAGCTAATTTTTGTATTTTTTGTAGGGACGAGGTCTTGCTATGTTGCCCAGGCTGGTTTCAAACTCTTTTTTTTTTTCTTTTTTTGAGACAGAGTTACGTTCTTGTTACCCAGGCTGGAGTTCTTGTTACGTTCTTGTTACCCAGGCAGTGGCGCAATCTTGGCTCACTGCAACCTCCGCCTCCCAGGTTCAAGTGATTCTCCTGCCTCAGCCTCCCGAGTTGGGATGACAGGTGTGCACCACCATGCCCGGCTACTTTTTGTATTTTTAGTAGAGACAGGGTTTCACCATGTTGGCCAGGTTGATCTCAAACTCCTGACCTCAGGTGATCCTCCCACCTTGGCCTCCCAAAATGCTGGGATTACAGGTGTGAGCCACCACACCCAGCCTAGCTGTTCTCAAACTCTTGAGCTCAATCCTCCTGCCTTAGCCTCCTATAGTACTGGGATTACAGGTGTGAGCCATTGCACCCAGCCCACCACACCTGTTAATAAAAGGAGATCTCTGCCCCTGCCCCCTGGTTTGGGTTTTGTTATTTTTTTTTTTTACTGCTCATTTGTTAATGTTACTTTAGCAGCCCACAGCTTCGCCCTTATGGGTTGAGCCATGGCAGCCGCATCACCCTCAGGCTCCTCATCAGCATACTGGCTTCCGAGGTCCCCAGCAGGTGCTTGTGGAGCCAGAGGCCAGAGGCTGAGGCGGGAGTTTGTTCTGGGAAACAGACACCTCAGACTGGCTCTTTGGTTTGCTCTGGGGTTTGGAAGCTGCTCACTGCGAGTCCTAGCGCCTGACACATGTCTCTAGCCCTTGCTGCTTCCAAACCCCGTAGCAGTAACAGGCTGCCTAACCCGTCCTCCCAGGGGGCTGATCCTGCAGGACCTGACCTTCGTTCACCTGGGAAACCCAGACTACATCGACGGGAAAGTGAACTTCTCCAAGCGGTGGCAGCAGTTCAACATCCTCGACAGCATGCGCTGCTTCCAGCAGGCGTGAGTGCCACTGCCCCGGGGGGACCAGGCAGAGCTGAGCCCCGGGCCACACACAAGGAGAGACAGCCCGGGACACCGAGGGGAGGGGGAGCCACAGAGGACCCAGGGACCTGCCACTGCTGAGATATAGTCCGGGCCCTTCAGTTTCTGCCAGGATGACTTGAGAGCATGCCCACCAGGCTCCATGCCAGGCCTAGCCTGGCCCTGGGCCTGGACCCCGTGACAGCACAGCTCGTCCTCCCATTTTACACACCAGAAGCTGGTGCCCACCTTGCTGTGAGAAGGGCCTGACAAACCCTGGCCTGCCTGACTCTGAGGCACCAGAGCTCCCCCAGGGCGGGCCCTGGCATGCGTTGTTGGGGGCAGTGGGATCACCTGGGGCCCCCTCCCTGTGAGCAGCCCAGCCTCAGGGCCCTGTTTGTGCTCCATGTGCTGGTGGCACCGTCTCTGAGCACTGGTGTCCCCTCTGTCACATTGGTCAACGGTAGCCCCTGCAGCATCCGTTTGCTGCGAGGCTGTGGGGATGGTCCCCGCGGCACCTTCCAGGAGGGTGGCGCCATCGGGCCATCCAGCCCACACAGGTGCTCACTGACTGCTCCCCATCCCCTGCACCAGGCACTATGACATGCGGAGGAACGACGACATTATAAACTTCTTCAATGACTTCAGTGACCACCTGGCTGAGGAGGCCCTATGGGAACTGTCTCTGAAAATTAAACCCAGGAACATAACAAGGAGAAAAACAGACCGGGAAGAGAAGACCTAGGAGCAGACGCCGGGATCCAGGAGAATGCTCGAGGGGCGCAGAGGGCAGCTCCCAGACCGGAGAGGACCTTGGACCTGTTAGGCGCATGGCAGGAGTCCCGGCCTCGGAGCCATGAGGCTGGCCAGCCCTCAGCGGGGCCGGGCGGGAGCTGGAGCCTGCCAGCCGCTTCCTGCCTCCTTCCTCTGTGGGAGCAGACCCGTGGGCCTCAGGGCAGCCAGCAGGCAGGTCTTGTTGCCAATTTACAAACCGGTGGTTTTCTGGTTTGGTTTTGTTTTCTGCTTTTACTTCCATCTCTCCCCTCTTGACCTTCCACCCACTCCCCTCCAGGGAGAGAGCAGCAGAGACCTCATCAGCAGACCAAGGAAGTGGTGGGTGCTCCCCCTCCCTAAGCTCCAGGGTCCCTGAATCTTCTGAAATCTCAAATGAGTGGAGGCCTCCTGGGGTGGCCTGTCCTGCAGGGGCCCTGGAATGGGGGCAAGCAGCTGGGTGGGCAGAATGCAGAGTAGACTCGGGGGAGGATCCTTTCACTTTCCGCTTCCCCTTCTGATGCATGGAGGATGGTGTGAGCTTTTCAGCAGGCCCGGAAAGGTACGCAGGTGACGCCTTAGCAGCCCCGCAGCTGGTGCTCTGCCCCGCGGTACTGGCGCCATCAGGGCCTCCCTTGCCCGCCTGAGAGCAGCAGCAGTCTCTGTCATCCCGTCGCCCCTTACCCCCCACCCCAGGCCACTGGGCCCCTCCCACACCACCTGGGGAGCTGAGAAGAGGAGGCTGGAGTAAGGGAGGACTTGATCATCCAAGAAATACTTTTTATTGCTGGGAGTCTTCTGAACCTCACCAAACTGAGGCCAGAGCTGAGCTCCTGGGGGAGTTAATTCAGAGGGGAGAGGCCAGCACCTCCCTCCTCCATCGCTCGCTGTGTGCCTTAAACTCCATCTCATGTCCCTCCCCATCCCCTGGCTTTCCCTCCCTCCTTGCCCCATCCTGGGCCAGCCAGCAGGGCTCCTCCTCTGGCTCTTCAGACCTTTCAGCCAGTGCTGTCAGTGCCCCTGGGAGGGAAGGGCATCCCTGAGGCACCCGAATGGTCCCTCAGGGTGCAGGGAGGCAGAAGCCTGGCCACAGAGGAGCCTCCTAAGGCAGCAGCTGCAGCAAGCGCACCCTCTCCCCACTCTCCCCACGCCAGAGCGGCTTCCAGAGCAGATGCTGTTTCCATCCTCCTCGTCAAAACCATTCTCGCTGCTGAGCTTGACAATCTGGGCAAGGCTTGTGGGGCGCTTGACAAACAGAATCTGCCCTGTGCCGCCTGGTTCCGTGGCCTCCAGCATGAGCCTGCAGGCAGGGCGCTGCGGGAACCCAGTTGTGCTGCCCCAGCCCATGCCTCCGGGTCTGCTGTGCATGAATGAGTGCTCACTTGTCCCGGGTTTAGGACGTGGTCAAGTGAACAGCAGGGTCTAACTGTGCTTACTTAGCCCAGTTCAAACAGAACAAAGGAAAAATATAGAAAGCAACATCTGTTGATCATTTAGGTTTTTTTTTAAACCACCATGTCACTTTGAGTCCTTCATGGGTTTTTGAACAGCATTTATCAAGAAGAAAATGTGGGCTTTTTCCCCTCTCCCGTGTTTTGTTTGTCCTGTAGATAGAGGGAGGAAAGCCGTGCAGTGGCAGGCGGGACCCCCTCTGGTGGCGGGACCCCCTCTTGCGGTGGTCTTGCGGGGCCAGCCGGGACCTGTCACTTTATTATTTAAGGAGTGTGTGTGTAGAGTCGCTGGCTTATTAACAGTATTGTGTGTGGGTTGGGTTTTTAGTTTGTTCCTTCTTTTTGAAGTCCCTTCATTTCAATCCTTGACTCTCTCTCCCCTTCCCTTGCCCAGCTCTGTTGAATGCTGCTGTGCGCGTGTGAGGGCCGCTCTGCACACAGGGCCCTTGGGTTGTGTGAACTGAAATTCTCCCTGTATTTGTGAGACTCGCAGGAGTCCCCATCTGTAGCACAGGCAATGCCAGTGCCATGCTGCAGCCTCAGAAACCAGGCCTCTCACTCCAGCAGCAGGCAGAACCGTGTCTGTGGTCGGGTGCTGTCCACAGCTCTGTCTGCCTTGTTCTTGGGCTTGAGCTGGATAGAGGTGGGGTCTCTTCACCTTCCCTGAATTCAGAACAGACCCTGTGCCTGGCCCCAGTGTGCCCAGGCAATTCCCCAGGCCCTCACTGGGAGCCCTTGGTGTTCTGAGCAGCAGGGCCCAGGCAGCACATGAGCAGTGCCCAGGGGCTCCCTGCGTGAGGACGGCAAGGTGCGATGTATGTCTAACTTATTGATGGCAGGCAGCCCCCTGTGCCCCCTAAGCCTGGCCCTGGTTATTGCTGAGCTCTGTGCTCAGTGCTGCGGCCTGGCCGTGGCTCGTCTGTTCCTTTGGGGGGCCCGGGCGGGTTGTGGGAATCAGTCTTCACAGACAGACGTGAGCCAGGCGGAGGACTCGTTCCTTGCAGAGGTCAGTCCTCACCTGCAGGTGTCGGGGTGTGGGGGGGCAAGGAGGGGCAGGCACACACCATGTCTGACCTGAACCCGATTCTGGGGAGCATCTTCCCGCTCCGGCCCCACGACCTCCACAGGGTTACATTGTAATATATATGCCCCAGCTAACCTGTCTGATGGTGGCATCTTCCTGCAGACATTTCAAACATGTAACTTTTATATGAAAAAAAATAAACACAGATGAAAGCTGCCCAATGCCATGTCCGCGCCCAGCTGCATGTGTGCAACTACAGTGACAGCCCAGCCTGCTCCATGCTGGCCTTGCCATCTCTTTTCTGAGACCCCTGTCGCAGGCGGGGCTCCTGGGAGGCTGGGGTCATTCAGCTCCACTCCCAGGCCCACTTGCTGCCATTGGGGTAGTCGTGGCTGAGTGAAATGGACGTCACCAGAACTTTCCCTCCTAGGCCTTGTGCCCTAGAAGCATTCAACTGGACAAAGAATTGCTCGTGCTCCAGAGGTCGGTTCATGCACAAGAGCCCCTCACCCCAGTGTCCTGATGAAAAGGGCATTCCTCGGGTGGGATTCGGGGGCACAGGCTCTAGAATTGCTCCTTCGGGGCCCGGAAGCACTGTCTTTATGGCGTGCCTTTTGCGGTGTGTCCTCTGCCGCCCAGGAGGCAGCACACAGAGGCTCGGGCCCAGCCCCAGTGAAGAACAGCAGAGCCTCTGCACTTACAAGGGACAGAGTGAGGAGGCCCCAGGGATTCCAGTCCCTTCTCTGCCCCGAGGTGTGCTGTGTCCCCTCCATGCGGAGTAAGGCACGGGGCCCAATGGCTCTGGGAGGCCATTTGTCTCCCTGTCTTCCTTGTCCTCCCACACCACAGCCCACCTGTGCCCCATTGTTTCCATCCTAGCACCTGAGACCAAGCACCCCAGCATAGCCACCCAGGGATGGCGGGGATCAGGGCCAGCCCTCATATTCACCCTGGTTCCCAGTCCCCAACTTTCAGCCCCACGGCGGCCCCTGGGGAAGCCCAGGATCTCTGCATCTCTCTGTACCTGATCGTGCAGAGGTCAGGCCTGGTGAGGAGGAGGCATCTCCCCTCATGCCCCGCAAAGGCAGCAGCTTAAGTCTGTCCCTTTAAAGGGAAGGGGCCAAGTATTCCTGGGCTGATCACAAGATCTGATAGAAGGGACCCTGCATCAGGCAGGCATCAACCATCCAGAGCTGTTGGCTGCCTGTGTGTCAGGCGCCAACGCCAAAGCCTCCATGAACCTCGTAGGTGATGGAAGCCCAGGTTCTCTCTTTTGTTCCTTGTGTCCTCGGGCAGATTGCTCAGCCACTCATGCCTCAGGCTCCTCATTATCTGCTTTTGTCCATTTCGACCAATGAGCACACAGAAGCCCGAGAGAGACCAGTCCACTCCTGAGTCCTCCACTCGCATCTCCCTCCCCTGCCAGCAATGCCAGGAAGCTGGTCTGGCCCCAACAACCCCAGTGAGCAGGAGGTGATGTGCCAGGTATGGACCTCAGGCCTCAGCCTTCCCACCAGGGCTGCGGGGCAGCAGCTGCTGCGACCCACCCTGGTCTTTGGTGACCGGCAGACCGCGAGATTCACCAAGGGAGCCGCCATAGTCACGGAGGAAACACCTTGGCTTCCACCCCACCCCCACAGTGTCCCCGCCCAGGACCTGCGAGTGTGCATGCTTAGCCAGTAACCCAGGAGGCTCAGATGCCTGCTCCAACCAAGAACTGCGGTCCCCCCGAAGGTGTCTGAGCTGAGGGCCCCAAGCCTCCCACCTGCTCTGACCTTGCAGTAGGTCGACAATCTGGGTCCCGCCCCCAGTGGTGCAAGGCTGGAGAATGGGGTATGATGGCTGACTGCTCATTGTTCCCCCTGTGGGATGGGAGGCAGGCCCCAGCATTCATTCAAACCTTTTTTTTCATTCATTCACTAGGGGTGCATTATTTAGGAAGCAGTCAAGGTGTGGTTCGGGCCATCTGAGTCCCTCATTGGCTGCCAGCAGTCTGGGGGAATATGTCCTTGGCTGCAAAGGGCTGTGTCCTGACTCTGCAGCTGATAAGCAAAAGGACCCTGGGTAAGTGGTTTTCTTCTCTGCTTGGCAGTTTCCCCAGCTGGAAGTGGGGTAATAACAGACTCTGCTTTCTAAGGTCTCACAAAGTTTCAATGAGTTAATACTTGGATATAATAATATTTTGGGGTACCAAGCACTTTGCAGACTGCTTTACCTCATTCACTTCTCTTAATCGAAAAATCACACAGGCTGGGTGCAGTGGCTCATGCCTGTAATCCCAGCACTTTGGGAGGCCGAGGCAGGCGGATCACATGAGGTCAGGAGTTCGAGGCCAGCCTGGCCAACATGATGAAACCCCGTCTCTACTAAAAATACAAAAATTAGCTAGGCATGGTGGCAGGCGCCTGTAGTCCCAGCTACTCAGGAGGCTGAGGCAGGAGAATGGCGTGAACCCGGGAGGTGGAGCTTGCAGTGAGCCGAGATCACACCACCACTCCAGCCTGGGCGAGAGCGAGACTCCTAAAAAAAAAAAAAAACCCGGGTATGGTGGTGGGTGGTGGGCGCCTGTAATCCCAGCTACTCAGGAGGCTGAGGCAGGAGAATCGCTGGAACATGGGAGGCAGAGGTTGCAATGAGCTGAGATCGCACCACTGGGCTCCAGCCTGGGTAACAGAGTGAGACTCTGTCTCAAAAAAAAAAAGGGAAAAACTAAACTTGTTTTATGAATGGAATATAACCTTGACATCGAATCAAAACAAGGACAGTACAAGATAATTACAAGTCCGTCTGATGTATGAATACTGATACAAAACTTATAAAATCATCTTAGCAGCCCCAAACCAGCATCACATAAAAATCAGTCCTTCCTGACCAGGTTGGGCTTATCTCAAAAATACAAGGATGGAATAATTTCAATCAGTTAATGGATGTCACTGACCCCATGCTAGACGCTGCTGCTCCACACGTCTGGTTTGCATCTCCTTCCTGGGCACACAGGGGACTACACTTCCCAGCCCCCTGCCTGAGATCTGAGAGGCAGACACATGTCACTGTGGGCTGGGCGTTTAAGGACTATTGTGCAGCTCCCTACTTAATCTTTCCCACCCGCGGTACTCCTGGAGTCTGGGTGTTGAGATGGCAGAGCCCCAACTTGGGGGAGCCTGGTCAGGGAACACCCCACTCACCCACACGGGGCTTGCTTGATGTGAATGAAAAATGAAGCCATGGAGACCAGGGTTTTTTTTCACGGCATGGCCTCGCTTCTCCCGAATGTACCACGTTAACAAATTAAAGGGAGAAAGCCATAGAATCACCGCAATAGTCACAGAACAGCCTTTGTTAAAAATGCAACATCCATTCTTTTTTTTTTTTTTTTTTTTTTTTTTTTTTTTTTTTTTTTTTGAGACGGAGTCTCGCTCTGTCGCCCAGGCTGGAGTGCAGTGGCGCGATCTCGGCTCACTGGAAGCTCCACCTCCCGGGTTCACGCCATTCTCCTGCCTCAGCCTCCCGAGTAGCTGGGACTACAGGCTCCCGCGACCACACCCGGCTAATTTTTTGTATTTTCAGTAGAGACAGGGTTTCACCATGTTAGCCAGGATGGTCTCGATCTCCTGACCTCGTGATCCACCCACCTCAGCCTCCCAAAGTGCTGGGATTACAGGCGTGAGCCACCGCACCTGGCCATTATTTTTATTATGAATAACAAAAATTCAGGGTTTCGCTTTTGTCCCCCAGGCTGGAGTGTGTGGCATCTGCTCACTGCAACCTCGACCTCCCAGGCTCAAGCGATTCACCTCACCCTCCCAAGTAGCTGGGCATATAGGCACGCACCGCCAGACCCAGCTAATTTTTTATTTTTTGTAGAGACCAGGTTTTACCATGTTGGCCAGGCTAGTCTTGAACTCCTGAGCTCAAGTGATCCACTCATCTCGGCTTCCCAAAGTGTAGGGACTACAGACGTGAGCCACCACAGCCGGCCAAAAACCTTTTTGTTAACTAGAAATAGAAAGCCTCTTTAATCTGATGAAGGTTAACTTCCAAGATCGTATAGAGACATACTTAATTGTGAAATATTCAAAGTGCTTCCTTTAAAATCAGAAACAAGAGAATGATCCCACTAACTCCTTGTCTGTTCATTGTACTGGAGATCCTTGCCAATGATGTAAGAAAAGTAAATGACTGAGAGATGAACAAGAAAATCTATCAAGGTGGCTAGCTATACAACCAAATAAAAAGTTCAGCATATTCCTATATACAGTCAGTCAGCAATCAGAAAATGTAATCCTTTTTTTTGTTTGTTTTTTGAGGATTTGGGGTTGTTTTCTGTTTTGTTTTTGTTTTTGTTTTTGTTTAATGGTGTCTTGCTCTGTTGCCCAGGTTGGAGTGCAGTGATGTGGCCACAGCTCACTGCAGTCTCAAACTTCTGGTCTCCAGCAATCCTCCCACCTCAGCCTCCCAAGGAACTCAGATTACAGGCACGTGCCACCACGCCCAGCTTCAAAAAATGTAATTCTTAAAGGACCCCATTTATACTAGCATCACAAGTCTTAAGGTCCTAGACCAGCAAAAGATGTGTGAAACCTTTATAGGAAAAATGATAAGATTTTATTAAAAACCATAAAAAAAAAACCTTAATAAATTGAGAGGTGTGAATGTTTGTGGATAGGAAAATTAACTTTCTGGGAGTTTTTTGAGACAGGGTCTCAACTCCCATCACCCAGGCTGCAGTACAGTAGTGTGATCTTGGCTCACTGCAACCTCATATTCCTGGACTCAGGTGATCCTCCCACCTCAGCCTCCTCAGTAGCTGGGACTACAGGTGCATGCCACCACCTCCAGCTAATTTTTTTTATTATTATTTTTAGTAGAGACGGGGTTTTGCCATGTTGCCCAAGCTGGTCTCGCACTCCTGGGCTCAAGCAATCCACCTGCCTTGGCCTCCCAAAGTGCTGGGATTACAGGCATGAGCCACCACACCCAGCCAATTTTTGTAAAGATGTCACTTCTCCCCCAGATAATGTATAAATTCAAAACTATTCCAAAGGAAATCAAAGAAGGACTTTATGTGGTCCTTGATGAAGTTAATTCTAACATGTGTTAAAGAATTACCACTCTGGCGATTCCACCCAGCCATCCTGCTAGGAAAGCTTGATCAGATTTTAAAACCCTACCTGCAGTCAGGTCAGGTGGCTCTCACCTGTAATCCCAGCACTTTGGGAGCCCTAACTGGGTGGATCACTTAAGATCAGGAATTCAAGACTAGCCTGACCAACATGGTGAAACCCCGTCTCTACTAAAAAAGAAGGTACAAAATTAGCCAGGTGTGGTGGCGCATTCCTGTAATCCCAGCTACTTGGGAGGCTGAGGCAGGAGAATCGCTTAAACACGGGAGGCAGAGGTTGGAGTGAGCTGAGATCGCGCCATTGCACTCCAACCTGGGCGACAAGGGCGAAACTTCGTCTCAAAAAATAAAAATAATAATGTAATATATATAATAAAACCCTGCCTAAAGTCATCAGAGAACTAGGAGAGAAGGAGGAATTACTGGGCCAAGATTCAGGAAGAGACAGGAGGGAAGCCTGACACCTGGGGCCATGTAATGTAAAGGGCGTCTGACAATTCCAGATGACGTGGCCGAGGAACTGAGCAGAACTTCAGACAAAAGAGTAGTTAAGGAAAAAAGGGGAGAGTCTAGAACTCACCAGGCTTTGAATTGAAACCTCAGGGAGCTGCCCTGCAGGTGGAAGGGTGACCCATGACAAGTATACCAACCCTCACAGGGACAGAGCCAGCTCCAGATGGTCTCAGTCCCTGAAACTGGATTAAGATGATTCTGGACACCTAGCAACCCAGGCACTTGCCAGAAACAAAGGCAAAGAAACTGGAGAGGTTTGGCCAGGCACGGTGCCTCACGCCTGTAATCCCAGCACTTTGGGAGGCCAAGGCGGGTGGATCACAAGGTCAGGAGATTGAAACCATCCTGGCTAACACGGTGAAACCCTGTCTCTACTAAAAATACAAAAAATGAGCCGGGTGTGGTGGCAGGCGCCTGTAGTCCCAGCTACTCGGGAGGCTGAGGCAGGAGAATGGCAGGACAGGGAGGTGGAGCTTGTAGTGAGCCGAGATCGAGCCACTGCACTCCAGCCTGGGCGACAGAGTGAGACTCCGTCTCAAAAAAAAAAAAAAAAAAAAAAAACTGGAGAGGTTAACATCATCCTAGGTCTCTAGTTATTTCTTAATTTTTCACATACGGCAAAACATAACTAGGGCACAAGCATTTCCTGCTGAAAAAAAAAAAAAAAAGAAAAAAAAAACAGAAGCATTTGACAGAATCAGTCCCCCGAAGGCTGAAATTTGGAGTTCTTAAATGTGGCTGTGAATGTGCAGTGCTTAACTATGTTCTAGGAGTGACACAAGCCTGAGAAATTTGGCAAATAATTAGAAAATATAAACAGGACAAATGGAAATTCTAAACCAAAAAATACCTCATATGAAGAACTCAGTGACTGTTTAAGAGCAAAATTAGTGACCTGGAGATAGGTTAGAAGCTGTGGGTGGGCTGGGCACGGTGGCTCACGCCTGCAATCCCAACATTTTGGGAGGTGGAGGCAGGTGGATCACTTGAGGTCAGGAGTTCGAGACCAGCCTGGCCAACATGGTGAAACCCCATATCTACTAAAAATATAAAAATTAGCTGGATGTGATGGCGGGGGCCTGTAATTCCAGCTACTTGGGAGGCTGAGGTAGGAGAATCCGCTTAGAGTCCAAGAGGTGGAAGTTGCAGTGAGCTGAGATCACGCCACTGAACTCCAGCCTGGGAGACAGAGTGAGACTCCATCTCAAAAAAAAAAAAAGACGATGTGGGTAGAATGCAGCATGAAGAGACACAGGATGGAGCAAACCAGGTAGGAGGAGACCCAGGGATAGAAGTCCTGAGGGTAAGTGGACCAGCAGAAAGGAAAAGGTCAGAGCAGAAGCAAGGAATGACTCCCGTGTACATCAGTGTTCACAGCAGGATTATTCACACTGGCCAAAAAGGGGAGAGGACCCAAGGGTACAACAGCTGGTGAAAGGATTAACAAAATGAGGTATTTCCATACAGTGGAACACTTTAGCAATCCAGAGGAATGAGCTGACACATGCTGCAACATGGATGAGCCTTGAAAACATGGACATGGCCAGGCGCAGTGGCTCACGCCTATAATCCGAGCACTTTGAGAGGCCGAGGCATTCAGATCACTTGAGGTCAGGAGTTCGAGACCAACCTGGCCAACATGGTGAAACCCTGTCTCTACTAAAAATACAAAAATTAGCCGGATGTGCTTGCTTGAACCTAGAAGGTGGAGGTTGCAGTGAGCCAAGATCGTGCCACTGCACAGAGTGAGACTCTGACTCAAAAAAAAAAGAAACATGGAGGCCAGGTGGGGTGGCTCATGCCTGTAATCCCAGCACTTTGGGAGGCTGAGGCGAGTGGATCACAAGGTCAAGAGATCAAGACCATCCTGGCCAACATGGTGAAACCCCATCTCTACTAAAAATACAAAAAATTAGCCGGGCATGGTGGCGGGTGCCTGTAGTCCCAGCTACTTGGGAGGCTGAGGCAGGAGAATCACTCGAACCTGGGAGGTGGAGGTTGTCGTTAGCCAAGATTGCACCACTGCACTCCAGCTGGCGACAGAGCAAGACTCCATCTCAAAAAAAAAAAAAAAGAAAAAGAAACATGGACATGAAAGAAGCCAGATGCAAAGGGTGTGTTATCACATGATTCCATTTATATGAAATGTCTAGAAAAAGCAAATTTATAGATACAGAGAGCAGATTCATGGTTGTCTGGAAGTGGAAACAGACGGACTACAAAAAGTGCATGAGGGGCCAGGCACGGTGGCTTACGCCTGTAACCTCAGCGCTTTGGGAGCCCAAGGCAGGCGGATCACCTGAAGTCAGGAGTTTGAGACTAGCCTGGCCAATATGGTGAAACCCCGTCTCTATTAAAAATACAAAAATTACACAGTGGCTCACGCCTGTAATCCCAGCACATTGAGAGGCTGAGGTGAGCAGATCACTTGAGGTCAGGAGTATGAGATCAGCCTGGCAAACAAAGGAAAACCCTGTCTCTACTAAAATACAAAAATCAGCTGGGTGTGGTGGCGGGCACCTGTAGTCCCAGCTACTCAGGAGGCTGAGGAAGGAGAATTGCTTGATCCCAGGAGGTGGAGGTTGCAGTATGCCGAGATCACACCACTGCAGTCCAGCTTGGGCGACAGAGCGAGACTCCCTCTCAGGAAAAAAATATATATATACAAAAATTAGACCGGTGTGGCACACACGGGGCTGTAATTCCAGCAACTCGGGAGGCCAACGCATAAGAATCGCTTAAACCTGGGAGGCGGAGGTTGCAGTGAGCCAAGATCGTGCCACTGCACTCCATCCTGGGTGACAGAGCGAGACTCTGTCTCAAAAGGAGTACATGAACGATCTTTGGGGATGATGGAAACTTAAATATTGGATCACGGTGCTGGTTGCACAATTCTGCAAATTTAAAATAACTGAATCATATACTTAAATGAGTAAATTTTATGATATGTAGATTATACTTCAATGGTTTTCCTAAACCTACTGGCCAATTATCATGTCACTGCTTCTCATGTCCAAGTCCACCCTTCATTACCTGCTCTGCAATGAAGAGGTCTCCTTTGCAGTGGGCATGTTAAGTTCTGTCAATAGAGACGCTGGAGAGACACTGCTGGCGGAAGGCCCTGGCCTTTTGTCCTTGCTCTGGCTCAATGGCTGCTAGAGACATGTGTGGAGACCTGCCCCTACCGCACACCTGTCACTTCGGCCCCAGTGGTGTTATGGTGGCCACCTTGCTGTGGCCGTCCAGGCATGGGTAATGCACACCTCACCCTTGTGCCACCCTGCTGGCCAGCAGGTTCCCAACACCCCAACTCCCAACGCATGCCCGCCCACCAGCCTCAGCCCACCTGCACCTCAAAGGGACTTGCCCAGCCCAGTGAGCCAGCTCTGGCCCCGGGGCCCAGTGAGTGCTACCTCCCAGTAGGCTGCACTCACACCTTCTCCAGTGACTTCTCAATCCCAGCCATGGGGATTGGGCCCTTCTAAGTTTTTTCTTCTTGGGTACTCACCTTCAGCCCTAGAGCATTCTTTAGCACTCACAGTTTCTCTTCTCGTCGGGTTATTCTTTATATTAATCTTTTCCTGTCCAAATTACTCTCTATGTCTCCTGATCAGTCCTTGACTGGAAGCATCAAGCCTTGGATTCCAGAAGCCTTATGAACCCCCAGGCAGGATAATAAATAAGAAGAATACACCAAAGCACAGCATGATGAAGCTTTTGAAAACTAAAGAGAAAAAGAAGTCTTTTTTTTTTTTTTTTTGAGATGGAGTCTTGCTCTGTCACCCAGGCTGGAGTGCAGTGGCGCGATCTCGGCTCACTGCAAACTCCGCCTCCTGAATTCACGCCATTCTCCTGCCTCAGCCTCCTGAGTAGCTGGGACTACAGGCGCCCGCCACCACGCCCGGCTAATTTTTTGTATTTTTAGTAGAGACGGGGTTTCACCGTGTTAGCCAGGATGGTCTGGATCTCCTGACCTCGTGATCCGCCCGCCTCGGCCTCCCAAAGTGCTGGGATTACAGGCGTGAGCCACCGCGCCCGGCCTGAGAAAAAGGAATCTTTAAGCAATCATACGGGGAAAAAGGGCCCATCACCTTCAAAGGAGCCACAATTAGACTCCTCAACAGACATGATTGAGGCTGGAAGATAAGGGAATGGTATCTTCTTCAAAGCCGAAAGAATAGGACCACGATCCAAAATTCTACGCTCACTGAAAATACCTTTCAAGAATGCAGGTGGCCGGGTGTGGTGGCTCACGCCTGTAATCCCAGCACTTTGGGAGGCCGTGGCAGGTGGATCATGAGGTCAGGAGATCGAGACCATCCTGGCTAACACAGTGAAATGCCGTCTCTACTAAAAATACAAAAAATTAGCCAGGCAAGGTGGCGGGCGCCTGTAGTCCCAGCTACTTGGGAGGCTGAAGCAGGAGAATGGCATGAACCTGGGAGGCCGATCTTGCAGTGAGCCAAGATCGCGCCACTGCACTCCAGCCTGGGCCAAAGTGCGAGACTCCATCTCAAAATAAAAAAAAAAAAAAGAATGCAGGCAAAATCAAGATATTGTGAGATTAAAAAAACAGAAAACTCACCACTGGCAGACCTACACTAAGCAAAGACTCAACTTTCTCAGGCAGAAGTGAAATGATCCCAAATGGAAGATCATACTTGCAGGAGAGAATGAAAGAGCAACAAAAAGAGTGAACAGGTGGATAAATGAACACTCGCTATGTAAAACAGCCATGAAAATGTCTTGTCTGGGCACGGTGGCTCATGTCTGTAACCCAACACTGGGAGGCTGAGGCAGGTGGATCACTTGAGCCCAGGAGTTCAAGACCAGCCTGGGCAAGCAACATGGCAAAACCCCATCTCTACAAAAACTACAAAAATTAGCCAGGTGTAGTGGTGAGTGCCAGTAGTCCCAGCTACCTGGGAGGCTGAGATAGGTAGGAGGATTGCCCAAACCTGGGAAGTGCAGCTGCAGTGAGCCGTGATCGCCACCACTGCACTCCAGCCCGGGCAACAGAGTGAGACCCTGTCTCTAAATAAATAAATAAATAAAAATTAAGTTACAAGTACAGAAAAGTTGAAAGTAAAATTTTGGGGAAAGATACACTTTGCAAATATGGTCCACCAAAAAAAAAAACCCCAAAGCATAGCTATATTAATATCAGAAAAAACAGACTTCAAGGCAAAAGGCATTGCTAGAGTTACAAAGGAAACACTTTGTAAAGATACAAATTACACCCAACAGATTTAACAGTTTCTAAATTTGTATACACCTAATTACATGGCCTCAAAATATGTAAAGCAAAAGCTGACAGTACTACAAGGAGAAATGGATAAATCTATGATTCTAGTGGGAAGTGCTAACACACATCTCCCAAACATATGAGGAATAGAAAACATCAAATCTTAGCCGGGCGGAGTGGCTCATGCCTGTAATCCCAGCACTTGGGGAGGCCAAGGCAAGTGAATTGCAAGGTCAGGAGTTCGAGACCAGCCTGACCAACACAGTGAAACCCTGTCTCTACTAAAAATACAAAAAATTAGCTGGGTGTGGTGGCAGGCGCCTGTAATCCCAGCTACTTGGGAAACTGAGGCAGGAGAATTGCTTGAACCCAGGAGGTGGAGGTTGCAGTGAGCCAAGATGGCGCCACCACACTCTAGCCCAGGAAACAGAGTGAGACTCCATCTCAAAAAAAAAAAAAAAAAAAGGAAAAGAAGAAAAGAAAATGTCAGATCTTATACAACACTTCCAAAAATGAAAATGAGAAACATTTTCAACTCTTTTGATGAGACCAACGTAACTATGATACCGAAACTATAACAAGAACGAAAGTTACCGTCCAATTTCACTCATGAACACAATGCAAAAATCCTAAACAAAATTTTAGCAAAGTGAAATACAGAAAGTATAATAATACATCCTCATCAAGATGAAGTTATTCCAGGAATGAAAAGCTATTTTAACATTTGAAAATTAATATGGTAACATAAGTTACCATATTAATGGATTAAATCTGATCATTTTCTCAGTACACATGAAAATAAAATTCAATATCTATGCATAGTTTTTTAAAACTCTTTGTAAACTAGGAATAGAAGGGTACTTAACCTGAAAAAAAAAAATCTGTTTTTTTAACAAGATGAAATGTTGAAAGCCTTAATTTTGAGACTGGGAAAATGACAAGGTTGCCTGCTGTCAGCACTCCTATTCGGCATTATAATAGGGGTCCCGGCTAGTGCAATAAGGCAAGAAAAATACCCAAGGTGGGTAAGAATTGAAAAGGAAGACAACTCATTATATATAGATAACATTGTGTATAGAAAACCCAACAGAATCTACAGATAAATTATCAGAATTAAGAAGTGAATTTGGGGCTGAGCACTGTGGCTCACACCTGTAATCCCAGCACTTTGGGAGGCTGAGGTGGGAGGATCACATGAGGTCAGGAGTTTGAGACCAGCCTGGCCAACATGGTGAAACCCTGTCTCTACTGAAAATAGAAAAATTAGCCAGGTGTGGTGGAGCACACCTGTAATCCCAGCTACTCAGGAGGCTGAGGCAACTCCAGCCTGGGCAACAGAGTGAGACTCCTTCTCAAAAAAAAAGACAAGTGATTTTGGGGCGTGGTGGCTCATGCCTGTAATCCCAACTGCTTGGGAGGCTGAGACAGGAGAATCCCTTGAGCCCAGGAGTTTGGGGCTGCAGTGAGGTACAGTCACACCACAGTACTCCAACCTGGTTGACACCCTATCTTAAAAAAAAAACAAGGCTGGGCAACATAGGGAGACCCCATCTCTACAGAAAAATAAAAAAATAGCCAGGTGTGGTGGTGCACACCTGTGGTCCTAGCTACTCGGGAGGCTGAGATGGGAGGATCACTTGAGCCAAGGAGGCTAAGAATGCAGTGAGCTGTGATCACACCACTGCACTCCAGCCTTAGTAATAGAGAAAGACAATGTGTCAAATATACATATATATGTATATACATACACATGTATATATATATACACACATATATGTATATATACATATATATGTGTATGTATATACATATATATGTGTATATATGTGTGTGTGTGTGTGCGTGTGTGTGTGTATATATATATATATATAGCCCCATAATGAAGTGTGATAGTGGCAAAGAAATAGGCAAACAGGGCTGGGCGCAGTGGTTCATGCCTGCAATCCCAGCACTTTGGGGAGGCCAAGGCAGGCAGATCGTGAGGTCAGGAGTTCAAGACTAGCCTGGCCAACATAGTGGAACCCCGTCTCTACTAAAAATACAAAAAAATTAGCTGGGCATGGTGGCACGTGCCTGTAGTCCCAGCTTACTCTGGAGGCTGAGACAGGAGAATCTCTTGAACCCGGGAGGTGGAAGTTGCAGTGAGCTGAGATCACGCCATTGCACTCCAGCCTGGGTGACAGAGTGAGACTTCATCTCAAAAAAAAAAAATAATAATAGAGCTCTGGAACCTATTCTAGGCTGGTGGCAGATCTAACTGTGAAAATAAGCAATGAGGCCAGGCACAGGAAGGCAACGGTTGCTCACGCCTGTAATCCTAGCACTTTGGGAGGCAGAGGTGGGCGGATCACTTGAGGTCAGGAGTTCAAGACCAGCCTGGCCAATATGGTGAAACCCTATCTCTACTAAAAATATAAAAATTAGCCGGGCATGATGGCAGGCGCCTATAATCCCAGCTACTTGGGAGGCTGAGGCAGAAGAATCGTTTGAACCTGGGAGGTAGAGGTTGCAGTGAGTCGAGATGGCACCACTGCATTCCAGCCTGGGTGACAGAGCGAGACTCCAACTCAAAAGTTAAAAAAAATAAATAAATAAAAATAAAGCTTCTAAATCTAAAAGACATTATAAGAGCATCTTCATGTCCTATGAGTACAGAAATTTTATTAAGCCACAAAAGCCACTGAAATACTCCTACACACATACTATTTACAAAGGAAAAGATAAGCTTGACTACCTTAAAACTGAGAACTTTTCAGCTGGACACAGTGGCTCACGCCTGTAATTCCAACACTTTGGGAGGTCAAGGCGGGCGGATCACGAGGTTAAGAGATCAAGACCATCCTGGCCAACATGGTGAAATCCTGTCTCTACTAAAAATACAAAAATTAGCCAGGCATGGTGCAGGCACCTGTAATCCCAGCTACTCAGGAGGCTGAGGCAGGAGAATCGCTTGAGCCTGGAAGGTGGACGTTGCAGTGAGCAGAGATTGCACCATTGCACTCCAGCCTGGGTGACAGAGCGAGACTCCATCTCAAAAAAAAAACAAAACTGAGAACTTTTCATCAGATGATACCATTAAGAATGAAAAGGGAGGGAGGCTGAGGCCGGAGAATCACTTGAACCTGGGAGGCGGAGGTTGCAGTGAGCAGAGATCACGCCATTGCACTCCAACCTGGGCAACAAGAGCGAGACTCTGTCTCAAAAAAAAAAAAAAAAGTGAAAAGGGAAGCTACCAAGTGAGAAAGGATGTTTGCAATACTGTATCTAATGTAGGACTCATCCCAAATACATACAGAACTGCTCTAAAACAAAGACAGTCAAACATAAAAATGGGCACAAAACTTGAACAGGCACCTCGTAAAAAGAGATATCCAAATAGCTGGTAAACATGATAAAAGGCTAGGCCAGGTGCAGTGGCTCACACCTGTAATCCTAGCGCTTTGGGAGACCAAGACAGGAGGATTGTTTGAGGCCAGGAGTTCAAGACCAGCCTGGGCAACATAGACTCTTGTCTCTTTAAAAAAAAATTTAAAAATCAGCCAGATGTAGCAGTGCACACCTGTGGTCGCAGCTACTTGGGAGGCCAAAGCAAGAGGATTGCTTAAGCCCAGGAATTCCAGGTTACAGTGAACTGTGAACATGCCACTGCACTCCAGCCTGGGGCAATGGAGTGAGACCCTTGTCTGTATTAAAAAAAAAAAAAAAAAAAAAAAAAAAACATGATAAAAGCCTAAATATTATTAGTCATCAGAGAGATGTAAATTAAAACCAAACGGAAATACTACTACACACATATCAGAAGAGGTAAAACGTAAAAGACTGACAAATCCCAGGGGCTGATGAGGATGGGGAGCCGCTGGAACTCTCATTCATTGCTGGTGGGAGTTCAAAATGATGCAACCACTTTGGAATGTAGTTTGGCAGCATCTCGTTTACTTTTAGTGTTAATATACTCACAACCTATGCTCAGAAAAGCCCTTTTTCACCACTCTCTCAACCACCTCTGAATGATTCTAAGAAATATTTTTGTATCTCTTAAATCAGGACGCACTCTAATTTAATGACAGTTTTTTCTCAGTTGCACTCAACATTTCAGATTTGCAGGAGCTACCTCTCCTTCATGGCACTTTAGAATAGTTTGCAGCTACATTATCTGCTAAATGTCTGTATCCCATGTTGGACTGCTAGCTCCAGGAAAACAGACCTTTCCTTCTTCATGACTGTGAATCCAAAAACTAGAATTTCTGGGTCAAAAGCCGTACATGTTTTTTGTTATTTTTTAAATTCACAATACATCCTATTTTAAAATTCAGCAATGCATTGCACAAACCCTCCTCATCATATTCTGTACCCAAAGGCAGCCACTATCAGCAATTTGGAATAAATCCTTCAGACTCTATTCTTTGCATGCATATGTCCATAGTTATATGTCCATGCATACATGACAAGAACATTATATGTATATAAATAATAAATATGCAAATCAATAGTGATAAGCAGTTAAAAGTGCAAAAATTTTAAATTCCTCTCACATACATACTCTTTTTTTTTTTTTTTTTTTTTTTGAGACATGGTCTTGCTCTGTCACCCAGGCTGGAATGCAGTGGCATGATCACAGCTCACTGCAGCCTCAACATCAGGCTCAAGCAATCCTCACACTCTAGTCTCCCAAGTAGCTGGGACTACAGGCCCATGCCACAATACCTGGCCTTTTTTTTTTTTTTTTTTTCTGTAGAGATGATCTTGCCATGTTGCCCAGGCTAGTCTCAAACTCCTGGACTCAAGCACTCCTCCCACCTTGGCCTCCCAAAGTGCTAGGATTATAGGTGTGAGCCACCATGCCTGGCCCATACATACATTAGTAACAGATACCATCAGTCTCCTTTCCACAAAGATTATGGCAATACATATCCACTAGTAATAAATGTGAGAGTCAGCAGTCCCTCTGCAACGCTAGATGTGTTCACCTTTTCTAATTCTTTCACAATCCAGTGGGTAAAAATCATATCTCATGATTTAAATCTGCATGTTCCTGATATATAGGACTCAAATAAATCAATCTTTCCCTCTATGGTTTTCTAGATTTTAAGAGGCCTCCCGTTTCCATACTGCCCCAGCACCCTGAAGTTACACACATATTTTCCTAAGCTTTATTATGATTAGAGCTTCATTTTATACTTAGCTCTTTAATCCATCTTGAATTTATTTTTGCATACAATATTAGAATAATTATTTTTTCCAACCAGATAGCAACTCTGCTTATTAGGAACCTTCTTTTACTCAATTAAAATGCCATTTTTAGCAAGTGCTAACTTTCCACATATACTGGTAATGTTTTCTAGATTTTCAATAATTTTTCACTGATTTAACTCTGTGGCAATGCCATGCCATTTTGATTATTATAGCTTTATGGTCAGTTTTAATATCTGGTGAAGAAAGTCTCCTCTCATTCAACTTAAAAAAAGATTAGCAATCTTCGCATATTTTTCCTTCCAAATTAATTTTAAAATAATCTTTGTCATTTATTTAAAGCTTGGTTTTCTTGCCAGAATTGTATTAAATCTCTATCTAAAATATCTATAAAAAATAGATATTTGTATATTACATCTTCTACCAGGATATTTTGTTGTTTATTTTTGGTCTTTTGGTATTTTTTATCTTTTTTTTTTTTTTTTATGTATTTCGAGATGGAGTCTCACACAGTCAGCCAGGCTGGAGTGCAGTGGCACAATCTCAGCTTACTGCAACCTCTGCCTCCAAAGTTCAAGCGATTCTCCTGCCTCAGCCACCCGAGTAGCTGGGATTACAGGTGTGCACCACCGTGCTTGGTTAATTTTTGTATTCTCAGTAGAGATGTTTCGTCATGTTGGTTAGGCTGGTCTCGAACTCCTGACCGCAGGTGATCCGCCTGCCTCAGCCTCCCAAAGTGCTGGGATTACAGGTATGAGCCACTGCACCTGGCCTTTTGGTAGTTTTTTAAAATAATTTTCTTAATTTGGTCTCCAGATCTTTTGTTAAGTTATTCCTAAATTTTACTGTTGTTATCACTATCATAAGTTGAATTTTAAATTTTTTCCAAGTGTACCTGGTTATTACTATTGCTTTTGTATATTTATTTTGTATCCAACCACTTTACTGAGTTATCTTACTAGTTCCATGTTTTTAATTGACTCTTGGATAGTCTAGCTAGGTAATAATTTTTTGTCTCTTCTAGTTTTCATACTACAAATTTCACTTTTTTATTTTTTGCATTAGCTGGAACTTCACAACAATGTCAAATAATAGAGACACCAGGGGGCATCCATGTCATGATCCTGGTTTTAATGCCTTTTAGTAGTTTTGATAATTTCCCACTTTGCTATTGGTTTGAGTACCAGCTTCAGCATCACTGGGAAGCTTATTAGAAATGCAGAACCTCAGGCCCTGCTTACTGAACAAAAATCCACAGAGTCTCCAGGCTGCTCATGACTTACTTCCTCATGCCTGCCTCTCCAGCTTTCTGGAGGAGGGACTGGGCTGGGCTGGGCCATTCTCCTGTTTCAGCCCCTGGTGCCAGGGTTGTAAGCAGCACACCGAGGCTGCTCTGAAACCAACTGATTTAGCTTGAGCTATCAATATTGTGTGGCTCAGCTGGGGGTCCCCTTCCTCCTCTGTCTGCAATGGTTGTTTGTTTTTGAGGCAGAGTCTCACTCTGTCACCCAGGCTGGAGTGCAGTGGCACAATCAGCTCACTGCAACTTCTGCCTCCCGGATTCAAGCAATTCTCCTGCCTCAGCCTCCCGAGTAGCTAGGATTACAGGCGCCTGCCACTACACTCGGCTAATTTTTGTATTTTTAGTAGAGACAGGACTTCGCCATGTTGGCCAGGTTGGTCTTGAACTCCTGACTCAGGTGATCCACCCACCTCGGCCTCCCAAACTGCTGGGATTACAGGTGTGAGCCACCTCGCCTGGCCTCTGCAATGGTTTTGAATCTTGTTAAAATGCAGGTTCATTCTTGGGACCACAGCTAGTGGGACTGGGGTGCCAGGAATCTGATGCCAGAGTCATAGGTACGGTTCTACAGGCTGGCCGAGGGATCTTGGTGCAAGTGCTCCCCAGTCAGGGCGGTCCTCATCAAACGAGCACCCAGCTGATCCTCTGTCATTGGGTAGTTCTTGCCAGCACTGCCTCTATGCCAACAGCATCTCAGAGAGGAGTGGGTAGGGTGCCCTGGAGCCCAACTGTGGACAGATGTTGCCATTGGCCCTGGAAGAGAGCCAGGAAGTGTCCCCAAAGTAGCAGTGTGAAGCTCCGCACGGATGTGTCACTTTCTGTTGATTGACCAGACAGAGTGGCCCTGGTTTCTGGATGTAGGGTCAGCATGAGGGACCCTGTCTCCTGGGATGGGGAAGGGATAGGGGAACAACCAGCCAGAAGTCACCATGCTCCACTCTCCCGCAGGGAAAGGTAATACTGGCATCCTGATCGCCTAAGCTGGGCTGGAGGTTGGGCGGGGGGCGGAGGTTGCAGTGTCCTTCCAGATGGCTCTGAAGACAGAGAAGGCTTTGGTCCCTACGATGGCCTCCCAAGAGCACAGATGAAGGCAAGAGGAGTCCCAGGAAGGCCTTGAGAGGAGGCTCCTGGGAAATGGGGCTCTGGTGGGCTCCTGTCCCACGGCTGGGGCCGGGCTCTGGAGACACCTTGGATTAGGACACTGACTGAGGCTCCAGTGGGCCACCTGTGGAGGCTGAGGAGGCTGAGGCCCAGCCACAAGTCAGTTGAGGGCTGCCAAGCCTGCCCTCTTCTGGCCCCCAGATTCCCTCTGCAGGCAAGAGCTGGCCACCGGCAGGGATCTGAGTCCAGAGAAAGGGTCTGGCCCGGCCAGTTTTCCGTGGACATTCCGGCATCCGGCATCTCCGCAGGAGCCACAGCCTCAGGGAAGGTAGAGTGCCACCACCACGTAGATGACCCAGCTGGTAGACACGAAGACCCCGAAGAGCAGGCTGAAGAGCACCAGCGAGCGGGCCTTCCGCGAGGCCTCCTCAGCCTGGGCCAGGTCACCCCTGCCCAGTGCTGCACGGGCCTGCAACGAGACAGGGCAGGAGGGGGCGGTGGGAGCGAACAGGGAGCCCCCACTCCCTCCCAGTGCGATTGAGGGCTAGGCCCAGTTCCACAAACTGAGAAACTGACATGCTGAAAAGGTCAGGGACCTGCCAGGCCCACAGCTCGAAAGGGGGCAGGCGTGATGGCAGTGGCGGCCGCCAGCCATCAGGCGCTTGTCACGCTCAGCACTGACAGTTGCCCTCAGCTTCAACCTCTACCATCCTTGCAGCAGCCCTGAGGCTGACCCCACTTTGCAGATATGGAAACAAAGGCTCAGAGAAGTTAAGTGACCTATCCAGGGTCACAACACTAATGGTGGAGCCAGAATTCACCAGCAGGCAGCAACCTCTCAAGTCCCACCTCTGAGTTGTCCTGAGAGCTGCCTTCTGCTTATGGCTGGGGGCTTGAACAGCAGAGTCAAGCCAGGGCTGAGTCCAGGTCAGCCTTGAGCATAGGCCCCCCAGAGCCTTGCCTGCTTTTGTTTGTTTTTTTCTTGAGACAGAGTCTTGCTCCGTCTCACAGGCTAGAGTGCAGTGGTGCGATCTCAGCTCACTGCAACCTTCACCTCCTGGATTCAAGTGATTCTCCTGTCTCAGCCTCCTGAGTAGCTGGGACTAAGGTGCCTGCCCCCATGCCCGGCTAATTTTTGTATTTTTAGTAGAGACGGGGTTTCACCATATTGGTCAGGCTGATCTCGAACTCCTGACCTCAGGTGACCCACCCACCTTGGCCTCCCAAAATGCTGGGGTTACATTTGTGAGCCACCATGCCCAGCCCTGCTTCTGTCTCTATTAGAGTGTCATCACATTGGCATCTTTGAATCCCAAGGGCCTAATAAATAGATGAATCGATAGAGGGATGGGTGAGTGGATGGATGGATGGAGAGTAGAGAGATAATGGGTGGTAGGTGGGTGTATGGATGAGTAGATGGATGGATGAATAGAGGGATGGATGGATGGGTAGGGATTGGTGGGTGGGTGAGTAGGCAGATGGATGAATAGTGGGGTGAGTGGATGGAAGATGGTAGATGGATAGTAGATGGATGGTAGATGGATGATGGATGGATGATGGATGGATGGAGGCTAGAGAGATGGTGGATGGGCCAGGCACAGTGGCTCACGTCTGTAATCCCAGCACTTTGGGAGGCTGAGGCAAGTGGATCACCTGAGGTCAGGAGTTCAAGACCAGCCTGGCCAACATGGCGAAACCTCATCTCTACTAAAAATACAAAAAATTAGCTGGGCATGGTGGTGGGCGTCTGTAATCCCAGCTATTCGGGAGGCTGAGGCAGGAGAATCACTTGAACCCAGAGGGTGGAGGTTGCAGTGAGCCGAGATCACGCCATTGCACTCCAGCCTGGCAACAGAGCAAGACTCTGTATCAAAAAAAAAGAGAGAGATGGTGGATGGGTGGGTGGATGGATAAATGGGTGGGTGAATAGATGGGTAGCTACAGAGATGGAGAGATGGGGTGGATGGATAGATGAGATGAGCATAGGAATGAATGAGCAGATTGTACCCCCTTTAAAACACAAGCCTCCACTGGAATGGGCAGCACATTGGGTCTTATCAGTCATTCACAGCTTTACCGTGAATTGTTTTGGCCAAACATTCCACAGCACATTTTGAATAGTTGGGGGCAGAGACAGGAGGAGCAAGGATCCCACAAACAACTGGGCTCTGACTTCCCAATTCCCACCCCCCTCCAGAGGGAGAGACACCAGAGACCGTGTTGCTGGAAGAGGGGCTCTGTGGACCCACTGGGGCGCCAGTGGCTGCGTGCTAGGAGAGGCTGTGCCCAGGGCCGCCCCCGCACCTACCTCGTGGGAGTAGACGATGGCGATGAGACCGGTGAGCAGACAGCAGAAGAGGGTCACCAGCACTGACTCCATCATGTAGTCCTTTGGCAGGGGCCTGTGCTCCACCGTGGCAGGGCCTGGCACGCCAGCCATCGGGCCATTGTACTGTGGGGGCAGAGCCACAGTGGTGAGGGAGCTGGCCCAGCCTCTGGACAACAGAGTGAGTGAGAAGGCCAGCCAGGCCATGCAAGCTCTCTCACTCAGTCCCCCAAGTCCCCACCCACTGAGGCTGCAATTCACGGAGGGGTTGGGTCAGGGTGCCCCTCTGCCCTCTCCCTCTTGCACCCCTGGCCACTCAGCCCCGCTGAGCCCTCAGTCCCACTGAGCCCTCAGTCCTGCCCTCTACCATTGGCTCAGTCGAGGGTCCAGCCTCTGTGATATCTCTATCGTCCTCACTGGGCTCGCCACCCCTCCCTGGGGGGCCTCCAATCTTTCCCCCACAGGCAGCCCAGGGCTTTTGTTTATTTTTATTTTTATTTTTATTTTTGTTTTTATTTTGGAGGCAGAGGCTTGCTCTATCACTCAGCCCGGAGTGCAATGGTGTGATCTCGTCTCACTGCAGCCTCAACCTCCCTGGCTCAAGCAATCCTCCTGCCTCAGCCTCAAGAATAGCTGGGGCTACAGGCGCGCACTACCATGCCCGGCTAATTTTTTTACGTTTAGTAGAGATGAGGGCTCACTATGTTGCCTAGGCTGGTCTGGAACTCCTAAGCCCAAGCCATCTGCCTGTCTTGGCCTCCCAAAGTGCTGGGATTACAGGTATGAGGCACCGTGCCCGGACTGTTTTGTTTTTAAAGAAAATCTAATCAAGTCACCTCCTGCCCAAAGTTTCTGGGGTCCCTCCCCACGGGTTCCACCTTCCTGCCCTCCCTACCAAGCCAAACAAGCCTCCACCATCCCCAGAACGCCCAGTCTCGGCCCCTCCACGCCTGTGCGGTGTCCTCTGTCCAGGGCGCCCGTCGTTCTCTTTGCCTTAGCCCTCCTATTCATCCTCCAAAACCCCGCTCAAATGCCCCCACCTCCAGGGAGCCTCCCGGACTCGCCCGCCCCCAGGGACAGAAGTGACCTATCGGCCTCCGCACGGGCGCCCCCGACCACGCGCAGACAGCACGGAGGGGAGCGCGCCCAGGGCGGCGGCCACTCACCACGGGGAAGGGGAAGGCGGCCCCGGCGGGCGGCGAGAAGAGCGCGGGCGGCGTGGGCGCGGCTGGGTAGAGCTGGGCGGGCGGCGGGAAGAGCGCAGACGGCGCGGGCTGCAGGACCACGGGCACCTGCGGGAAGGGCGGGTACAGCAGCGGCGCGGCCTTGGGGTCCGGCGGCGCGTAGGGCGGGGGCTCCCCAACGAAGCCGATGTGGGGGGCGCCGCCGGCCGCCGCCTTGGAAACCGGCCCGGCCTCGCCCGCCGCCTGGGCCGGGGCGTCCTCCGGGGCGGGCTCGCTGCCCCCCGCGGCCCCGTCCTCGCTGGGCGCCCCGTCCTCGTCCAGGGTCCGCGGGCGGCGCGGGAGCTGCGGGAGCGCGGGCTGCGCGGGCATCTGGGGATCCTCGGGGGCGGCGGGCTTCGCGGGGCTCCGGGGGTCCTCGGGGGTGGCGGGGCTGCCGCCCCCTTTCGTGTCGGACCCTAGAAAGAAATGGCAGCGGTCGTGAGCAAGAGGCCGCCGGGCTAGGTGGGACGTCGCTGGTCCCGCAGTTCCCACGAACCAAGCTCCCAGCCCTCTGCAGCTGGGCCTCATAGGATCGTGACGCAAAGGGACTAAAAAACAGGCCCAGAGGGGCCACCTGCCTTGCTGGAGTCACACAGACTGAGCGACTCATCTGGGTGGGAACCCAGGCTGCTGACCCCGCCCCTCCCCGCACTGTCCCACCCCCTTTCCTTGGCAGATGGCCTCTATTGGGAGGTAGTTTCACCCCCAACTAAGGCCTTTATGTCAAAGCTAATTGGACCAGAAAAGGATAATCCGCCCAGGGAAGCCCCTGATTGGCTGTCCTGAGATACACCTCCAATGAAGGGGACGCCTACCTGAGGAGATGAGCTGAACCAATTAGATTCTTGGCTTGGAGTTGTAGGGGAGGGGTGAGGTGCCCAGGAGCTGCCAAACTGTAGCTAGAGTAACATGGTGGAGCCAGGAGGTCACTAAGGGCCATATGCACACTGAGAATGGACACCAGAATATACAGGGCCCAGCAGCTTGAAGCCAGGGCTCAGAGCCTCAAAGCTGCCCAGCTGCCTTGCTCCCGACCCAGGCCCTGGCCTTCAGCACCCAACGATAGGTCCTGGTGGTGCCTGGTCAGGTCCCAACAAATTCTTAAGGCTGCACCTCCTGAGAGCATCCCGACCAGCTGAGCACCAGAGGGCCTCAGGCAAGGGTACAAGGAAGGCCCTGGAAGAGAATCGCAGAGTGGCCTCCCCTGACCTGCGTGGGCATTCAGGCCTCACTGCAGAAGTGGGCAGCCCAGAGCCAGGGGTCTGGCTTTGGAGGTCCATTTCCTAAGTGTCCTTAAGGGTTATAAAAGGCAGAGGGATGAGTGAAACAGACATCACACAGACATCTCAGTGGGGGTGGGAGGACCCTTCCTGAAGTCCCCCACGGGTGGAGGCAGGGATCCTTGCCAGAGTGATCCCAATGGCAGGGAATGATGAGCCCCTGGGCGTGTCCTGCCTCAACCCCCTCCCAGCAGCTAGGGGCTCACTCATGGCCCCTGCACCCCATACACCTGCCACGCTGTTTATACCTCCACACCTTTACCTGTGATGTTCCCTCTGTTTCTCCACCCCTTGGATCTGGGCTTGACCATGTGACGTGCTTTGCACAATGGCACATTGACAAACATTTTGTAAGCAGAAGCTTTAAAAACCTTTCTCTCCAGGTTAACAGGGGCTGGGGCTGGGGAGTTAGTGTTTCAAGGGTGTAGAGTTTCTGTTTGGGAAGATGAGAAAGCGTCCCAGAGATGGATAGTGGTGATGCCTGCACAACAATGTGAGTGTTCTTAATGCCACTGAATCGCACACTTAGAAGTGGTTCAAGTGGTAAATCGTATGTTATACATATTTAGCACCATTTTTTAAAAGCATGTCTTTCCAGCTGATGACAACTGAAAAGTCTAGACAAAATACAAAAAGGAAGCATCTGAGGTCACTGAAAGACAAACAAAAGCAGGGAGGTTGCGGAGTGGAGTCAAAACTTAGAGAATGGCCAGGCACAATGGCTCACGCCTATAATCCCAGCACTTTGGGAGGCCGAGGCAGGTGGATCATCTGAGCTCAGCAGTTCGAGACCACCCAGGGCAACATGATGAAACCCCGTCTCGCTAAAAATACAAAAAAAAAAAAAAAAAAATTAACCAGGTGTGGCAGCACAAGTGTCTAGTCCCGGCTACTTGGGAGGCTGAGGCAGGAGAATTGCTCAAGCCCCAGAGGTGAAGGTTGCAGTGAGCCGAGATCACACCGCTGCACTACAGCTTGGGCTACAGAGTGAGACTCCGTCTCAAAAAAAAAAAAACCTTAGAGGTTGGGCTCCCCCCCAAACTGCATGTGCAGGAGACAAACCCAGACCAGCCTAAAAAAAAACTCTGAAAACTGACCCAAGTTTGGAAATGCCACTCATAGAAGGTGAAACAGAACTTCTGGCCTGAAACTACGCAGGCTGACTGCCTCCTGAAACCAAACAAACCCACCTTCTCCAGGGAATTGTAACAGGACCAAGAATCTACACAACATACTATTCACAATGTCCAGGACACAATCCAAGACTGTTCGCCATACAGTGACCAATGCTCAAAGGAAAAGACACTCAGCAGATGCCAACCCTGAGATGACCTGATATTGGAATTTTCAGAAAAAGCAGCCATTATAACCATGCTCCATGAGGTCAAGGTAAACACACTTGGCCAGACATTGTGGCCTCCTCACAGGAGGGGGCAGTGAGCTGTGATTGAACCACTGCACTCCAGCCTGGACTACAGAGTGAGACCTTGTCCTCTCTAAAAGGGGGAAGTGGCATGTGACAAACTTTCCATGCCTCCATTTCCTCATCTGTAAAGTGAAGATAAATCACAGTAATAATCATTTTTAGAGAGGCGAACATGGCTGGATGCGGTGGCTCACTCCGGTAATCCCAGCAGTTTGGGAGGCCGAGGCGGGTGGGTCAGTTGAGGTCAGGAGTTCCAGACCAGCCTGGCCAACACAGTGACACCTCGTCTCTACTAAAAATACAAAAATTAGCCAGGTGTGGTGGCGGGTTTCACTCGTGTCCGTGTGAAGAGACCACCAAACAGGCTTTGTGTGAGCAATAAAGCTTTTGAATCACCTGGGTGCAGGCAGGCTGAGTCCAAAAAGAGAGTCAGCGAAGGGAGATGGGGTGGGCCGTCTTATAGGATTTGCGTAGGTAAAGGAAAATTACAGTCAAAGGGGGTTGTTCTCTGGTGGGCAGGAGTGGGGGTCACAAGGTGCTCAGTGGGGGAGCTTTTGAGCCAGGATGAGCCAGGAGAAGGAATTTCACAAGGTAATGTCATCAGTTAAGGCAGGAACAGGCCATTTTCACTTCTTTTGTGGTGGAATGTCATCAGTTAAGGCAGGAACCGGCCACCTGGATGTGTACATGCAGGTCACAGGGGATATGATGGCTTAGCTTTGGCTCAGAGGCCTGACATTCCTGTCTTCTTATATTAATTAGAAAAATAAAACAAAATAATGTTGAAGTGTTGGGGCAGCGAAAATTTTTTGGGGGTGGTATGGAGAGATAATGGGCGATGTTTCTCAGGGCTGCTTCAAGCGAGATTAGGGGCGGCGTGGGAACCTAGAGTGGGAGAGATTAAGCTGAAGGAAGATTTTGTGGTAAGAGGTGATATTGTGGGGTTGTTAGAAGGAGCATTTGTCGTATAGAATGATTGGTGATGGCCTGGATGCGGTTTTGTATGAATTGAAAAACTAAACGCAGGTCGGGCGCGGTGGCTCACACCCGTAATCCCAGCATTTTGGGAGGCTGAAGCGGGTGGATCATGAGGTCAGGAGATTGAGACCATCCTGGCTAACACGGTGTAACCCCGTCTCTACTAAAAATACAAAAAATTAGCGGAGCATGGTGGCGGGTGCCTGTAGTCCCAGCTACTCGGGAGGCTGAGGCAGAAGAATGGCGTGAACCCGGGAGGCAGAGCTTGCAGTGAGCCGAGATCGCGCCACTGCACTCCAGCCTGGGAAACACAGTGAGACTCTGTCTCAAAAAAAAAAAAAAAAAAAAAGAAAAAGAAAAGAAAAAGAAAAACTAAACGGAAGACACAAGGTCCGAATAAGAGAAGAAAAAAAACAGGTATTAAATGACTAAGAATTGGGAGGACCCAGGACAGAATTGAGTGCCCAAGGAGGTTCAGCATAGCCCTGCCAGAAAAGATTAGAGAGGGAGTTGAGCATAGTTTGTTATTCTGAGGGCCTCTAAAAGTATTAAAGCAGCGGCAGCTGCTGCACGCAGACATGAGGGATAAGCTAAAACAGTAAGGTCAAGTTGTTTGGACAGAAAGGCTACGGGGCGCAGTCCCGACTCTTGCATAAGAATTCTGACTGCACTGACCATGCCTAGGAAGGAAAGGAGTTGTTGTTTTATAGAAGGGATTGGGGTTTGGGAGATTAGCTGCACACGATCAGCAGGGAGAGAGCACGTGTGTTTTCATGAGAATTATGCCGAGATAGGTAACAGATGAGGAAGAAATTTGGGCTTGACTGAAGTAATGGGGGCTGTCTGTGAAGCCTTGTGGCAGTACAGCGCACGTAATTTGCTGAGCCTGATGGGTGTCAGGGTCAGTCCAAGTGAAAGCAAAGAGAGGCTGGGATGAAGGGTGCAAAGGAATAGTAAAGAAAGCATGTTTGAGATCCAGAACAGAATAATGGGTTGTGGAGGGAGGTATTGAGGATAGGAGAGTATATGGGTTTGGCATCACGGGGTGGATAGACAAAACAATTTGGATGATAAGGCGCAGATCCTGAACTAGCCTGTGAGGCTTGCCTGGTTTTCGGACAGGTAAAATGGGGGAATTGTAAGGGGAGTTTGTAGGCTTTAGAAGCCCATGCTGTAGCAGGCGAGTGATAACAGGCTTTAATCCTTTTAAAGCGTGCTGTGGGATGGGATATTGGCATTGAGCAGGGTAAGGGTGATTAAGTTTTAATAGGATGGTAAGGGGTGCATGATATACTTGTGGATTAAGGTGGGGAGATACAAGAGGGAGACACAAAGGAGGCTTTGGGTTGGGAAGAAGGGCGGCAATGAGATGTGGCTGTAGTCCAGGAATAGTCAGGGAAGCAGATAATTTAGTTGAAATGCAGATAATTTGGTTAAAATGTCTCGGCCTAATAAGGGAACTGGGCATGTGGGGATAACTAAAAAAGAGTGCATAAAAGAATGTTGTCCAAGTTGGCAGAGTTGGGGAGTTTTAAGAGGTTTAGAAGCCTGGCTGTCAATACCTACAACAGTTATGGAGGCAAAGGAAACAGGCCCTTGAAGGTAATGTGGAGTGGGTAGCCTCCGTATTGATTAAGAAGGGGACGGACTTACCCTCCACTGTGAGAGTTACCCGAAGCTCAGCATCCGTGATGGTCTAGGGGGCTTCTGAGGCGATCGGGCAGCGTGAGTCTTCAGCCACTAAGCCAAGAAGATCTGGGAAGGAGTCAGTGAGACAGCCTTGGGCCAGAGTTCCAGGGGCTCTGGGAGTGGCTGCCAGGTGAGTTGAACAGTCCAATTTTCAGTGGGGTCCCGCACAGATGGGACATGGCTTAGGAGGAATCCCGGGCTGGGGGCATTCCTCGGCCCAGTGGCCAGATTTCCAACACTCGTAGCAAGCTCCTGGGGGAAGAGGTTCTGGAGGAATGCCTGGCAGCTGCGGTTCAGGCGTTTGAAGTTCTTGTGTCCTGGAGATGTGGTTGGGGTTTATCTCACAGTGGAGGCAAGGAATTGCAACTCGGAAATACACTGCTACTTGGCTGCCTCTACTCTATTATTGTACACCTTGAAGGCAAGGTTAATTAAGTCCTGTTGTGGGGTTTGAGGGCCGGAATTTAATTTGGGGGGTTTATTTAATGTCGGGAGCGGATTGGGTAATAAAATGTATATTGAGAATAAGATGGCCTTTTGACCTTTTAGGGTCTAGGGCTGTAAAGCATCTCACAGTTGCTGCCAAACAGCCATGAACTGGGCTGGCTTTTTCATATTTGATGAAAAAGAGCCTAAACACTAACTGATTTGGGAGAGGTCGGATAAAGAAAAGGGAGCATTAACCTTGACTATGCCTTTAGCTCCAGCCACCTTTTTAAGAGGAAATTGCTGGGCAGGTGGGGGAGGGCTAGTCGCAGAATTAAACTGTAAGCCAGACCGGGTGTGAGGAGGGAAGGTGATAAAAGGATTATAGGGTGGGGAAATGGAGGCTGAGGAAGAATTCGGACCTAGCTCAGCCTGGCGCAGAGCAGCCTGGGGAGGAGGGGAGAGGTCAGATGGGTCTGTAGAAAAGGAAGATTCAAAAGACTCAGTGACGCTTGGGGTTGGGACTGAGGGGACAGGCGGGAAGGAAAGAAGGAAGATTTGGGACAAGTTGCATTGGGAACAGAGACTAGGGAGGGACCGATGTGTAAAAGAATGCCTGGATGTCAGGCACCTCAGACCGGTTGCCCATTTTACGACAAGAATTATCTAGATTTTGTAGGATGGAAAAATCGAAAGTGCCGTGTTCTGGCTATTTGGAACCACTGTCGAGTTTGTATTGGGGTCAAGCGGTGTTGCAGAAGAAAATAAGACACTTAGATTTTAGGTCAGGCGAGAGTTAAAGAGGTTTTAAGTTCTTGAGAACACAGGCTAAGGGAGAAGAAGGAGGAATAGAGGGTGGAAGGTTGCCCATAGTGAAGGAGACAAGTTTAAAAAGAAGGGTAGAGATACGGAGAGAAGGGGTGGGGGATGCTTGCCCCCCAGGAAAGTGGAGAAGGGGTGGGGGATGCTTGTCCCCCCAGGAAAGTGGAGAGAAGAGAGGGTAGAGACACAGAGAGAATGGGTTGGGTGAGCAGCCCTGGCTGCAATGTGGGTGAGCAGCCAAAGCAGGCATCCCCGCAATTGACTTGCCACCAAGGGAATGTGGGTGAATGACCAAGGCAGGCGTCCCCACGGAGATCAGATACCAATGGATTGTGGGTGTATAATCAGGCAGGAGTCCCCGCAATGATTAAACACCAAGGGAAGACGGTCTTCCCAAGTCCGTGACCGGTGCCAGAGTTTTGGGTCCACAGATAAAACGCATCTCCTTTGTCTCTACCAGAAAAGGAAAGGAACTGAAATTAAGAGAAGGGAGAGATTGAAGTGTGGCACCAAGACTGAAAGGAGAACGAGGTTGAGGGATAGTGAGGGAGGTTGGAGAAGAGAGTAAAGAGAGGCCGCTTACTGGATTTAAAATTGGTGAGATGTTCCTTGGGCTGGTTGGTCTGAGGACCCGAGGTCGTAGGTGGATCTTTCTCACGGAGCAAAGAGCAGGAGGACAGGGGATTGATCTCCCAAGGGAGGTCCCCCGATCTGAGTCACGGCACCAAATTTCACTCGCGTCCGTGTGAAGAGACCACCAAACAGGCTTTGTGTGAGCAATAAAGCTTTTGAATCACCTGGGTGCAGGTAGGCTGAGTCCGAAAAGAGTCAGCGAAGGGACATGGGGTGGGGCCGTTTTATAGGATTTGCGTAGGTAAAGGAAAATTACAGTCAAAGGGGGTTCTTTTCTGGTGGGCAGGGGTGGGAGTCACAAGGTGCTCAGTGAGGGAGCTTTTGAGCCAGGATGAGCCAGGAGAAGGAATTTCACAAGGTAATGTCATCAGTTAAGGCAGGAACAGGCCATTTCCACTTCTTTTGTGGTGGAATGTCATCAGTTAAGGCAGGAACCCGCCATCTGGATGTGTACATGCAGTTCACAGGGGATATGATGGCTTAGCTTTGGCTCGGAGGCCTGACATTGGGCGCCTGTAATCCTAGCTACTTGGGAGGGAGAATCCCTTGAACCTGGGAAAAGGAGGTTGCAGTGAGCCGAGATTGTGCCACTGCACTCCAGCCTGGGCAATAGAACGAGACTCAGTCTCAAAAAAAAAAAAAAAAAAAAAAAAGCGAACAGGAGGCCAGGCTCTGCTCTGAGAGCTTTTGCTTCGTAACCCGCGTCATCTCGGGCGCGCTTTTGTTTTTATGCTCCCCATTTTACTAATGAGGGAACCGAGACTCCCAGCAAGAAACGTGGGTCTCAGCGAGTCAGCTCTCCACTCTAAACAGGTCTCTCCGGGATGGTGTCCCTGCCCCAGCTATCATAACAAAAACCGCAGTTTCCCTGGATCCCGCCAGGGCAAATATCTGGCCCGATGGCGCGGAGATAGGGCCCCAGAGTAAATAAATCTGCTGGCGGCGCTGCCTGGCGGGGGCCTCGGGTGGGTTCTCAGGTTCTCAGGCTCTTGACACCGGAGCCTCCGCCAGGCATTCCAGCTGGGAAGGGGGGTCCGGGCTCCCCGCTGGGCAAGTGCTTGAGGGTCTGGGGGGGAGTCCTGGAGGGCGGGGCGGCGGGGAGGGGCCAGCGCTCCAGCATCTCCCGGAGCTGCTTGCAGATGGGACTGGTGCGCCCCATCCCCGGGCTCTCAAGATCAGTCGCGCTGGGGGATGAGGGGGCGGGGAGTGCGCGAGACTCTGCAGGGGTCCCACTGCCACCGCCCCACTGCTTCCAGCCAGCCAGAGACTCCCCAGGGCAAGGACGAGGTCTCGGTTCCTTGCCCCCCGCCCCTTCCAGCGCCTGACGCCTGGGGGTGGGCGACGTCGAGTTGGTCGCAGCCTTGGCCGGATCCCACCCGCGTCCGCGCCTCTCTCCAGCTCTGCCCCCACCCCACCTCTCTCGGTCCCTGTCTCCAGCTCTCCGTCCCCGAATTAGCCCGTGGGGTCTCTTCCCAGGTCGTGCTCCCTACTGCAGGCTCTGTCTCCACCCCGCCCTGGCCAGGGTCGCCCACTCCCCTGCTGCAAGGACTTCAGCCTGGCCGGGGCGGTGAGCTGAGCTGCCAGAGGCGGGACACGGGGCGGGAGTGGGCAAAATGCTCAGAGAATGAACCGCCGCTGCCCCCTCCCTGGCTTGCCCGCAGGGGCGCCCCCAGAGCTCCTGAACTTTCCACAGCAGCTTCCTGGCTCTCCCCACCCTGGCTCCGGATGGGGTGTCCTGGGCCGGGCATTCTCCCCCATCTTGCTACCGCCGGCCTCCGGGGCACCACAGCCCCGGGCCTGGGCCCGCCCTGCCGATCCCTGACCCTCCAGAACATGGCCCGCAGTTATCTACCCGCTAAACCCCCTCCAGCACCCGCCCCACCAGCACCTGCCCCTCCAGCAGCCGACCCTCTGGTATCTACCCCTTACACCCCCTCCAGCACCCGCTCCGCCAGCACCTGCCCCGCCAGCACCTGCCCCGCCAGTACCTGCCCCTCCAGTACCTGCCTCGCCAGTACCTGCCCCGCCAGTACCTGCCCCGCCAGTACCTGTCCCACCAGCACCTGCCCCTCCGGCACCTGCCCCTCCAGCTCCTGCCTCCATGGTCCGAGCCCGCGGCGGCTGCAAGGGCTGCGCGGCTCCCTGGCCCGGCGCCTGCCGTCGGGCCGGCTCCGCTTGCGCCGCGGGCTCAGGTTTCCTGGTGCCTGCCGTGCGGCCGGTTAATAATTGACCGCCTTGTTTGCCCAAGGCTGGGTCAACAACAGTCGCTCCCTGGCGCCCTGCGCTCGGCCGGACCTGCCTCCCTGCCTGCCTGGGTAGGACGGGCTCGGTGGAGACTCCGCGGCGCTGTGCAGGGCTGGAGGGGTTGGGGTAGGAGGGCGAGTCAGCCACGCCGGACTAGAGAAGGCAGGGTGGCACACGAGAGTGCCCGCAAGGCCAGCGAGTCAGCATGAGACAAAGAGGAGTGGTGGGGACCTGGGCAACTGGACACCACAGCCGGACGGATGTGAGCTGCACAGACGAGAGTCATGGTGTCTCTAGCTTTCTTTTAATTTTCCAGCAACAGAAGCCAGAAACGTAGGTTTTTATGTGAAATCTCTCTTTTCTGTTTTTGTTTTGTTTTAAGGCAGAGTCTCCCTCTTTTGCCCAGGCTGGAGTTCAGTGGCGCCATCTCAGCTCACTGAAACCTCTGCCTCCCGAGTTCAAGCGATTCTCTTGCCTCAGCCTCCCGAGTAACTGGGATCACAGGCCCCGCCACCACACCTGGCTAATTTTTTTTTTTTTTTTTTTTTTTGTATTTTTAGTAGAGACAGGGTTTCACCATGTTATCCAGGATGGTCTCGATCTCCTGACCTCGTGATCCGCCCGCCTTGGCCTCCCAAAGTGCCGGAATTACAGGCGTGAGCCACTGCTCCCGGACGAAATATCTTGACTTTTAAAAATCATTTGTGTGGGACTTCTGTTCTCTGAAATGTGCCAGACTGGAGAATCTGAGGCAGGTCCCAATCCAACCACGT
The DNA here is from genome assembly GCF_000001405.40 of Homo sapiens. NCBI lineage: Eukaryota > Metazoa > Chordata > Mammalia > Primates > Hominidae > Homo > Homo sapiens. The sequence continues at coordinate 131,544,701 of NC_000009.12, read as the reverse complement.
GGAAATGCTAGAGACAGGACACCAGCATGCCAGGCAGCCTTGTATGTTCATAGCTGAGCTCCCACGTAGCCAAGAGAATCCTCAGGGACCAGCAATGAAGAGGGAGGGACAGATATGCCCAGGAAGTATGCAGCAGCCCTGGGGGCTTTGGTCTCAGAGTCTAGGGCTTGATTTTTCCATCCAGATGTGGACAGGAGGTGAAGCCTTGGGTCTGGGAAGCAGGGAGTTGGGATGAAGAGAAATGAACAGAAAACAAAATCTGCCTGTGGCCCAAAAGGGTGACAAGGAAGCTGGTGTGACCCAGCCTGGATTCTGGAAATAAAAATCTTCCTGGGAGTTGTAGCCCTGGGCCTGTTCCTCACATGAATATGGGCTTCAAATTCAGCCTATCTGCTAGTCTAGATGCCCCTACACTAAAATTGTCATTAAAACAAAATTGGCTCTAGGAAAGAGCTCTGGTCCAAAGCAAATGTAAAACTACTCTGGTGGGACATGACCCCCATCCAAGCTGACAAGAGGCCCAGCATGGTGGCTCACGCCTGTAATCTCAGTACTTTGGGAGGCCAAGGTGGGTGTATTGCTTGAGCCCAAGAGTTCAAGATCAGTCTGGCCAACATGACAAAACCCTGTCTCTACAAAAAATACAAATATTAACCAGGTGTGGTGACACACACTTGTAATCCCAGCTACTTGGTTGACTGAAGCATGAGAACTGCTTGAACCCAGGAGGCAGAGGTTGCAGTGAGCTGAGACCATGCCACTGCATTCCAGCTTGGGTGACACAGCAAGACTCTGTCTCAAAAAAAAAAAAAAAAAAAAGAATTCAAGAAAATTTCCCAGAACTAAAGGACACAAGTGTTCAGATGGAAAGAGGTCACTGAGGGCCCAACATACTGGGGAGAATACCCTCCAAAGGGACGTGATTGTGAAATTGCAAGATTCTAGCAGCAAAGAAAGATTCTGTAAATGTCCATAGGAAACAGTCAGTTTTATCCACCAGGTCAAGAATCAGAGTGAAATGGAATTATCAATGGAAATATTGAGGCCAAGTGTGATGGCACAACCATCAACATAGCAATCTCAGCACTTTGGGAGGCTGAGGCAAGATAATTGCTTGAGTCCAGGAGTTCAAGACCAGCCTGGACCACATAGTGAGACCACATCTCTACAAAAAGTTAAAAAAAAAAAAAATTAGCCAGATGTGGTGGTGTGCCTGTGGGTCCCAGCTAGGCAGGAGGCTGAGGTGGGAAGATTACTTGAACTGGGGAAGTCAAGGCTGCAGTGAACTGTTATCACACCACTACACTCCGGCCTGGGTGACAGAGCAAGACTGTGTCTCAAAAACAAAAGAAAGAAAAAGGAAAAAGAGAAGAATTACAGCAGACATCTCGTTTGAAACTATGCTAGCCAGAATACAATGAGTGATGTATTTGAACTGACGAAAAAACAAAAACAAAAAAAAAACTGTCAACTCAGAATTCTATACCCAGTAAAAATTCATTAAAAAACAAGATTTAAAAAAACCTCTTTAGGCCGGGTGCGGTGGCTCACGCCTGTAATCCCAGCACTTTGGGAGGCCGAGGCGGGTGGATCATGAGGTCAGGAGATCGAGACCATCCTGGCTAACACGGTGAAACCCCATCTCTACTAAAAATACAAAAAATTAGCCAGGCGAGGTGGCGGGCGCCTGTAATCCCAGCTATGCGGGAGGCTGAGGCAGGAGAATGGCGTGATCCCCTGGGGGTGGAGCCTGCAGTGAGCCGAGATCGCGCCACTGCACTCCAGCCTGGGCGACAGCAAGACTCCGTCTCAAAAAAAAAAACCTCTTTAAAAATAAAACAAAAACATTTTAAATTTGCAATATCAAGCCATGAAAAGACATGAAAGGACCTTAAATGAATATTGCTAAGTGAAAGAAGCCAATCTGAAAAGGCTACATATTGTATGATTTCAACTAGATGATGTTCTGGAAAAAGGAAAACTATGGAAGATCAATGGTGAACAGTGGTTAGGGAGAGGAAGAGATGAATAGCAGAAAGGATTTTTAGGGCAGTGAAACTACTCTGTATAATACTATAGGCTGGGTGCAGTGGCTCATACCTGTAATCCCAGCACTTTGGGAGGCCGAGGTGGGCGGATCATTTGAGGTCAGGAGTTTGAGACCAGCCTGGTCAACATGGCAAAACCCCATCTCTACCAAAAATACAAAAATTAGCCAGACGTGGTGGCAGGTGCCTGTAATTCCAGCTACTTAGGAGGCTGAGGCAGGAGAATTGCTTGAATCCTGGAGGTGGAGGTTGCAGTGAGACGAGATCATGCCACCACACTCCAGCCTGGGCAACAGAGTGAGACTCCGTCTCAAAAACAATAATAATATCATGGTGAATACATGTTATTATAAATTTTTCCAAATGCATAGAATGTACAGCAAGAGTGAGCTCTAATGTAGCGATGGACACTGGTGATAATGGTGTGTCCATATAGGTTCACTGATTGCAACAAATGTACCACTCTGGTGTGGGGTGTTGAAAATGAGGGAGACTGTGAATGTGAGGGTAGGGAGTATATGGGAAAATCTTTGCACCTTCAGTTCAATTTTTCTGTGAACCTAAAACTGCTCTAAAAAGATAAAGTCTATTACAATTCTTTTTTAAAAAGAAAAATAGGCCGGGTGCGGTGGCTCACGCCTGTAATCCCAGCAGTTTGGGAGGCAGAGGTGGGCGGATCACGAGGTCAAGAGATCAAGACCATCCTGGCTAACACGGTGAAACCCCGTCTCTACTAAAAATACAAAAAATTAGCCGGGTGTGGTGGCGGGTGCCTATGGTCCCAGCTACTCGGGAGGCTGAGGCAGGAGAATGGCGTGAACCCGGGAGGTGGAGCTTGCAGTGAGCCGAGATTGTGCCACTGCACTCCAGCCTGGGCGACAGAGCGAGACTCCATATCAAAAAAAAAAAAAAAAAAAGAAAAATAATTTCTCATCCAAAACAAACAAAAACAACAGAGGAAGTTCATTCAGGCAGAAGAAATAAAAAAACTAAAGCAAAGGCCAGGTGCGTGGCTCATGCCTGTAACTGCAGCACTTTGGGAGCTCAAGGTAAGCAGATCACTTGAGGTTGGGAGTTCAAAACCAGCCTGGCCAACATGGTGAAACCCCATCTCTTCTAAAAATAAATAAATAAATAAAATACAGGCATGGTGGTGGGTGCCTGTAATCCCAGCTACTTGGGAGGCTGAGGCAGGAGAATTGCTCAAACCCAGGAGGCAGAGGTTGCAGTGAGCTGAGATCATGCCACTGTACTCCAGCCTGGGTGACAGAGCAAAACTCCATCTCAAAAAAAAAAAAAGGAAAACAAAAAAACGCTAAAGCAAAAATAGTAGGAATTTATTTGTGTTTATAGCATACTAAAAAATAAATCAGGCTAGGCACAGTGGCTCATGCCTGTAATCCCAACACTTTGGGAGGCGGAGGCGGGTGGATTCCTTGAACTCAGGAGTTCAAGACCAGTCTGGGCAACATGGCAAAACCCTGTCTCTACAAAAAATACAAAAACTAGCTGGGCATGGTGGTGTGTGCCTATAGTCCCAGCTACTTAGGAGGCTGAGGTAGGAGGATCACCTGAGCATGGGAGGCAGAGGCTGCAGTGAGCTGAGATCGCATTGAGCCACTGCATTCCAGCCTGGGAGACAGAGTGGGACCCTGTTCAAAAAATTAATTAATTCATTAATTATGTGACACAATAGAACAAGTGATGGGAGGGGTTGGCGCTGCACTGCTGTAAAGCTATTACACTATGCACCAGCAATATAACATTATTTGAAGATAAACAGATTAATTAAATACATATGTCATAAACCCTAGGGCAATCACTAGATTTTTATTGAAAAGATCTCAACAATAATGTAATAGAGGAGATAAATGGAACCATAAACAATTTTCAATTAACCCATGAGGAATTAGAAAAAGAGGAAACATCAATTCAAGCACAGATAGAACAAATAGAAAAGAGCATGACTAGGGCTATGGTGAGGCCAGTGAGGTCCTGAGATGCAAAATGTAAGGGTTACTCACTTTCAGGACCACACATGTGCAGAATTCAGCACTCGTGTGAATCCGAGAGTTTACAGCCAAGAATCCTGGCCGACGGCACTGGAGCCAGGTGGTCAAGGTGAGCACCACCAGGAATAACTAGAGATGGGCTTGGTGCCTATGTTACCCAGGCTGGTCTTGACTCCTGGGCTGCAGTGATCCACCCACCTTGGCTACTCAAAGTGCTGGGATTACAGGTATGAGCTATTGCATCCAGCCTCTACAAAAGATGTTTTTTTTTTTTTTTATTGAGACAGAGTCTAGCTGTGTCACCCAGGCTGGAATACAGTGGCATGATCTAAGCTCACTGCAACCTCTGCCTCCTGGGTTCAAGCAATTCTCCTGCATCAGCCTCCCGAGTAGCTGGGATTACAGGTGTCTGCCACCACACCTGGCTAATTATTGTATTTTTTGTAGAGATGGAGTTTTGCCATGTTGGCCAGGCTGGTCTCGAAATCCTGACCTCAGATGATCCGCCTGCCTCAGACTCCCAAAGTGCTGGGATTATAAGCATGAGTGCCTGGCTGGCCAGCCTACTCTTTAACTCCTGGCCCCAAGTGATCCGCCTGCCTAGCCTCCTAAAGTCCTGGGATTACAGGCATGAGCCACTGCAACAGGCCCCTACAAAACATTTTGATGTCTTTATTTTTTATGATTAGAATTTTCACTTGGTTCTTTAAAAAAGTCTACAATTTTTGCCAGACACAGTGGCTAACATTTTTAATCCCAGCAACTTGGGAGGCTGAGGCAGGAGGATTGCTTGAGGCCAGGAGTTCAAGACCAGCCTGGGCAACATAGAAAGGCCCTTTCTCTAAAGTAAATTTAAAAATGAGCCAGGTGTGGTGGCACCCACCTGCGGTCTCAGATACTCAGGAAGCTGAGGCAGGAGGATCACTTGAGCCCAGGAAATTGAGGTTAGCAATGAGCTATGATCGTGCCACTGCACTCCAGCCTGGGTGACAGGGCAAGATCCTGTCTCTAAAAACATAAAATAAATATAGAAATAAAATGAAAATCTACAACTTTAATGTTTTTTTGCTTTGCTTTCTCCTCAAATGGCTTCTATTAATTATTTCAAACTCATAGAAAAAGTTGCAAGAATAGTAGAAAGAAGAGCCATGTCACCTGGTGTGTTATGGGCTATATTGTGTCCCCTGCCATGTTCGTATGTTGAAGTCCTAACCCCCAGTGCCTCAGTGTGTGACTGTATTTGGAGACAGAGCCTCTGCAGAGGTGATGAAAGCTAAGTGAGCTCATAAGCGTGGATCCTAATTGAATAGGACTGGTGTCCTTATAAGAAGAGGAAGAGGCCAGGCGCGGTGGCTCACGCCTGTAATCCCAACACTTTGGGAGGCTGAGGCAGGCAGATTACCTGAGGTCAGGAGTTTGAGACCAACCTGAGCAACATAGCGAAACCCTGTCTCTACTAAAAATAGAAAAATTAGCCAGGCGTGGTGGTGCACACCTGTAATCCCAGCTACTCGGGAGGCTGAGGCAGGAGAATCGCTTGAACCCAGGTGGCAGGGGTTGCAGTGAGCCGAGATTGTGCCACTGCACTCCAGCCTGGGTGACAGAGCAAGACTCCGTCTCAAAAAAAAAAAAAAAAAAAAAAAAACAAGAGGAAGGGGCTGGGCACAGTGGCTCATGCCTGTAATCCCAGCACTTTGGGAGGCCGAGGCGGGCGGATCACCTGAGGTCAGGAGTTCAAGACCAGCCTGGCCAACATGGTGAAACCCCGGGCGTGATGGCGGGTGCCTGTAATCCCAGCTATTCGGGAGGCTGAGGCAGAAGAATCGCTTGAACCTGGGAGGCGGAGGTTGCAGTGAGCCGAGATCACGCCATTGCATTCTAGCCTTGGCGGCAGAGCGAGACCCCGTCTCAAAAAAAAAAAAAAAAGCTGAAGAGGGAAGAGACCCCAGGGGTGTGCGGACACAGTGACAACCGCATGAAGAGTCAGTGAGGGAGGAGCAGCCGTCTTCCGTGGAAACCAACCCTGCACCTTGACGTTGGACTTCTAACCTGCAGAACAGGGAGGAAATACATTTCTTTTTTGAGACGGAGTCTCACTCTGTCACCCAGGCTGGAGTGCAGTGGCGCGATCTCGGCTCACTGCAAGCTCCACCTCCCGGGTTCACACCATTCTCCTGCCTCAGCCTCCCGAGTAGCTGGGACTACAGGCGCCCACCACCACGCCCGGCTAATTTTTTATATTTTTAGTAGAGACGGGTTTTCACCGTGTTAGCCAGGATGGTCTCTATCTCCTGACCTCATGATCCGCCCACCTCGGCCTCCCAAACTGCTGGGATTACAGGCGTGAGCCACCGTGCCCGGCCCCTGAGGAAACAGATTTCTGTTGTCAAAGCCACTCGGCCCGTAGCACTTTGTGACGGCGGCAGGAGCGGACTCATCATCGCCCCGTAGCCCTTGCACAGACCCCTCAGCGGCTCACATTTTGCACTCTTTGCTTGGTATTTGTATGCTCTCTGTTCATACACAGACACAGACGCACACATGCGTGCACATATACTTAATTTTTTTCTGAATATTTGAGAATAAATAGCATATATCATGGTGATTTACCGCTAAATAACTGTGTGCATTTCCTAAAAATAAGGATATTTTCTTACATAACCTCAGCACGGTTATCGAATTCAGTGACGTGAACACTGGTGCAATAAGATACACTCTAATCCAAGGGTCACCAACCCTTTAGATGCCACGGACCCGAACCCTGGTCTGCATAGCAGGCGGTGAGTGGCGGGCAAGAGAGTGAAGCTTTGCCTGTATTTACAGCAGGTCCCCATCACTCATGTTACTGCCCGAGCTCTGTCTCCTATAAATACATGTGCAGTTCAGCAGCAGCATTAGATTCTCACAGGACCGTGAACCCTGTTGTGAACTGCGCATGTGACGGATCTGGCTTGCGTGCTCCTTAAGAAAATCTAATGCCTGATGATCTGTCATTGTCTCTCATCACCCCCAGATGGGACCACCCAGTTGCAGGAAAACAAACTCAGGGCTCTCACTGATTCTACATCAAGGTGAGTTGTATAATTATTTCATTATATATGCCAATGTAATCATAACATAAATAAAGTGCACAATAAATGTAATACACTTGAATCATCCCAGAACCGCCCCCCACCCCCACCCCCACCCCCTACCCAGTCTGTGGAAAAGTTGTCTTCCATGTCCCTGGTGCCAAAAAGCCTGGGGACCACTGCTCTAATCTACTGTCTGTATTACCATTTTGTCAAATTACTCAAGAATGTCTTTTCTTTCCTAGCATATTTGTTGCTATCCTAGGATTACGTGTTGCATTTAGCTGTCAGGTCTTCAAACACTTTAATAGACTATATATGTGTGTGTATATATATATTTTGTTGTTGTTGTTTTGTTTTGTTTTGTTTTTGTTGTTGTTTTTTTGAGATGGAGTTTCACTCTTGTTGCCCAGGCTGGAGTGCAGTGGTGTGATCTCGGCTCACTGCAATCTCCACGTCCTGGGTTCAAGCGATTCTCTAGCCTAAACCCCCGAGTAGCTGGGATTACAGGCATGTGCCATGACACTCAGCTAATTTTTGGTGTTTCAGAAGAGACGAGGTTTCACCATGTTGGCCAGGCTGGTCTCAAACTGCTGACCTCAAGTGGTCCACCCACCTCAGCCTCCCAAACTGCTGGGATTACAGGCATGAGCCACCATGCCTGACCAACAGACTTATTTTTAAGTCCTTTTCAAATGGAATCATTTGTATCTTCTCAGATGTGATTTCATCACTAGTCGACACCTGTTGACTGTTCTACAAGGGGGCAGATTTCCCCCTCTTTGTAATTTTTGTCTGTGAGTTCATCTTCAGCAGGCATTGTCTTCTAAAAGCATCCTGCACGTGCCATGTTGGTGCCCTGGAATATCAGAGTTTCGCATTTGTCTCTGTGAGGGGTTCCTATGTGTGCACCAGTTGTGGCTGGCCTATTTTTCTTTTCTTAAGACAGAGTCTCTGTCACCCAGGTTGGAGTGCAGTGATGCCATCATAGCTCACTGCAGCCTTGAACTCCTGGGCTTGAGCAACCCTCCCACCTCAGCCTCCCTAGTAACTGGGACTATAAGTATGTGCCACCACCACCACACCTAGCTGGTTTTTTGTTTGTTTGTTTGTTTTTTGTTTTGTTTTGTTTTGCTGGCCAGGCACGGTAGCTCACACCTGTAATCCCACCACTTTGGGAGGCCGAGGTGGGCAGATCACCTGAGGTCAGGAGTTTGAGACCAACCTGGCCAACATGTCAAAACCCTGTCTCTACTAAAAATACAAAACTTAGCCGGGCATGGTAGAGCATGCCTGTAATCCCAGCTACTTGGGAGTCTGAGGCAGGAGAATCGCTTGAACCCGGGAGGCGGAGGTTGCAGTGAGCTGAGATTGCACCACTGCACTCCAGCCTCGGTGACACAGTGACACTCCATCTCAAAAAAAAGAAAGACAGGGTCTCACTATGTTGCCCAGGCTGGTCTTGAACTCTTGGCCTCAAGCAATCCTCCCACCTCAGCCTCCCAAAATGCTGGGATTACAGGTGTGCGCCACCATGCCTGGTCTGAACCATTTTTATGTCAGTTTGTTAGCTTGGAGTTTCTGTCCCATGTGGGTGGCCCAGGTGTAGCGCAGGCCCCCGACTCCACATTCTTAGATATGACTCCGTTTACCCAGAGTTCGAGTGCTGCACTGGTTTCTCTAGTTTCACAAAAGGGCAACTCATCTTGGGCTCCAGCTGTCTGCAGAGGGCCAGTTCCAGAACCTCCTGCTGTGTGTGAAGCTGCGGCTTTGACTCCCACCCCTAAGACATACCTGGTCCTGGACCCTTTATAGGCAACTCAGCTTCAAACCACTGGCTATGGGACCTTCTTCATTCCAAGAGCCTGGCTGTCATGTTTCCCCGTCTTGTCTTTGAGCAGGGAGATGGTGCAGTTCTGTGTGTGTGTCGAGTGTGTATATGTGAATATGTGCGTTGGCTTCCTACACCTGCTGTCTCAGCCAACTTGACGGAGGTCTCTTGCAGCTGCAAGCCTTGGGCAAGCCACATAATCACTCTGTTTCTCAATTTACCCATCAGGAAAATGGTATCACAATGGTACCCATATCGCAGGGTGGCTGTGAGGCTTTAATGCTATTTAAGATATGCAACTGGCCGGGCACGGTGGCTCAGGCCTGTAATCCTAGCACTCTGGGAAGCCGAGGCAGGAGGATCACCTGAGGGTCAGGAGTTTGAGACCAGCCTGGCCAACATGGTGAAACCCCATCTCTACTAAAAATACAATATTAGCCGGGCGTGGTGGCAGGCGCCTGTAATCCCAGCTATTCAGGAGGCTGAGGCAGGCGAATCACTTGAACCTGGGAGGTGGAGGTTGCAGTGAGCCAATATCGCGCCACTGCACTTCAGCCTGGGAGACAAAGTGAGATTCCGTCTCGAAAAACAAACAAACAAAAAAAAAACCCACACCACCAAACCTTGTTTAGCCTCTCGTTCCGTTATCTAGAACAGCCATGTCAGACCAGAAGGGCACACCCCAGAACTCAAAACCATGCTTTTCCCTGGGTGAGGAGTAAGGGGTGGTTCTAGTTTTGGTTGTGTGTTTGTGTGTATACATTTTCTGCAATCAGCAGGAGTCACTTTTATGATTACAGGGAAAAGGGCAATCAATACTTAAAACAGCAGGCACCTGCTTATCTCTTTAAGCGCTGAGAGCCAGCTAGTGTTCAATAAAAGCTTCAGGACATGCTTGGCATGAGCTGACATTTTTGTAGTGGTTAGGGTGGCTTGAAGGAGGAGGGAGGAGGGCAGCCATGGAGAGCGGTGTTTCCTGTACTGCATGTGTTTGAGGGGGCAGGGGGAGCAGTTTTAGATTCACAGAAAAATTGAGCAGAAGGTGCAGAGATTTCCTATATACTCCCCACTCCCCCACATGCACAGCCTCCCCGATTTTCAACATCCCGCACCAGAGAGCAGGTAAGAGAATGAATCCAGAGTAGACAGTGGTCACTCTTAGGAGTACTGCCTTGCCTGGCTCTGGGAAACCCAAACTCCGAGGGCTCCAAGCCTCCACCCAACTCTCCACCTACCCCCACCCCCCAATTCAGCAACAACGTTTTTTTGTTTTTTTTTTTTTTTTTGGAGACAGGGTCTCGCTCTGTTACCCAGGCTGTAGCGCAGCGGCGCGATTTCTCTTCAATGCAACCTCTGCCTCCCAAGCTCAAGCAATCCTCCCATCTCAGCCTCCCCAGTAGCTGGGACCACAGGCCTATGCCACCACACTCAGCTAGTTTTTATTTTTTTCTTTTTTTGCAGACAGAAAAAAAAGTGCAGTGGCACGATCTCAGCTCATTGCAACCTCTGCCTCCTGGGTTCAAGTTCTCCTGCCTCAGCCTCCTGAGTAGCTGTGATTACAGGCGCATGCCAACATGCTCGGCTTATTTATTTACTTATTTATTTATTTATTTTTGCCCAGGCTGCAGTGCAGTGGCGTGATCTCGGCTCACTGCAATCTCCGCCTCCCAGGTTCAAGCGATTCTCCTGCCTCAGCCTCCCGAGTAGCTGGGATTACAGGCGCCCGCCACTGTGCTCAGCTAATTTTTTGTATTTTTAGTAGAGACGGGGTTTCACTATGTTGGCCAGGCTAGTCTTGAACTCCTGACCTCGTGAGTCGCCTGCCTCAGCCTCCCAGAGTGCCGGGATTACAGGCGTGAGCCACCGTGCCCGGCCAATTTTTGTATTTTTAGTAGAGATGGAGTTTCACCATGTTGGCCAGGCTGGTCTCGAACTCCTGACCTCAAGTGATCCGCCTGCCTCGGCCTCCCAGAGTGCTGGGATTACAGGCGTGAACCACTGCACCCGGCTGACTCATGCTTCTTTAAGGACACTCTTCGGCTGGGCACAGAGGCTCACACCTGTAATCCCAGCACTTTGGGAGGCTGAGGCAGGTGAATAGGAGTTCGAGACCAGCCTGGGCAACATGGCAAAACCCTGTCTCTATACTAAAAATACAAAAATTAGTCGGGCCTGGTGGCAGGTGCCTGTAGTCCCAGCTACTCGGGGAGGCTGAGGCAGGATAATTGCTTGAACTCGGGAGGCGGAGGTTGCGGTAAGCCAAGATTATGCCACTGCACTCCAGCCTGGGCAACAGAGCAAGATTCCGTCTCAAAACGAACAAAAAAAACCCATAAAAGTCACTCTTCTTCACAATATGGGGAGTTGGGGACCAGCTAGAGGTTTGGGGCTGGCCCTCTGCTTGGTGGTGGTTGGGATGGTCCCATAGGGGAGCCACTGTGGCCCAGAGGCCTGAGCCGTGTGGGCCCGGGCCTTGTTTACTGGACTGTGGGCTTCCTGGGTGCTGGGCCTGCTCCCAGGGAGTGGCTCCTTCCCAAAGCGTCCCTTTGCCTTGGGAGCGGAACCACGCAATAGCCTGACTGGCCCTGGCAGCCCATGCCTTGTGGCCAGTCACCAGAGAGGGCACACGAGACCCAGGCCAGGGGTATCAGGGACAGCCCCTGGTCAGACTCTGCTAGTTTCCCTGCCTTTCGCTACGTGGCTGGACCACAGGGGAAGAAATGGCAAGAAACCGTGTCTAACTCTCCCTTGATACAAATTCAAAGTTGGCTTGGGGGATGGCCACCTTTGGGACACACACCTGGACAGATCTAAGCCAGCAGCGTGGCTGTTTGCTAGGCACTGTTCTGTGCCTGGGGCTTAATTTACAGAGGTACGGCTGAATGACCATGAGGAGAGGCCAAAGCCATCGCAAGATTGATCGCATTTCCTGAGAGAAGGGGCACCCATGCCATGCACGGTTCTCAGTAGAGAACCCCAGGTTTGGTCAGGAGGCAGAAGCAGGGGCGAGGGGAGAGCCCAGGCCTGAGGCTTTCTTGGGGTTTCCATGGAAAAGGCCTGGCAGGGCAGGGAAAGAGTTTAAAATTGGCTAGTTTGAGTAATTCTAGCAGGCTCTGGGCTGCAGAGTGGTCTCTAGTCACCTGATACCTGGCCCTGGGTGACTTAGGGCAGGGAGAATCTTGCCTCCAAAGGCGAGAATTAGATAAGGAGGTAGCTGGGGCTGTAGACTTGGGGTCTTTTTTTTTTTTTTTTTTTTTTTTGAGACAGAGTCTCACTCTTTCCCCCAGGCCGGAGTGCAGTAGCGTGATCTTGGCTCACTGCAAGCTCCACCTCCCGGGTTCACACCATTCTCCTGCCTCAGCCTCCCGAGTAGCTGGGACCACAGGCGCCCGCCACCATGCCCGGCTAATTTTTTGTATTTTTAGTAGAGACGGGGTTTCACCATGTTAGCCAGGATGGTCTCGATCTCCTGACCTCGTGATCCACCCGCCTCGGCCTCCCAAAGTGCTGGGATTACAGGTGTGAGCCACCGCGTCCGCCCGGGGTTGTCTGTTTTGTATATGAAAAGCATGCTCTGCCCCGAGCCTTAGCTATCTCTCTCTCTTTTTTATTTTTGAGACGGAGTCTTGCTCTGTGGCCCAGGCTGGAGTGCAGTGGCACCATCTCGGCTCACTGCAACCTCCACCTCCCGGGTTCAAGCGATTCTCCTGCCTCAGCCTCCCAAGTAGCTGGGATTACAGGCGCCCGCCACCACGCCCAGCTGATTTGTTGCATTTTTAGTAGAGGCGGGGTTTCACCGTGTTCGCCAGGATGGTCTCGATCTCCTGACCTCGTGATCTACCCGCCTCAGCCTCCAAAAGTGTTGGGATTACAGGCGTGAGCCACCGCGCCCGGCTGGAAATCCATAATTTCAATGGATCAGAATTTGCCTGTCACGTTCTCTGTGCCAGGCACGGAGCGGGGGGGCGGCAGGGATGGAACCCGGCACATGGGCCTCTGCCTCCTTGGCGCGCTGTAGGCGCGAGCCTAAAGTCATCAGGCGACAGCCCCCGCCACGTTCCGGGGCGCCCCGACGGCTCCAGCAGCGGGTGGGGTGGGAGGCGTCCGGACAGTCCGGAGGCCTCGATGGCCAAGAGGAGCCTGGGCTGGAGGGGGCCAGGCCCGGGGGCGGCCGGGGGAGGGCCCGGGACTGGCGCAGAGGCAGCGCGAGGCAGAGGCAAGCACTCGGACGAAGGCGCAGCCCCAGCCTCGGGGTGCGGAACGGGCACCTTCCGGGCCACTTGAGTCTGAGACCTTGTAGCCGGCTCGAGGCCCGGGCGCAGCAGTCCCTGCCAGCCAGCTTTCGGCGCAATGGGACGCGGGCGCTCCTGGTGTGCCGGCCTCGGGCCCTGCACCCTCACGCATGCGCGGCCCCCCCCCCCCCGGTGGACTACAACTCCCGGCGTGCCCCGCGCGCCTCCCGGAAGTGATCGCTCCGGTTGCCTCCGACCTCGGCGCTGGGCGGGCGCGCCGGGCCTGGGGAAGGGGCGGGCGCGGGGACCCGATGCGCGGGAGCGGAGGCCGAGATGGCTTCGGCGGGAGGCGAAGACTGCGAGAGCCCCGCGCCGGAGGCCGACCGTCCGCACCAGCGGCCCTTCCTGATAGGGGTGAGCGGCGGCACTGCCAGCGGGAAGGTAAGGGGCCGAGCGGGCCGGGGTCTCGCCTCTCGCCGGTGCCTACGGGCGGCCCGGTCCAGAGAGGAGACCCCAGCCCCGGCCGAGGGGCCCCCTGCCAGGCAGGGGCAGGGCGCGGGAGCGAAGGGGCTGCAGGCCGCGATGGGCCGGGGCGGGCTGGGGCGGGCGAGGGGTTGGGGCGCTGGGCCTCGGGGCTCCCCCACAGCCTCTCCGCCGGCCGGGCTCCTCGGAGCCCCAAGTCCGTGCTAACCCCGTTGGGCCCCCGCGGCCCTTCCGCTGAGACCATCCACACCTGTTGGTGTCCTCCCGCCTTCCGAGCATACCCCCCAGGGGGCGGGTGGGTCAGTGTCTCCAGAAGCCGGCCCCGTGCCTGTCACAGGACGAGCGGTTCCAGGCGGGAATCCCGCTTCTGTGTCTCCAGTCGACCGTGTGTGAGAAGATCATGGAGTTGCTGGGACAGAACGAGGTGGAACAGCGGCAGCGGAAGGTGGTCATCCTGAGCCAGGACAGGTTCTACAAGGTCCTGACGGCAGAGCAGAAGGCCAAGGCCTTGAAAGGACAGTACAATTTTGACCATCCAGGTAAATCGCGAGCCCAACGATGTGGGGAGGGCAGACCCCATTCTGGGCGGCCGCTAACCAGCTGCGCTTGGGCCCAAGGTTGGATGGATGCAGACCCGCTTGGGCTGTTCCCCCAACTCGCCACGCAGCCTGCAGTGGAGTTGGCTGCACAGTGAAGTCAGGGGAACTTTGCTGAGTTCTCTGGGCCCTGAGTGTCCCCCCAGGAGCGTGGTTGGAGCCAGTCAGGAAGCCTGTTGCACTGTGGGGAGCCCTGCCCTGCCCTGCCACAACTGTGATCCTGGAGAAATCCTCCCATCTTCCCTTCCCACGTTGGGGCCTTTAGGGCCCTCCACACACACCTCTGCCCACTGTGCCCTCCCGTGCTTTGGGGCAAAGTCCTCAGAGAGGCCAGTGTGGGAGGCGGTAGGTAAACTAGTGCTGGTGGCTTGAAGCTCCGGGCCAGGTAAACGGGCAGATGCGGCAGGGAGACACCTGCCACTGCTAGAAGATTCCACCCTGGCTGGCTGGCATGGTCAGCCTTTTCCCAAGGACTTGTGGGAAGAAGGCCTGCAAAGCCGCAGTCTAACCAGTTAGTCCCAGAAAGAGAGAGAAGCAGAGGCCCAGCCTACCCACCTCCCAGGAAGAGCTGATCAGAAAACCCCTGTGTTCCGGCATCTCAGGGGCACAGAGCTTGGGCAGTGGCACAGCCCGAGAACAGCAAGGACAGGGTCATCCTGTGGTCTGCAGGGCTGCAGAGGGCACTGTTGCTACCAAACATACACTGCCGTAGTCCTAGTCTACCTGTGCTAGGGTTCTCGGTGTCCCCAGCACCCAGCTGTGCTGACCCCAGAGCAGAGAGGGTTCCCTGCTGTCCGCTGCACGAGGGCATCTGCCTGTCTTGCCTTTGTCTCCAACCCTGCAGATGCCTTTGATAATGATTTGATGCACAGGACTCTGAAGAACATCGTGGAGGGCAAAACGGTGGAGGTGCCGACCTATGATTTTGTGACACACTCAAGGTAAGCAGGTGGTTCTAGGGAGGGCCGAGGAGAGGGGCCAGCTAGGACGTCCCCTCGGGCTCACACAGACCTGCCTGGCGGCAGGCCTCCCCCGGTTGGTTTCTGTGGGTCCCCCACCCCTTCCCACAGTCAGTGTCCCTGCAATGGAAGCTGACTGTGTGTGTGGCCTGGAGACCCTGTGTCTGCAGCAGAGCCCCTTTCCCCGTGCGCCCCTCAGGTTACCAGAGACCACGGTGGTCTACCCTGCGGACGTGGTTCTGTTTGAGGGCATCTTGGTGTTCTACAGCCAGGAGATCCGGGACATGTTCCACCTGCGCCTCTTCGTGGACACCGACTCCGACGTCAGGCTGTCTCGAAGAGGTAAGGCGGCCGCGGGCCTCCGTGCCTGCCTGGCCGAGGCTGGCGGCAGGTCCTGAGGTCTGAAGCACGCCTGCCCCTTGCCGCTGCAGTTCTCCGGGACGTGCGCCGAGGGAGGGACCTGGAGCAGATTCTGACGCAGTACACCACCTTCGTGAAGCCGGCCTTCGAGGAGTTCTGCCTGCCGGTACCTGTGCTCGCTGCTTCAGAGCCCATTTTCCCCTTTCACAAGGACACATGGGACCCAGTACTGTGAGAGGGCTTAGTGCTGGGTGACAGTGATCTGATTGAAAAAAAGGAGAAGAATTTGGCTCATTATGGCCACATACCCTGGGAGTAGTTCTCAGCTGTAAAAACATTCTCTGTGCCTGCTCCTCCCTCTGCCTAAAAAAGCCCCATATCTCCCCCACATTCACACTGGCCGCTTCCTCCCTGCCTCAGGCCCTTGCCCAGCGTCCCCATTCAACACTGAAAACCCTCTGCACCCAGCGCCAGCCTCTCTGCCTGCTTCCTTTTTCCGGGGCACTTACCATCATCTGACACGTCCTGGGTGCTTATTCCCCGCAGAGTGGGGAAGCCCAGGAGCACTTTAGTCTGTTCACTGCCAAGGCCGGGATCTGGCCCTCAGAAGGTGCTTCAGAGCTGCTCCTCCAGGGTCTGTGACCCCAGGCTGCTCTGGGCCAGTGCTCTGAAATCTTGGAGTGAGCGCTGTGCCCAGATCCCAGCTGGCTCGCAGAGAGCAGGAACTCCCCGCTGCACACCCACCTGTCTTTTCTCCATTTCTCCATCTTGTGTTTCTGGCTTGGTGGGACTCGTGGCTCTACTCAAATGGGAGTGTTTTGCACGGGAACATTTTGCCTGTTAAGGTAAAAATACAGCACAAAGGAACTGAAACCAAGATTCCTGCCTTTGATAATGTAGGACAAGTAAGTTCTATCTGCTGCTTTTTTTTTTTTTGAGATAGGGTCTCTTTTTGTCGTCTAGGGTGGAGTGCAATGGCACGATCTCGGCTCACTCCAAACTCCACCTCCCAAGTTTAAGCAATTCTCCTGTCTCACCCTTCCGAGTAGCTGGGATTACAGGCGTACGCCACCACACCCAGCTAATTTTTGTATTTTTAGTGGAGATGGGGTTTTGCCATGTTGGCTGGGCTGGTCTCGAACTCCTGGACTCAAGTGACCCACCCACTTTGGCCTCCCAAAATGCTGGGATTGAGCCACTGTGCCTGGCCTTTTTTTAAATTTTATTTTTAATGAGGCAGAGTCTTGCTCTGTTGCCCAGGCTGGAGTACAGTGGTGCAATCACAGCTCACTGCAGTCTTGACCTCCTAAGCTCAAGCGATCCTTCCACCTCAGCAACCCGAGTAGCTGGGCCCACAGGCGTGCACCACCATGCTCGGTTAATTTTTAAATTTTTTGTAGAGATGGGGTCTCCCTGTGTTGCCCAGGCTGGTCTCCATCTCCTGGGATCTAGTGGTCCTCCCACCTCAGCTTCCCAAAGTGCTGAGATTACAGGTGTGAGCCACTATGCCTGGCCTATTGGCTGCTATATAAAGAAAACTTTTGTTTTTTTTTGCATTCATGCTGTCTGAAATTTCTAAAATATAATTTTAAAAGTAAAGTTAACTTGTTTTAGTCTCTCATTCACAGAAAGATATTTGGCAAAAAGTAGGTGATTCGCAGTAAAACTCTGGATATCAAATCTGCCTCAGCGACCTGAGTAGAGGAAGTGCTGTCACCTGCTATGTTCTGGGCCCAGGCCCCAGAGATGTTTTTGGTTGGTTTGTTTGCTTGCTTGTTTTTTGAGACAGGGTCTCCCTCTGCCACCCAGGCCCAAGTGCAGTGGTGAGATCTTGCTTCACTGCAGCCTCCACCTTCCACTCTCAAGTGATCCTCCCACCTCAGGCTCCTGAGTAGCCAGAGACTACAGGCACGCACCACCACGCCTGGCTAATTTTTCCTTTTTTTTTTTTTTTTGCACAGACGGGGTTTTGCCATGTTGGCTGGGCTGGTCTCAAACTCCTGGCCTCAAGCAGTCCACCCACCTCAGCCTCCCAAAGTGCTGGGATCACCGGCGTGAGCCACCGCACCCGGCCCCAGCCCCACCCAGAGCCGTTCTTGAGCCTCCTTTTCCTTCACCTTCATGTTGAGTGGCTTGTGCAGTCCTCTGCCTGGACCCCGTAGGTATTTCCCAACTGTATTCAGGCCCATCCCTGCTGGCGGTTAAGACCCCTGTCAGCTCTCCCGGACTCCTCCAGCCCGTCAGACTATCAGACTAGAATAGAAAGCAGCCCTCGCCCTTGCGCTCGTGCTTTCATGAGATGGGGTCCCACCAACTGCAGACACAGCTGTCCCCAGGACTTGGTCCCTGTCTGCCTCTTGCAGCTTGTCTCTTCTGCCGCCTTCTTGACCCAAATCCACACGCCAGCAGCACGCACCGTTCCAAGTTCCGTCCTTCGGCCCAGACCCTGCCCTCCCTCTTCCCTCAGCTTTGTCTGATTCAGCCATGTTCTCCAGGCTGCTTCCCCTTCCCTAAAGCCACCCCCCAACCCCCACCATCTGGCTGCGGACCCTCCCCAGCAGCCCTGCATTTCCTGATATATCTCCATCCTTGTCCTTCCTCAGCAGCAGAGCATCTGACAGGGAATGAGAGTCAGCATTGAGCCAATGAGTGGTTGGATGAGGGAGTAAGTTACCATCAGCGTCTCTGCCTGCAGTAATTATGCACGGCGGCGGCTGTCCTGTTGCTGTGCCAGGGTATTTGCAGAAGCTTCATGATTCCAGAGGAACAATGTCACACTTTGTAGAAGTGCCACACTTAGCTTGGCCCAGTGAATTGAGTCGTTAGCGTAGCCAGCTGTCTCCTGTAATGGAGTGGGAACACTGGAAGGGGGCTGTCTTCTGTGATGGAATGGGGACACTGGAAGAGGCACTTTCTTTTGGCTGCCTCAGCTGCACTTTCTGCCTCACTTCTTGGATCATGGCCTCTCACACCTGGCTGATGACTGAGTCTGTGTCCCCCATTTGCCGATGACACCAGCACCTCTGAGCACCCCAGGGCCGCCCCTCCTGCTGTTGCATCTGTTTCTGAGCATCTTAAAATCACCTTTGAAGGAAAAGTCCTCACAGGAACACCCCCCCTTGTGCCTTACAGACAAAGAAGTATGCCGATGTGATCATCCCGCGAGGAGTGGACAATATGGGTAAGAAGCTGGCCTGCTGGGCTGTCCCCCCGCCCCTCCCAGAGCTTGAGGCAGGGACAGTTCCACCAGTGTGCAGTTACTGAGCACTCCCCTGCGCACGCGGCCTGCCAGTGTTGATCTGCGGCACAGGGTTAAAATATGCTTAAAAATGTATGTAGCTGGGCGCGGTGCCTCACACTGGTAATCCCAGCACTTTGGGAGGCTGAGGCAGGGGGATCACTGGAGCCCAGGAGTTCAACAGCCTGGGGAACATAGCAAAACCCCATCTCTACAAAAAATAAAATTATTTGGGCATGGTGGCATGTGCCTCTGGTCCCAGCTACTCAGGAGGCTGAGGTGGGAGGATTGCTTGAGCCTGGGAGGTTGAGGCTGCAGTGAGCTGTGATTGGGCCACTGCACTCCAGCCTAGGCAGTAAAGTAAGAACCTGTTTCTTAAAACATATATATATGTATATTCAAATCTGTTAGCAGAAAGTACTTTAAGCAGACTCTAACATAAATTCCTGGAAGACCAAGCTAAGAAGTCTTATTTTGCTGTGTCCTGATGCATGTTTCTGTCTGCTGAGATTTGACTCGATGCCCCTCGCCGCAGGCTGTGCCTCAGGGCAGAGGTTGGGCGCTCACTCCTGGCCGAGTGCTGCGGGGAGGGGCGGTCTCCACGGAGGATGGATGCGGCTAACCCGCTGCTTGTCTGTCTCTTGGCGCAGTTGCCATCAACCTGATCGTGCAGCACATCCAGGACATTCTGAATGGTGACATCTGCAAATGGCACCGAGGAGGGTCCAATGGGCGGAGCTACAAGCGGACCTTTTCTGAGCCAGGGGACCACCCTGGGATGCTGACCTCTGGCAAACGGTCACATTTGGAGTCCAGCAGCAGACCCCACTGAGGGGCTGCCGAGCCTCAGGGCAGGTCTCCCGCCCGGCATGTGTGTTCAGGGACTGAGCCTGGGGACGCCCACCCACACCCACTGCTTCCTCTCGGCGCACCCCAGGGGAGTGTTAGCAGCGAGGCCTTCCTCACTCAGGAGTGGAAACTCAGATGTGTCACTCAGACTCAACTTGCTGGGACACTGACAGGCGTTCCTGAGGTTTTCAGCCACTTAGGCTCGTTGCGGTTTAAAGATCCCTCTAGGTCACTGAGAAATGCCACAGAATGTGCAGGAAGCCTGGGAGGCTTCTGTGAGGAATGTGAGGCACATTATTGGGGAAATTGAGGAGACAGCCTAGACACTGGCTGGCCTGATGTTTTGTTGACAGTGAACCCACAGTGGGAGAGAGTTTTTTCCAGTCTGATCTGGTTCTTACACACTCACACACATAACTCAAAAGTTTTGTGAACAAGTACTTTCCTTTTTTACATGTTACATGTCCTCATGTTTTCTGTTTTCTGTTTCATAACACAAGGCTGGTTGTGGCCTACAAACCTAATTTCATGACCCAGTGGTTTGCAGTCCAGCGTGGCCTACACGGATATGGGGAGCCACTGAGGGATGTTTTCCCCCCTTGCTTGTGCCTTAAAGGCAGAGAAGCGAGGCGGATGCCCTGGAAGCACCCAGCATCACACCCAGGCTTGTGCGGGGCCAGGCTGGGAGCCCATGCAGTAGGGCAGAAGGCAGCGGAGGCCAGGTCTGTCCCGGCTGGAGAACAGCGTCCACGCAGTCCTGCCTGGGGTCAGGCCCTCACTGACCCTCAGGGGAGCCCCCAAGGTGCTGTCTGTCTAGACAGGCTGTCCCACCCCAGGGTGGCTAGTGGCCATATGCAGGGAATGGTGCTTCTGGCTGTGGCACGCACTGGATCACCCAGGTCCCAGCAGACATGGCCGCCCAAAGTCAGCAAGCCTCCTTTGTGCTATGTGGAGCTCACAGCCTCACATGTGAACACCCGTGTCTGGGTTGCCTGGGGTGATCCTCCCTCCTGCGTGGTGGCTGTCTCTGGAAAGCATCCCTTGCCGCTGCCATGGGCAGCCCCAGCCCCCGTCCGTCCAGGCTCACCCACAGTAGTGATGCAGACGTGACGTGGGGGAAGGGGGCTGAGCCCTGTGGCTGGGTTCTGACAACTGTAACGGTTTTGTCGAGCTTAGGCCCCTTTGGAGGGAGAATCAATAAATAACAAACACCAACTACAAACGCCAGTTGGTTCCTTTTTTAATTACATTTAAAAAAGACAAAGGCATGGAGCTGTATGGATGACACACCTTGACCACTGACGAGGAAGATTTCACTCAGCCACGTCTCAGTGGAGTCTCAGAGGGGAGGGTTTCCACACAGCACGGTGCCAAGGGCCAGTCTTGACGCTGTCATAGACAATGACATGCAAGCCCCAGCCCTGGCTCGTGGTTCAGGTGGCCCTCCAACACTGAGCTGTCCCAGGACGCCTGCCGGGCTCGCTGAGGGCAGGGCCGGGACTTGCTCAGGTTGCTGGGTGTTCATGAAGGAGGATCGGGTCTGCCAGATCAAACTCCACCCTGCAGCAGTTAGCAAGGACCAGGCCCTGGTCTGCTGAGGCTCCACTGCTGGCCCTGGGTTCTCGGCTTTTTGTTGTCAATGACTCCTACGCTGGCCTCTGAAATACTCCCTGTGTCTTAGTTCAGGGGTAAAGACACGGAATATCTTTATTGTCGAGAAAAAATTAACTTTGCACAAAAGGAGGTGCTCATCAGAGAGCTTTTCAATGAGACCCCCATGTGTTCCACTAGAGGCCCTGCTCAGCCCAGCCCGTGTCCTCCCAGCGTGGGGCCCACCCTGCTCATTACGTACATTGACCAAGACCCTTCAACCTCATCCCGACCCCAGCACGGGTGTTCTTTGCCACACTCTTGTTCTAGTGTTTTCGGATCAAGATGTCCCAGCTGTCTTTCCAGCGAAGGGCCTTGAGTTCATGTGGCGAGAGTGACTTGTCCCCGTAGGTGAGTGGGCGCAGCGTGTTGGACACGTGGCACGCGGAGGAGTACCAGGCCACCACCAGGGCGCTGAAGATGCTCCTCTGGAGCTGGGACCTGCAGAGGTCAGAGCAGCGTGGGGGAGGGTGGCTGACCACTGCGGCTTCCCTGCCCGGCACCCTCTTGGCATCTGCTGTCCACACGGTCACCCCCCGAGGCCTGGGGTTCTGCCTTCAGGTTTCTGTGTCTTGTCTCCTGCCACCCATGACCATCTCCCACCTGGATGCACTGAGAGGGGCCCCCTGATGACTCCTCAGGCCTCCACAGTGGCTGGGCCACCTCCACACAGATGCCAGAGGACTGGTCCCAAACCCACGGTCCTCCCTTGTGTGGCTTCCTGAAACCGGGAGGCCCTCGCCCTCTGCTCCAACCTCCAAACACACTCTGGTTTAGAAGCTTTCTTGGGTTCTCTCCACCACACCACACAACCCGACCATAACCAGCTGCCGTTTCTGACACCCCAGGCTCCTGGGCCTTGCTCCCTGCTCCCGAATCCTCCAGGCCACCCACATCTCTTCATCCCCTCCCCGTCTCCCCACCCACTCCGCTTTCATCTCTGTCAGCCGCGACTTCTCCCTCTGGGTTCCTGCAGTGCCTCATCTGGGCATCTCTTCTGAACCTCACCCATTCCCCGGAGGGACCCGGAGGATGTCAGTGTAACGTGAAATGGGTGAGGTTCGCTGCACCCCATGTGTTTGCTGCGCATGGGCTTCCCAGCAGAGGGCTGCTGCCCGGTCCAGCCACTGTCTCCGCAGCCCCCGTACCTGCACAGGTGGTCGCTGATGTGCTGCAGGACCACAGGGAGCAGAAGGATTTGGAAGGTGAGTGCGGGCAGGTAGTGGTAGAGGAAGAGTGTCTTCTCCATCAGGAAGAACGGGAGGTAGTTCACTGCCCAGCCACCGGCACACAGCGCCCCAGCCAGCACCCAGCGCAGCCAGGCATCTATAGGAAAGGGCTCGAGCTACACCGACTCTGCTGCTCCCACAGGCCGGGTCTTCTCTCTCTTTTGCTTTTTTAGAGAGAGGGTTCTTACTATGTTGCCCAGGCTGGTTTTGAACTCCTGGCCTCAGGTGACTCCCTCACTTTGGCCTCCCAAAGTGCTGGGATTACAGGTGTAAGCCACCGCGCCCGGCCTGGCTGCCTGTGTTACCCAGCCATTTCCAGCGCATACGGGCAACATGGGACCAAGAGGGCAATTCCTGCCCAATACGCTGCACTCGACTGGAGACACCTCTAACGCAACATGGGAACTTAACATTTTGTCTCTTGGGAGACAAACATAATTTAAGATTCCACAATACAGAAACAAAGAGGCCGCGTTAAGGGGTAGGTTCCTATGAAGTCGGTTTGTCACTTGAGGCGGTGAATGCTCAGCGCACACCTGTAATCCTAGCACTATGGGAGGCCGAGGCAGGAGGATCGCTTAAGCCCAGGAGTTCAAGAACACCCTGGACAACACAGCAAGACCCCATGTCTATATTAAAAAGAAAGAAAGCCATGTGGGAGAGGTACTAACCCTGAGGGAGGTCATGGACATTTCTTCGCCGTCGGAGCAGGTACCACAAGGACAGCAGGGCGTAGATGGCCAGAGCGAGGCTGCCCGAAACCCAGATCACTATGTTTCCAAGTAGGTGGATCTGAGCCTAAGGGAACATGGGAGATGCTGTTAGCCACCTGCCCTCTGCTCAGGGAGGGAAGAGAAGAGAACACAGGAAAGGAATTCAGATGCACGCACTACTTTAGCAGAGTGAAAAAACGCCAGGCACAGCCTAGCATCCACTAGGCCTTACTACTACTGTGGACAGGTCTGCTCCTACTCAGACCTTTCATTAAAAGCACTGATGCCAGCCGGGTGTGGTGGCACATGCCTGTAATCCCAGCACTTTGGGAAGCTGAGGTGGGCAGATCACCTGAAGTCAGGAGTTTGAGACCAGCCTGCCCAACGTGGCGAAACCCCGTCTCTATTAAAAAGTACAAAAATTAGCTGGGCATTGCGGTGGGCACCTGTAATACCAGCTACTTGGAGGCTGAGGCAGGAGAACTGCTTGAACCTGGGAGGTGGAGGTTGCAGTGAGCCAAGATCACGCCACTGTACTCCAGCCTGGATGACAGAGCAAGACTCCGTCTCTCTCTTTCTCTCTCACATACACACACACACACAGCACTGATGCTCTCAATTTTGTAATTGGAAACTGAAAATTGGGAGCAGATGACTCCACTTTGTAACAGCAGCGCTGTCCACGGAGGAGAATGCAAAGTGCGCTCAGAGCTCGGGGTGGGGCGGCCTCTGGGCCTGAGCCTCTGCCTTCAGTGCACATGCTGAGCCGACCTACCCGCCTCTGAGGGAGGAGGAAAAAGGTGGGCATTTCCAGCGTCTGCCCATTCAGTGAATATTTATGGGGCGCTGACTGTGCGCCCGGCCTACCAATGCTTTCACTCTGCCGGGTGGAGAGACGGCACGCACATCAGCAAAGCACCGGTAAGCTCCACCACCAGGTGCCACACGGAAAATTGAATGGGAATATCTTAAAACCACTTTCGCCAGGAAAAGGGGAACAATGTGTCTCCACAAAAGCAATCAAGCCGGGTTTCCTTCAACAGGCACACATGCCACACCCCTACTCCTGGCTCCAGGTTGCCAAAGCGTTTAGAGAAAACCAAGTCACAGGCCTTTGTCAGGAAAAGCTTGGGAGAAACCCAGCACTTTCTAGGGTGCAGCGGCTGCTCTTAATGCAAGGAATTCTCAAGAAACAGGATGAATCTATGACTGTCAGCTGTCAGCATCGCTCGCTTACGCTGGTCCTGGGGTGCAGCCAGTAGGCAATATTGGTGTCCAGGGTGACCCACTCCAGTGGGCTGGAGCTGTACTTGTGTTCCGAGTCATCACTTCTCAGCGCCAGCATCCTCCACTGGAACAAAGCAGAGGCCTCTGAGATTGAGGATGGGGGATGCCTCCCGCTGTGCGTGGATTTGGTCAAAGGAGTACACTGCTGCCCCTTGCACGTGGACTGGCCCAGCTCAAGTTCATTCGGATCATGCATCGGAGGCAGCATGATGAGAACCTGGATTCCAGCCCTGAATGTGGCCTTGGGAGGGTCGCCCCACCCTATGTGCTCCAGTTACCTCCTCTGTAGACGAAGTGATTGGGCTGAATGCTCTCTAAGGTCACGTTCAGATTTGTGACCGTGAGTTTCTGATTGTGACTTCTCTTGGGCTCTGTTGAGTGTGGCCCATTTCGCTGCCTGGGGGCCTTAAGACACCCTGGCGATGTTGCAGAACCTCCTGGGTCCCTATTATTCCTGACCACAGGGCCACAAGGTGTGGGCCAGGGGTGTCACACACAGTCCCTTACACTGGAGAGAGGAGACACTCATTCTGTTGTGAGCCTGTAGCTCCAGCGTCAAAGCCTGACTCTGGTTTGAGTCCTGTGCAGCCCCCAGGCCTCCCTGCTGAGGAGTCAATGCTCAGCGAGCTAGGCCAGCTTCCCCTGGCCGCTCCTCACCTGCAGCTCCGAGAATCTCGCCATGAAGCTGAGGTTCCTGCTGACGTCCACCTGCGCAGGTGAGTGCAGCTCCCGTTCCCGCTCCCTCTGCTCCTGGCCTGGCAGAACAGACAAGGGCATAACAGATAGAAGTAGCACAAGGTCAAGAGCTCAGAGCAGAAGCTGTCAGTGCAGCAAAAAGCTGGCTTCCTGCCTTTCTAACAAAGACCCCTTATCGAACCGCATCATTCCACTTAGCTTTCCCCACCACACCCAAGACTGCCCGGTCAAATGAGGTGATTTCGACCCTGAGAAAGCTCCACTTGCACGGGGATAAACTGGTTGCCTTCCAGCGACACCTCGGAAGAAGCGTCTTGAGTTATTACTGCAGCAGCTGAGTGCAGGGTGCAGGGAGGGAGATGACCTGCCACCGAGCATGGAGAATGTGCTCAGTTCCCTTCCCACCAAAATGAGAACTCTGGGGTGTTATCAAATATTGAGCAGCTGAAAGTACATTCCAGGAGCGGCGGAAGCCACGCCGCGGACTCACTCGCGCCGTATCGGTGCTCCTCCACGTTCCACACCGTGCTCCCGTGGTAGCCCCGGGACAGCTTCTCCCCGACGATCTCCAGTTGCCGATACCCCCAGTCAGGGAGGTGAGCCCCGCTCAGCTGGTGACACCGCAGGAGAGTAAAGGGCGTGATGGGAAGGCCGTGGCTCCCGTGTCCACTTGGGTTGGAAGGGGAACCCCTGCCCGGGTCACGCTGTCAGCAGGTGCCCCTTGTGGGAGATTCACATTGGGATTCCATCCTGAGAAGTTACAAAAGCCGCCCTCCCTCAGTGTAAGAGGAAGCCATGATGACTCAAATGAAGCGTTCCGCCTGCAGAGAGGCGGTGAAGCCTGAGGGGCTTGGGAAACAGACTGGAGCCCACAGCTCAGGACAGGCCAAGCCACGGACAGTGTCCTTACCTTTAAGACAGCGGAAGTGTTCACGTGCACAAAGCGGACCTCTGAGAGGATGGTCTTCCAGACGTCTGTGTCAGATCCTCTGTTCACAATTTCCTGCAAAAAGACATCTCAAGGATTATTTCATTCCTTTTCAAATTTCCTTCAATGTAAAAATAAAGACCTGTCACCAAACAATGATACTGACTTGAGCCTGAGACAAAGGGACAAGTCCCCAAGTGAGGGAAGCTATAAGGGGCTGGTACTGGCCTTCCTTCCCAATGCCCACAGCACCCCGGGCTGCTCCGAGGGTCGCTGGGGAAGTGCACCCTCCTCCTCGCCAAGGCCGTACAAGAGGCCTCCTCACAGAAAATACAAAGCCTGATGTTCTTCGTGCCTCTCTGCAAAGCCTATTCATAGGGCTCAGAGCCCTGGCCAAAAAGTGAGCAAGTCTCAGTCCCTATCTGGCAGGACTCGCAGACAGCTCAGATGAAGGCCAGACACTGTCCCTGCCAGACACAGCTTAGAGATTTCCTCGCATCGAGTAATAAAAAAGACAACTAACATCTGAAAGGCACTTTGCCTTGTCACAGCCTGACATACTGGAGCCTCACAATGACCCCATGACATCACATGACTGTCATTTTCCCATACTGTCACAACCAGAGAACCCAAGAAGCTAGGCAGGAGCAGGCATGAGGAGGCCTGGCCGCGGTCCATGCCGCAGGCCGGGCGCGCACACCTCACGCATGCTCCCTCCTTCCTTGTTCTATGAACTTCAGACACCTGAAATGTGGGCTCCTGGTGCCAAAGGGGCCATCAGAAAGGACAGAGAAGGGTGCCCGTGAGAAGGGGCACAGCACTCACGTCAGGGAAGGACTGTGGGGGGGCGGGGATGGAAATGCAGAACGCACACAGATATGCAGAGCACAGAGACGGCGAGTGGGGCAGAGGGGCGCACTCTGCACAAAAATGGAACAGCCAATCTGGAGCAGTGGCTCACACTTGTCATCCCAGCGACTCTGGGAGGCTGAGGTAAGAGGACGGCTTGAGTCCAGGAGTTCAAGACCAGCCTGGACAACATAGCAAGACCCCATCTCCACAAAAAATTTTAAAAATCAGACTGTCCTGGAATAGAAAAAATATTTTAAAAATTAAATATTCAAAATTAACAGGGGCCAGGCATGGTGGCTAACCTGTAATACCAAGAGGCAGAGGTGGGAGGATCACCTAAGCTTGGGAGGCCAACACTGCAGTAAGCCAAGATCACGCCACTGCACTTCAGCCTGGGTGACAGAGTGAGACCCAGTCGCAAAAAAAAAAAAAGAACATCAGCAGATACCTGGCTTTGCTGTGAGGGCTGGCCATGAGGACGTGGTGCTAACTCTGTCAAGCGAAACAGGGCTGAGCCTGCGTAGGCAGAAAGCGCTGAAGCCAGTGGGAAGCTAGAAGGGGGGGTGTGACCTCACTATGGAAATAAGCCCAGTGCCTTCACTGTGGTCATGGGGCTGGGCTGCATTTAGTGTCCATGTCCTTAGATTCAGATGGCAACATGGTCCAGTAACAGAAGACTTTTTATGGAACCTTTCCCAGGAGACCCGATTCCGTAAGGGGAGCAGGTGGCCCTGGTCGCTGGAAGGAAAGGTGACCACAGACCCAGCGCCTCAGGAACATCCCCCGCACTCACGGCTAAGCCTGTCCCCAGGGAAATCCTGAGAAATGGAATTTCTCCTGGATCATGGTGGCAGAGGGGTGGCTGGAGCTCGTGTCCTGTGTTCAGGACCTGCTCCTGAGGCTAAACAGGTTGGGAGAACTTTCACCTGGCAGAGCCTCAAGCGCACCTGGCACCCAACATGGAGCAAACACAAAGCATTTAGAATCTCAGTGAACACAGGCCTCTGATGCAGGAAACCACCAGGTTCCCCAGTTCCACCAAGGAAGACGCATCGGTTCCCTGTGAAAACATCTGTGACTTTATGTACGAATAAAACTTATGTAACTTTACATCTGAATCAGAATTATTCTAAATATCCAACCTCAACTGGGTAAACTGAAAAAAAGGAAAAATGATTATTCTCAACGGCAGTTTCAAACATTCCATGTCAGGAAGTGCTCCGTGTGAGCAAGTGCTCCGTGTGATGGAGTGCTCCCTGTGAGGAAGTGCTCCGTGTGAGGAAGTGTTCTGTTAGAGGAAGTGCTCCGTGTGAGGAAGTGCTCCGTGTGAGGAGGTGTTCCGTGTGAGGAAGTGCTCCGTGTGAGGAAGTGTTCCGTGTGAGGAGGTGTTCCGTGTGAGGAAGTGTTCCGTGTGAGGAAGTGTTCCGTGTGAGGAAGTGCTCCGTGTGAGGAAGTGCTCTGTGTGAGGAAGTGTCCTGTGTTAGAGGAAGTGCTCCGTGTGAGTGTGAGAGTGTCCTGTGTTAGAGGAAGTGTTCCGTGTGAGGAAGTGCTCCCTGTGAGGAAGTGCTCCATGTGAGGAAGTGCTCCGTGTGAGGAAGTGTCCTGTGTTAGAGGAAGTGCTCCGTGTGAGGAAGTGCTCCGTGTGAGGAAGTGTCCTGTGTTAGAGGAAGTGCTCCGTGTGAGTGTGAGAGGAAGTGTCCTGTGTTAGAGGAAGTGTTCCGTGTGAGGAAGTGCTCCCTGTGAGGAAGTGCTCCATGTGAGGAAGTGCTCCATGTGAGGAAGTGTCCTGTGTTAGAGAAAGTGCTCCCTGTGAGGAAGTGCTCCGTGTGAGGAAGTGTCCTGTGTTAGAGGAAGTGCTCCGTGTGAGGAAGTGTCCTGTGTTACAGGAAGTGCTCCATGTTAGAGGAAGTGCTCCGTGTGAGGAAGTGTCCTGTTACAGGAAGTGCTCCGTGTGAGGAAGTGTTCCGTGTGAGGAAGTGTCCTGTGTTAGAGGAAGTGCTCCGTGTTAGAGGAAGTGCTCCGTGTGATGAAGTGTTCTGTTAGGAAGTGCTCTGTGTTAGGGAGTGCTCCGGGTGAGGAAGTGCTCCGTGTGAGGGAGTGTTCATTACTGACGGTTGTGGCTGCTATAGCCGCAGCCTTACTCACCAGTCTCCAGAGGTTCTGGGCGGGCATGGAGATGTTATAGTCAATGTAGCAGGAGACCTCCTGTGAATGGGGGCTCAGGGGGGCTGCAACATCATGCCTGGAAAACCAAGACCGAGATTTCAGAAAATTCCTTGAACTCCTCTGGAAGGCAATTACTAAATCTTTCAGGCAGGAAAAGGTTGCTTTTCAGAAACAAAGCCGGCTCAGCCATAAGGGGTGGCCCAGTCCCATGAGTTGCTGCTACTGAGGACGGAGGTCTTGAGGCTCGGCGATGGGAGTGGACACTAAACAGGCAGGAGGCCCTGTGGGAACATCTCCAAAAGAAAAGGACACTCTGCTGTGGAACCTTCCACCTGTTAGACGAGCGAACCAAGTTTCAGAGGAAGGAACCGTGCGCCCAGGCCCGATCCGGTACTGCTGCGATGCCAGCTGGCAGTACCAATGCTACAACTTGCAGGGCTGAGCTGCCCGCCCCTGCGCCCAGCTGGCCTGGGGACGCAGCAGATAAGCTGGGAGAAAAGGCTATCAACCTCAATGTTAACGAACACCCACTTCTTTTTTGTTTTGAGATGGAGTCTCACTCTGTCACCCAGGCTGGAGTGCAAATGGCGCGATCTCAGCTCACTGCAATCTCTGCCTCCTGGGTTCAAGCGATTCTCCTGCCTCAGCCTCCTGTCTAGCTGGGATTACAGGCACATGCCACCATGCCTGGCTAATTTTTGTATTTTTAGTAGAGACGGGGTTTCACCATGTTGGCCCAGCTTGTCTCCAACTCCTGACCTCAAATGATCTGCCCACCTTGGCCTCCCAAAGTGCTGGGATTACAGGTGTGAGCCAGCACGCCCGGTCAGGAACACCCACTTCCTCTTAATCCACACACTCAGTAACCATGTGGTACCGCACCATGCACCTGGCACTGTCTAGGAGCAGCCACCCAGCTGTGAACAAGACAAGGCCCTCACAGCCCTCTGGGAAACAGCCATCATGCCGGTGGGCAGAGCGTGCACCTGTAGGAGTGCCACTAATAAAACAAATGGTGGGGGACAGCACCCAGGAGGCACTTTTGGATGCAGTGACATCCCAGCAGACCCCTACATAGAGGGGCCATGGGGGAGCCAAGTCCAAGAACATTCTCGCAGAGGGAGCAAGTGTGAAGCCCCCAAGGGGCCCGCAGGTGGTTGTTTCAGGGCTGGGGGGAGCCAGGGTGGCGGGGGTGAAGTGTGTCAGGGTCACCAGGGACCTTGGCGGGTGACGGGAGTCACTGAGCACAGAGGAACAACGCAAGTGGGTTGTGCACGGTCCGCAGGCCGGACAGGCTGCTGCGAGGTAGAGAGGTCAGGCCCCAGGAGGTGGGAGTAGAGGGAGAAGGAAGGACCCCTACCCAGGGCTGGTTCTGAAGGTTGAGAAACAGGATCTCCCAATGGAATCAACATGCAATGGGAGGGGAGGGGAAGGAGTCAGGTGATGCCTCAGCTACTGGGCCCTTTCCAGGGAGAACCAGAAAAGCCAGGGCCAGAGACCGCCCCTGTGGAGCTGGGAGTCGTGGAGAGCTGGAGGTGAGCCCCGGGCAGCCGGGTGGAAGTCCAGGAGAGGTAGCCCCGGGACTGGGCCTGTGCAGAGGCAGCAAGGCCGGAGGGCCCTCAGAGACTGAGAGCAACAGAGGAAAAGGAGGCGGTGGAGAGAGCAGTCAGGGAGGAAGGAGGAGGGTGTGAGCAACTGTGCCCAGCACCACGGGAAGGCAAGTCGGACAAGGACGAAGGACTGAGAAGGAAGAAGCCTTCACGGCTCCACTCGTGCCCGAGCTTCCAGGCTTCTTGGACTCACTCATACTTTAAGCTTGACCACTTTAAGGAGGTGTGCCCAAACTCCATTCTCTGCATAGAAAGCGGGTCAACATTCCCAGCCTGTCCTTGTACACTCATCCACGGGGCCCTGAGCTCTCCTAGGATGGGCTGTGCTAGGTGCTTCTGTCCAGTCCTCACAGAGCCCCTGCTTCCTCTTAACCCCGCTCCCTTCCGCGGCCAGGCCTGGGTCCCCTCCCGGCATCAAATGTAGGTCTAAGAGCTGCTACACATGCAGATGATGGGTAGACAGGGGGCAGCGGCCCAAGGCAGGGCTCACGTTTTGGTCTGAACAGAGAACCACAGAGGAAACCCACAGGTGCAGCAGAGCAGACGGCGGGCACACTCACGTGTTCAGGGAGCGGGTGGTCATGCCGTGGACCAGCTGCACCATGTCCCCGTGCCTCACAGGTCTCGGAGGGCTGCTCACCACCAGCTGGTGCCTGGAAGACACAGTGCTGTCGGGACCACACAGAGCCTGGTCCCCTCGAACTAACAGCTGCACCGGAGGGGCACAGCTCTGAATTCTCATGGCTGAGACTGCCTCCCAACCCATGTGTGCCTCACATGAGGTGAACACAGGAAACCAAAGCACAGACATTAATTGGGCTCTTTTCTGAAACCAAAGGTCATTTTCCGAATGTGATTCTACCCGCGGTCATCACACCTGCATTGCTCTGAATTTGTCTACAAACACTACAGTGACAAATGTACCATGACTGCCAAGGAATCCTTCTGAAGGGCATTCCACCAATGAAAGTGTATGAGGGGGCCGGGCGTGGTGGCTCACACCTGCAATCCCAGCACTTTGGGAGGCTGAGCTGGGTGGACCACTTGATGTCAGGAGTTCAAGACCAGCCTGGCCAACATGGTGAAACCCCGTCTCTACTAAAAATACAAAAATTACCAGGATGTGGTGGTGGGCGCCTGTAATCTTATCTACTCGGGAGGCTGAGGCAGGAGAATCACTTGAACCCGGGAAGCGGAGGTTGCAGTGAGCCGAGATCGTACCACTGCACTCCAGCCTGGGCAACAGGGTGGGACTCTGTCCCCCGAAAAAATAAGAAGAAAAAAAAGAAAAAGCCCACTCGGGCTGCAGGTGCTGGAGCTGGGCAGGCAGCAATGGGAGGACACCATCAGGAGACAGTGACCGGGACAGCTAGAGACCTTGTTTGGGGGCAGAATCCACAGGACTGGATATGGGAATGAGAGCAAGGGGCACCTCTAGCTGGGATGTGTGCAAGATGATGCTACTTTTGCAGGAGGGGGGTTCTTGTTTTTATGAGGAAGGGAGAGGGACACAGGTCGGGGCATTGAGGCTCGCCTGGAAACTTCTCAGAGCAGCTACTGAGCAGGCTGCTCACTGAGGGTCTCATGATCTATTCCTCTGACCTTGGACTCAGCACTGAGCTGGTGTTCAAGGCCATGACGGTGACTAGAGTCAGTGAGGGAGGGAAAGAAGGGGGCCCAGGACTGCATCCCAGGGTCTCGCCTGGCCAGGCCAGGAGGTGAGCTCTGCTCTGGAGTCACAGGACCTGCACTCACCTCCTGGGATCCTTTACAATCCACCAGTTATTGACATCTTTGAAGGGGTAACAGGTCACCTGTTGCTGGTGGGAGCTGCCTCGGCCGTTCTCATATCTGTGTGAAGTCAACAAAGAGATGTATCTGGGCCAGGCGCGGTGGCTCAGGCCTGTAATCAGAGCACTTTGGGAGGCTGAGGTAGGATAACTGCTTGAGCCCAGGAGTTTGAGACCAGCCTGGGCAACATAGTGAGACCCTGTGTCTATTTATGAGAAAAAGAAAAGAAAGGGAAAGAAACGTATCTGGAAGTGGGTCATCGATCGGGCCCACACGCCTTTCTCCTAAAGTTTCTGCAAAGGGAAGCAGATTTCAACAAATACAACCTAGCAAGGGGTTTCAGGGAAAATGAAGATACCACAGACAAGGAGCCGAAATCAGATGATTCAGGCAGGCAGTGCTGAGGTCAGCCACAGCCACAGAGCTGGGGCCGACCCTGGGCCCTGCCACACGCCAAGTCCCTCCAGCAACACCCGGGAACCACGAAGCTCACTGGCAATCAGCACCCGGGCTGCTCAACTTCTTTCTGTCCTGCAAACAAACTTCCTCAAAGAAAGGGAAAGTTGCTAAGATAAGCAAATCTACGAGCAAATAAAGCATTTAATTATCTTCAAAGTAAAACCATCACCTTACATCATGGGGTAGGTGTCCTGGTGGGAATGAAGCCAGCAGGGCACAGGTTTCCCAAAGACGTTCCTCAGAGTGACCTGGGACCCAAAGGCCACCTCCAGTGGCTGACCCTGAGTGATCCGAGCTAGTCCTCCCTGAGACAGAAGCAGAAGGTTGATGAGTGAGAGACAGAAAGAAAAATGACCCTAAGCCAGCCTTCCCGATGGCCACTCCTCCCTCTGGGGTGATGTTTAGGCTGGTGGCCATTCTTGTAACAGTGGTAATGATCTCCCATTTAATCACATCACGTTACATTATAGAACCATAATGAGCACTAAGTCTGATCAAATGCTGCCTCTGGGCCAGGCACTCAGTTCAGCCTTCCACGCGCACCCTATTCAGTCCTTACAAGCATCCAATGAGGTAAGAGCAATGATGATGTCTGTCTAAGAGATGAGAAAACCAAGACTAGGGTGAGCCAAACAACTTGCTGAAACACACAGCACTACAGCACTGGCCGTCGGCAGGCTTGGCTGACTTCAGGAACCACAGTCCTGACCACCTCTACTGATACCTTCTACCACTGCTGCGAGGTTCATAGGAATGAAGGTCACAGTTGAGTGTGGTCCTTAAGGCGGGTGAAACTGCCCAGGGTTTGTAAGACTTGACTTTAAAATGCTCCCAGCTGCCAGGCGCGGTGGCTCACGCCTATAATCCCAGCACTTTGAGAGGCCGAGGCAGGCGGATCACTTGAGGTCAGGAGTTCCAGACCAGACTGACCAACATGGTGAAACCCCATCTCTACCAACAAAACAAAAAAATTAGCTGGGTGTGGTTGCAGGTGCTTGTAATACCAGCTACTTGGGAGGCTGAGGTAGGAGAATCGCTTGAAGCCAGGAGGCGGAGTTTGGGTGACAGAGTAAGACTCCATCCCCCCCACCAAAAAAAGAAATATGGATGTGGATTCTTCATGTTTTGATTCAAGTGCTAATGTTCACTTGATGTGTTTGTAAGAAAACTCTGGGTCCACTATCATCTTCCTTCTCCAGTGGCCACGATGCCCACTGCTTACTTACCTCTAAGCTGGCCTGGAAGGCACTGGACATGATTTGGTCGTGGGGCCCAGAGCGGAAGACTAGAATCAAGTGGACGTAGAAGAACAGTAAGTACAGGACGACCGGGATGACCAGCAAAGCCACTGCTCGGGCGAGCAAGTGACAGAACACACAGACCTGCCAGAGATTCAAAGAAAAGTCATGTTCCACTGCGTGGAAAAGCGTACCCACCTCTAGACATTGTGAGCTTAGAAAAAGTTAGTGACAGAAACTCTGGCCTCCCATACAGAGGCACCTGCAGAGGCCAAGAGGCGAGGCTGCCCAGGCCTGCCTGCTTCTAAAACATTGAGGATTGGAGTCTTTTCACCAAGTACCCCCTGTGACATCTGCATCTGCCCCATACAGGCCGGCCTCATGCAGCACTGGACATCAGCACCTACATTGGACAAAGTCTGGTCTCCAAGCAGGTGCCAGGCATGGACAGCTGCAACACCCAGCACGAGCACGTACGTGAACACACCCATGTACTTGATGCTGCAAAGACATGACAGAAATGGAGTTAACATGAGACAGGAAAACATAAGGAGATGGAGGAGGACACTGCCCAAGACCAGAGGCTCAAACTCACCCCACTGCACAGGAACAAGCGACCCCTGTCAGTGTTAGCCAGAACCACCAGCTCAGAGAAAAAGGGCTGGAATAAAAACAAAGCAGATGGAGACAGAAATAGTTCAGACACATTTCCAAAAGGCTAGTGAAGCTCCACATTCTTCAGAGAAATCTTTCTGGGTCGGCTGGCCATGCTGAGCCACAGGGGCAGTAAGAAAGAATTCCCATCTCCCAAAGTATCCATCCCAGCAGAATTTTTCTTTTTGCCCAGAAAATGTTGTCCTGTTAGTTTAAATTATAGAAAAATGAAGATGTATTTATGAAGTCACAAGCCAAGGGCCAACCCCCAAAATATTAGAGGACCAAAAGATATCTAGCACTAGGCGCAGAGGCTCACACCTGTAATCCCCACACTTTGGGAGGCCAAGACGGGTAGATCACCTGAGGTCAGGAGTTTGAGACCAGCCTGGCCAATATGGTGAAACCCCGTCTCCACTAAAAATACTAAAATTAGCCAGACATGGTGCTGTGTGCCTGTAATCTCAGCTACTCGGGAGACTGAGGCTGGAGAATTGCTTGAACCTGGGAAGCGGAGGTTGCAGTGAGCCGAGATTGCGCCATTACACTCCAGCCTGGGTGACAGGGACTCCGTCTCAAAAAAAAAGATATTTAGCAAGCAACTCCTCAAAATGAAAAGGTACTGTCTCACAAAACGAAACAAAAAAAGGTACTGGACCATCTCAGATCAACAAACCACCCAGAATCTCTGTTCTCGTTAACTAGGAAGACACTCCATTTTCCATACCTGTGCTTTTGGCAGTTGAAGAACTTCAGGTAGGACAACACGGCCAATAGATTGAAAAATATTAACACTGATTCCAAAAGCATTAGCCTTGACTGAGTGATGAGAGCATTCTCTGTTTCAAAGAGGAAACACATGTCAATTTTAAGGTAGCAAGGGAAAACGTATGAGGATGAAAAACACTCATGAAAAAAGGCATTACTTCAGAAGCGATACAACTGTGTGGGGCTGTTGTGAATGTTAAAACATTCTATAGACACAAGGCCTCATACAGTCATCACCCAATACACATCTCTTTTGATTTTCTACTGTCTCTTTCTTTTCTTTGAGTCAGGGTCTTGCTCTGTCGCCCAGGCTGGAGTGCAGTGGCACCATCATGGCTCACTGCAGCTTTGACCACCAGGGCTCAAGGGATCCTCCTGCCTCAGGCTCCTGAGTAGCTGGGACTATAGGCGCATGCCACCACACCTGGCTAATTTTATTTATTTATTTTTTTGAGACAGAGTCTTGTTCTGTCACCAGGCTGGAGTGCAGTGGTACAATCTCGGCTCACTGCAACCTCCGCCTCCCGGGTTCAAGCGATTCTCCTGCCTCAGCCTCCTGAGTAGCTGGGACAAAAGGTGGGTGCCACCATGCCCAGCTAATTTTTGTATTTTTAGTAGAGATGGGGTTTCACCATGTTGGCCCGGATGGTCTCGATCTCTTGACCTTGTGATCCACCCGCCTCAGCCTCCCAAAGTGCTGGGATTACAGGTGTGAGCCACCGTGCCCGGCTTATTTATTTTTTTTGAGATGGAGTCTTGCTCTGTTGCCCAGGCTGGAGTGCAGTGGCGCAGTCTTGGCTCACTGCCACCTCCACCTCCCAGGTTCAAGCAATTCTCCTGCCTCAGCCTCCCAAGTAGCTGGGATTACAGGCACCTGCCACCACACCCAGCTAATTTTTTGTATTTTTCGTTATTTTTAGACAGGGTTTCACCATGTTGGCCAGGCTGGTCTCAAACTCCTGACCTCGTGATCTGCCCGCCTCAGCCTTCCAAAGTGCTGGGATTATAGGTGTGAGCCACTGCGCCCAGCCTAATCTAACTTTTCATCTGCTTTAATTTCATCTGTTCATAAACGTGAGCTGGAAGACCCTCTCTGAAGAGGATCCACTGACTCACGAGTCCATCTCAATTGGCCAAGGCCTGGGAGGTGGTGGAACAAGGGGAAGTTATCATTTGGTCACAAGATTGGTTGGAGATGGAGGTGCCCACGTGTGCATGGACTTTGCAGCAGCATCTGGGCAGTTTTCTACTGCCATACCCCGACTGCTGATAAGAGTCTGATCCCACAATTCAGCAATCCCATAACCACGGGGTCAGCCTGGGAGCGGGTGACTTGCAGCGTCAAATTTGGATGAACCAGATGCACTTTCTGGTGCAGCTCGCCCACCAAGCCCATGTGATCTTCCGGGCCAAAGGGTCAGTTCTTCCCTGCATGACAGCAAGAGCAGGCAGGGGCGCAGGTCTTACCGATAAGCATCAACAGAGCAGCTCCCATGGCGGCACAATGAGAAAAGTGGAGCTCCAACACTATCTGGTAGGCCATGGGGACCGACAAGGCCCCCGCGAGTGCTGGCAGCAGGCGCAGGGACCACACAGGCACGTTGCTACTGTATTCTGGAAAAGCAACCACACTGCAGAGCTGACTACACTGTGCACACACCATCTCTGTGTACTGCAGCTATGCTTTCACATAGCGCCGTCATGTTCACAGACTCTAAAATGCACGTTTACAAAACTGGGGACCCCATCAGCAGCAGAGTGCATAAACTATGGGTGAAGGCTTTGAAATTAGCTTTGCATAGTCATGGAACCCGATCTCATGAAGCATAGACAGGACTAAGGATTCTAAAATTTACCGCCTTACTTATACATATTTACCCTCCCTGTTTTCTTTTTTCTTTTTTTTTTTTTCTCTGAGACGGAGTCTTGCTCTGTCCCCCAGGCCGGAGTGCAGTGGCGCCATCTCATCTCACTGCAAGCTCCGCCTCCCGGGTTCACGCCCTTCTCCTGCCTCAGCCTCCCGAGTTGCTGGGACTACAGGCGCCCGCCACCACGCCCGGCTAATTTTTGTATTTTTAGTAGAGACGGGGTTTCACCATGTTAGCCATAATGGTCTCGATCTCCTGACCTCATGATCCACCCGTCTCAGCCTCCCAAAGTGCCAGGATTACAGGCGTGAGCCAGCGCGCCCGGCCTACCCTCCCTATTTTCAAAAACATTGTGGCAATGGACAAAATTCACATGTACAACCGATCATCACAATCAGACGCTCTGTGATACGTGTACCAACGACAAGGGCTGAAATAATGACTGCAACTGAACAGTAAGATTTTAACCAGACTTTCCAGAAGTCTTTCATTTGTATCCAACCAATTTATTATTTTCTGGACTCAGATTAATAAGGCACAGTTTCTGTGGGACTAGGTATGAAAGGAAAAAAAAAGCCACAGTTGTTAATCCTTACAAAAGTCACAATCTCTTCATTCTAACCTGCGCACATTAAAAGGGAAATGAAAATTATCTTTTACCTGCTCCAATTCTGTTCCACAAAAAATTGCCATCGAATCCTCCTAAATAACCTGAAACAGAAGATTAATCAGTAACTATCCCATTCAGCAAATATTTCTAGAGTACTGTGGCAAGCAATAAACAAGATGCATCAATAATAAGACCTGGTTTCTGCCTGTAAGAAATGCACTGATAAGTTTTAAATGTATTTGAGGTCCTGAAGGGTAGGGGCTACTCTCCTGATGACTCCTACCTCCCAAGGCCAGCACCATGTGGCCAAATGGCGGCCCACTGTCATCCAAGAAGAAGATTTGTTTCATGTAAAAAGAGATGTACTGCCCATAATATACTTCGTCAAAACTAGAAAAAAAAACAACAACCCATATTATATTCAATTAGAATCTTAACTGTAAACAAAAACTGTGAGGATAAATGTGTATGTGTTTCCAAATGACTTTGAGTGAGTGATCAGCAAAGGCTGGATCTTTTGCCCCAATTGTTTCCCATCCCCAAATATTAAGATGCATACAGCATCACCCACCCACAGAGACATGGGGAATTCACCAAGCACAGCTGGCACTCAGCATGCCTGCCCATACAGATTCTGTCTCTCCCTTGTGTTTGATTTAGGTGGATACTATGAGCCAACCTGCTGAAAGACCTCCTGGGACGCAAGGCTAATCCTGCTTACCCACCTACCCAACCCCCCCACCCCCGCCCCCACCAGCAGCACATGTCTGTGGCTAGCGATGACCCAATGAAACGGCTGCAAGTATGAAAGGAAAACGTGGGAATCAACTGCAATAACATGTTTTCAATCAGGGAGAGGTGAAGATAACCAAGAAACTGCTGTCAATTTCTCAGGCATGATAATGCAACTGTGGTTATGTGATTTTTGTTTTTAAGAATCCTCAGCCAGGCACGGTGGCTCACGCCTGTAATCCCAGCACTTTGGGAGGCCAAGGTAGGTGGATCACAAGGTCAGGAGTTCAAGATCAGCTTGGCCAACATGGTGAAACCCCTTCTCTACTAAAAATACAAAAATGAGCCAGGCGTGGTGGCAGGTGCCTGTAATCCCAGGTACTCGGGAGGCTGAAGTAGGAGAATCACGATCGCACCATTGCACTACAGCCTGGGCGACAGAGTAAAACTATGTCTCCAAAAAAAAAAAAAAAATCCTCATCTTTTACAGATATACCGCTGAATTATCTATGAATACTAGGATTTGCTGCAAAGTAAAAACCACTGCAGGGAGGGGCCTGGCTGTGAACTGATAAGGTGAAGCTGGGTAATGAAAATACTGGTGTGTGTGGGGGGGTCATTCATTATACTTGTCTCCCTGCTTTTGTATATGTTTGACGTTTTCCATAATAAAAAGTTAAACAAAAAAGAACATGCAGCAGGGCGGAGTGGCTCACGCCTGTAATCCTAACACTTTGGGAGACCCAGGTGGGTGGATCATGAGGTCAGGAGTTCAATACCAGCCTGGCCAAGATGGTGAAATCCCGTCTCTACTAAAAATACAAAAATTAGCTGGGTGTGGTGGCGGGCACCTGTAATCTCAGCTACTCGGGAGGCTGAGGCAGAGAATTGCTTGAACCCAGGAGGCAGAGGTTGCAGTGAGCCGAGATGGCACCACTGCACTCCAACCTGGGCGACACAGCAAGACTCCGTCTCAAAAACACACACACACACACACACACACACACACACACACATACACACATTAATCAGTTAATAAAGAGCCCTTCAATAATAACAGCAATCACTTCCCATTATGACAAAAACACATTCTAAAAAGTGCTCTCAACAGTGAAGACTTACTTCCAAATCCATTAATCCTCTGCCGTCCAGACTTTAAAACTGTTACTTAAGGCTGGCAACCAGATTTTCCTCTACTGCACCCCTTTAATGGGCCAAATTTCACCTGTTACAGACTCAGAAGGCAAGACCTAAAAGGTGTACTCTGCTGGGGCTGTCCTGGGGACAGACTGGTCTCTCCTCTCACTGCCAAAAACACCTATCACCAAGAAGCCAGGATTTCACTCTCCCATTTATGCTATTCAGTAAGGGCGCCTCCTGTCACAAAGTACAATTCTAGATTCACCCTGGGAATGGAGTCATTTAGCTTACACCACAGCCCGCGGGTAGGTGAGTCGCCACAGCCGGCTCAGTAACCCCATCCCAGTCAGGGCCACAAGGCTCAAGTTGATGTCAGCCGTCACCACTACAGGGCGCTTCAAAAATCCCCACATCTTGTAGAAAAGCGGGCTCAGGCAGACGCCCTAGAAAAGAAGGGAGGAGCCGTGGTCCATGAGGGCTCACGAGAGGCTACAGAAGGGATCCCCAGCCACCCGGCTCCCGGACACACGAGGAGAACCACAGCACAGCCGGGCTGCTGAGAAAGACCGAAGTTCCTGGAGCCTTGGTTCAGGTAGACATGTGGGGTGAGGGGCACTAGCAGTGAACTCGGGTGGGAATTCAGGGGATCTCAGGACTGGACATTCACTCCTTTCAACAACTCATTCCACAAAACCTGCCGAGCACGTCTTGGGCGCGAGAACACTGCTAAGGAACGCCAGGGTTTCTCCCCTCCCTCCCCGACGACCAGAAGCCCACAGTGCGGCCACAGCTACCTGACCCTGGGCAGCTCCTGGGTGCCATCTCAGCTGCTTACAGCCCAGGGACCCCAACCTGGCCGAGCCTCGGGGCCTCCTCATCTCTCCTCAAGGATGCATCTGCCCCCAGTGCCTCCCTGCCTTCTATCCCAGCGGCACATCATCCCCGGGTGCTCCCTTTCTCGCCTGGAGGGTGCATTTGCACCCTGCGCCCCCACGTTCTCCTCCAGGCTTCATCTTCCCTTGAGCTCCGCTTCTCTTGAGGCTGCATCAGGCCTGGGACACCCTGTCTCACACCAAAGCCGCATCTGGCCGTTGGCGCCCCGCTGGTCTCCTCAGGCCCCATCTACCCTGGACGCGCCCTTCCCTCCCTGAGCTGCATCTGCCTTGAGCGCCTTCGTCCCAAAAGGTCCCATCTGTCCTGGGAGTGCCTCCTCTCCCCTTGCAGACCGCATCTCCCTGGCCGGCCCTTCTTCCCCACAGGCCGCACCTGTCCCGTCCACCAACTCCCGAGGCTGCGTCGGCCCCAGCTCCGTCCTCACCCTGAGACTGCACCCGCAGCACGCCCTTCCTCCCTAGGGCTGCACGCGCCACGGAGTTCTTACTTCGGGGCTCGGCCGCCCGAACGCCGCATCTGCCCGGGCCCGAACCCCGCCCCCAGCTCCGGAAAGACGGGGACGCCCCCGGCCCCAGCCCGTCCGCAAGCCAGGGACCCGCGTCCGGCACTGACGGACTCCCCCAAGTCCGGGCTGGGCTCTCGTCCCCGGTGTCCCCAAATGTACCCGCGTTTCTCCGAGTCCACACAGAGCCGCGCCCGGCTCCCGGCAACGCCTCGGAACCGTCCGACTGGGCCGACGGTTGGGGGTGAGGCCGCTCGGCACTCCGCACCACCCACCGCCCTGCTCAACGTTCGATTCACCGAGCCTGCGGGGCCAGACGGGCAGCAGCGCGCGTGCGCACTG
The DNA here is from genome assembly GCF_000001405.40 of Homo sapiens. NCBI lineage: Eukaryota > Metazoa > Chordata > Mammalia > Primates > Hominidae > Homo > Homo sapiens. The sequence goes on along the minus strand of NC_000009.12, from coordinate 131,502,893 downwards.
GGAGAGGGTGACGCGCGTGCGCAGCGGGCGAGGGCGCCGGTCCCGGAGGAGAGGCAGGTGTGAAACGCGGCGACCTCCCCTCTCTCGGGTGCTACTGTTTTGTGTGCCAGGATTTCTGTGTACTCTAAGCAGACGTGCAGATTTTAAAAAGCGCAGTGGGCTCCCACCCATCTTCTGCTCCTTGCTTTTTCACTCCATCTGGCGTGAAGATCTTAATTCTGCGTCTGCACAACGGCGTTCTGCCGGGCGCGCCAGTTTGCTCCTAGTTTTTTTCTTTTCTTTTCTTTTCTTTTTTTTTGAGACGGAGTTTCGCTCTTGTTGCCCAGGCTGGAGTGCAATGGCGCGATCTCGGCTCACCGCAACCTCCGCTTCCCGGGTTCAAGCGATTCTCCTGCCTCAGCCTCCCGAGTAGCTGAGATTGAAGGCGCACGCCACCACGCCCGGTTAATTTTTGTATTTGTAGTAGAGACAGGGTTTCACCATGTTGGCCAGGCTGGTCTCGAACTCCTGACCTGAAGTGATCCGCCCACCTCGGCCTCCCAAAGTGCTGGGATTACAGGCGTGAGCCACTGCGTCCGACCTTAATTTTTTTTTTAAGACACGGGGTCTCGCTCTGTCGCCCAGGCTGGAGTACAGTGGCAGGACCACGGCTTGCTGCAGCCTCGACCTCTCTGCCCGAAGCGATCCTCCCTCCTCGGCCTCCAGAGCAGCTGAGACCACAGGCACGTGCCCCCACGCCCGCGGGCGCTCCTAGTTTCCTTGCCGAAAAACATCGATGCCACGATCCTGCTTGCACATACATCTAGCGGTGAAGTGGCTGAGGGTAAGGGCATTTAAAACGGACCTAGGGCCGGGGGCGGTGGCTCACGCCTGTAACCCCAGCACTTTGGGTGGCCGAGGTGGGAGGATCCGTGAGCCCGCTTGAGTCCAGGAGAGCCTGGGCAACACAGCGAGACCCCGTCTCTACAAAAAAATACAAAAATTAGCGGGGCCCCTTGGCGTCTGCCTGCAGTCCCAGCTACAAGGGAGGCTGAGGCAGGAGATCACTTGGGGCAGAGAGGTCGAGGCTGCAGTGAGCCTTGGTCTCACCACTGCACTCCAGCCTGGACTACAAAGTGAGACCGTCTCAAAACAAAAAACAAAACCAAAAAAACCTGGACATCAGTGGGGGCTGCATGACCATCAGAGGCTCCAGTGGGGGCATCTCCCCTAAACTCCGTGGCAGAAGACTGGAGGCTTCTTCCTCCATTCCCAGGGCTCCTCCTCATCCATCAGCCTCTCCAGCCCCCTCTGCTGAGGGTCAAGAGCCTTCCCAAAGGCCTGCTTTGGAGCAGACATGGTACTTTTGGTTGGGTCAATGCACCCCTTCCCATGTTTTCCCTGAACAGTCGGCACCCAGAGCAGGGTAACTGACAGCAACGCAACCAGGCTGATGGATCACTCTTCTCAGCCTCGCTCCTTCTTGATCTCCTGGTCTATTTGTATGTTAATCTATACAGACCAAAAGGGCACACTGCAGGTTTAATAACCTTCATTATGGTTCTTGGCTGCCTGCAAGACTTTTTTTCCATGTTGGGCAACATAGCATTAGATGACACCAGTTAGAATTTCGTGGTTACTTCTTTATGGCTTACCCTTGAGGGGTTATGTGACTCACCCAAGATCCCACAGAGAGGCAAGGAGCTGGGGCTCACCTGGGTTTGTGGCCAGAGCCTGCAGGCAACTGTATTTACAGTGGGCAGGGAGGGTTCCCTGGGCCCCAGGAGGGAGTGGGGCTGGGCTGTTAAGCTTTGGTTCATGCCATGCTAACAGTGGTGGTGCCTCAGGACTTACAGCCTCCATCTTGCAAGCCCCCAACCTTAGGACTAGCCTCTTTCAGGGCTGGTCTCCGTTTGAGATTTTGTGAGCCACCTGTCCCTAGGGAGCAGTAAATCAGGGCAGTGAGTGTGGCTAGTTAAAGCTGAGATGCCCATGGCCAGGTCCCCAACTCTCTTCCATAGTCAAAAGGCTTAGAAGGAAGTTGAGGGACTGGGGTTCCTCATGGAAACAGCGTTTTATTTCTTGGGGGTAATTTATAAGTTTTCTTAGCTGGTTCTAGGCACTAAGCTAAAAGCTACTGGTGACTTTGAATCCACACTACGCCATGAGGTCGATACCATTACAATCTGTGTTTTATGATTAAGGAGACTGACTCAGGTGGTGAAACGTCTTTCCCCAGGTCAGTGAGGCAATGGCAAAACCGAGAACTGCTGCCTCAGCCCATTCTTACCTTTTACCCTTCGCTACCCCAGGCCTGGCTTGCTCCCTCCCCACCCCAAAGCACAGCATAATCCTCCTCCACTTCCTGCAAAAGCACCGCTAGAAGTGACAACACAACACGCCACATCAAATGCTTACCTCCTCTGACCAGCTCGTTTCTCACGGCAAGTGACGGGGCCACAGGCAGGCACTGTGCACAACCAGATGCCATCCGTGGGAAGAGGGTGGAGTGCTTGATGCTGCCGCATTTGGAAGATGCTTCTTAGCCACGGGTTTCAATCCCTTCTCTACCCACACAGCTTCTGTTAAGGCATTTCAGCCGTGCCACTCCTAATTTCCGTGTGAACTCTGTAAAATTAGAATTCTTTGATCTGTAGGTCTCTCTGGTCAAATGACCAAGAAACGAGGGATGTACAACCTGAGAAAGCACGTTCAGCTTTATCTTTTTAAACTTTTTTTATTTAAATAAGGAGAATTCTTTCATATGGAAAGAGCTAGTACAATCACATATTTGAAAGGAGAAACAATAGGTACTGAACCGGAGGGAAAGGGCGAGGGTGAGTGTGCCAGCACCGGCCTGGTGAATCCACGATTCGATTTCCCATCCAAGGTAAGTTTCCCAAAATACCGTATAAACAAGCTGCACATTACACCTCTAGCCATCGTCTGCCCTTTCAAATATCTGGTCTACATGGAAAGACAAAGAGGAAAGGCCAAAACATAAACAAAAGGAAACAAAAACAAAACACAACCCTCTCAGGAACCAAACAAAACCCCCAAATCCTTTTTTACTACACAAGGCATGAGGTCAAAAGCTTGAGTACAGTGTCCCCTTTAGATCACGGGAGAAAGGCGTCCACACAGAGCCTTAGCAGGAATTTCCACTCTGAGGCTTCAGAACATGCTGAAGATGGGGCTCTGAGGGTGCCACTACCATCCTGGAGGCCACCAAGTGGGGTGGAAACAGTGAAGAGCAGGTCTCACATGCCCGAAGACCACCAGCCAACTACACATTGGTGGCCCTGGTGGAGCATGGCTGGGCGACAGCGTCCATCCCCAACACTGAGCCACTCCTGTCCTGGATGACTTCCTGCTTAGGTCCGTCACATTTCAGAAGAGAGCTGGCTTTCTGGAAGCCTACGTTTCCCATTCATCACAGAACACGACAGAGTGCACACATCCTGGTATCCTTGGTCTTCAAAGGCCATTTCCAGCAGACCCTCTAACCCAGGCTTGTTCTGCAGGAAGTGAAAAGGGACAAATGAAGATTTGAGGGGCAGCCTGCAGCTACTTGGCACAGGGGAACCAAATGGCAAGGGAGAAGGCTCCACCAGAGCTGCCATGCTGCCGTAGCAGGCCAGACCACAGCATGGCTGTGCACCTGTGTGTGCTCAGCTTCCAGAAGCTGTCACTGACCATCGCGAAGGCAGATCCAGAAGATAGGAGGGTGACAGCACGGCTGGAGAGCACTGATGTCAACGTTTAACAAGGTTCCCCAGTGTCCCTAGAAGTGGCTGGAAGGACCACAGCTTTGGAACTGAACTGATTTTCTTGAATGTGAAATAAAGTCATCTTTTGTTTTCCCCCTTAAGGAACCTAGAGCCAGAGTGTCTATGAATTCCAAGTTTGAAAACAATATGAATGTTTAAAAAAAAACAAAAAACGCTGTGGGGAGAAGCCAACAGTTAAGAAAACCAAACCAAATGCAGCTGGCATTGAAGTCCCCAGTGGGTAGATGGGCATCTGAGATGTATACCCACACTCTGGACTTCATCCCACTCTAGTGGATGGTGGACAATACCGCAAGGCCACTGGTGGCTGAGCAACGAGCCGCATCCCCAGTGACCAAGGCAGAGCTGCCAGCGTCAGGAGGGCAACTTTAACAGGCAAAAGTGAGTGGGTTCTGACCCCCCAATCCCTACCTCAGCAGCAGGAAAGGGAAGTGCTGGTCTCCACCTGTTCCCACTAAGGCCCCGTGGTATCCTGGCAGAAGCCTCTGCATGTATCTGCGCTCTGAGGATGGGGGTTTGAAAACAAAATAAGACCCTACGTCCTACTACCTTGAGCTTGGCTCTAAAACCACGGGAAAGGAAGAGATATATTGCACCTTAAAACATCTCTGCACTAAGAACTGCATTTCATTAGACCAAGGAGGGGTTGGGGCGCTGGGAGGCCTGAGGCCTGCCCTCAGCCCCCCAAGTCTCATTTAAAACCTGCATCTCAGCGAAGAGACTGCAGCTCAGGTCACACACAGGTGGTGACTGCACCGAACTTCACATGCAATTTCCTGGCCTTTCCTGCACAGAATTAATTCAGACATTATATATAAATAGAGCAGTGAAACATTTACTTCTTTTTTTTTCACCTAGACCTACAACATCAATACATATAAATAAATTCTAGTGTTTTTTGTTTTTTTATTTGGGGTGGGGGAGGAGAAAGGAAGGAAATACCAGGTAAGAGAAAAGGGCTGGAGAACAGGTGACCTTTTTGTTTTTATTTTTTCTCAAACAGCAAGTACTGTGGGTCTGATACCAGGTTCACCTGAAGGGTACATCTTAACAGCATCCAGAAGGCTTTCTTTTGACAAATCACACGCACCACCGCATCAGGTGGGAGGGGTCTGGCCATGCGGCTCAAGTGTCCAGGTGGAGATGAATGTGTGGCTCCCGCAGGCCTGAACTCACCCAGGAATGGCTTGGCAAGGAGGGCCGGTGGGGACAGAGAGGGCTCATCCCAGGCCCCACAAGCAGCCGCTTGCAGTGGGAGAAGGAAAAGCAGACAAGAAGCTCAGGTAGGGAATGCCTGGAACTGTCGGGTGGGCAGCCCCTGGGGAAGGGACTCAAGCATAAAGGCTTGGGATAAAGAGGGAAAAGACCAGGTGAGGGCAGGAGGGGAGCTGCTGAAAGATGCAGGTGAACAGTAAAGCACCTTTCAGTAAAACTGCCCTTTCCCAGGCAGCTCTGGGGTGGGCGCTGTTGGTAGGAGGCCGTTCTCCCGCTTCCTTAGAATTGTGAGAGCAGTAAGAAGTTACTTCAGCAGTTCCTAAGATGCTCCTTCCCCATGTTCTACACTAGACACAGAGCTTAGAGCCCAAGCCTGAGCGCTGTCCTGCACCCGTGAGACGCTGAAGGCAGCCTCTGGTGGGGGGTGCATCCCCGGCCCCCTCCTCTAGGTGTTCTGAGCCAGCCTCCTCTGGAGGAGGAGGTAGACGCTCAGTGACCCCTAAGAACAGCTGAGAAACCTGAACTGTCCCCTTCCCTTTCCTTGGAATGACAGAATCTGGAGTGATTTCCTTGTTTCTTACTTAAAAACAAGCCCAGCACACGATGGCTCACACAAGCCTCTGGCTGGAGAAGCTGCCCTCCCGGAGGCTGCGCAGGCCCTTTGGACCTTGGTCAGCCCTCCACCCAGCCTCACCCTGGACCTGCCCCCGCCGTCTGAAGACAAACGAGACTGATGCCTACTGCTTAGCTCAGGCCCTCCTGTCCTGACAACCTGGGTCTGCTGCTGGGAGTGAAGCAAAGGAGGAAAAGGACAAACTCCCAGTGGCCTCACTTGGGGACCACACACGGGTCCACTCCCTCCATCACCAAGTGGTGTTCACGATGAGCTGTGTGGGAGGTGGAGACAGGTCCAGAGAAAGCAGCAGGCTCCGGAAGAGGAAGGAAGGAAAATGACAGGTTACAGAAGGCTTCAGGGAAAGAAATGTGTGAAAAACACAGCACCCCTGCAGGGCAGGGTATGGAGCCCCAGAAGCAGAGCCCACGGGGCCTGGGATGGGCCTGTGGTATGTCAGCTCACCCCATCTGGGCCAACCTGGGAGCCACCAGCAGCCATCTCCATGATTTGTCTCTGGTGCCCAGCACATCCACTGGCTTTAGAGGAGCCCAGGACAGGGACCCTGTGTGATTCTCATGCTAAAACTGTCATCAACTTCATGGGCTGCCTGTAAGCGCCCTGGGCTCATCAAGCCAGGAGCTGGAACCCAACTATGACCCCCCCCCTCCCCCAACCTGCCTGCTGCTCTGAGCACCCCATCGCTTCCCAGGCGGGGAGCCAGGCACCAGAATGCTCGCAATCGGTGCCCTCAAGAACCTCCTTTTCTTTTTGCAAATAACCTCAAGGGTGAACCAGCTGAGGAATCAGGAGGGGATGCATTCTTAAGAGTCACCTCTTAAGGTACTGCAGTGACGTATCAAACTAAACAGGACAGAGGCTAGAGATGGAAGGGAGCGGAGGGGCTGGCAAGAAACATATAAAAGTTCAGCTATACACATGGAGCTTGCGTTTTTGTTTTCTTTTCCTTTCCCCTTTGTAAAAACCTTGGCTACATTTTAAAACAAAAAGCCTCAAAGTAAAATGACCCTGCTGCCAAATCACTGTGCCTAGGGATGGGCGGCTGGGCCGGAAGCACTGCTGAGAAGGCGCCCTGGCTGCGCGGCAGGACAGGGAGGAGGCAGGGAGGGCAAATCTGCACTGCACAGGAGGCGTCACTCCACAGTCACGGTAGGAGCAGATGGGATGAAGGAGTCGTCTGCTTTTTTGTTTCGTATCAAAGCAAGCGGGTCAATGCCATATATCCACGGGTGCAAGCTGGTTGACAACGGAGCTTTCGGGAGTGGAGAGGAGGGAGGTCTCTCAGTCTGGGCCACGCATTTGGACGGTGGATCTGGTGAGGCTCCCGAGTGTCGGCTGTGTCGAGGCCGCATGGCGGCACCGTCCTCAGTAGGGAGAGGCGAGGTGGCAGCCAGGCACTGTCAGGCCTTACTCTCCTCCACTTTGACAGCCCGAGGCTTGATCGCTCCGGTTCGCTTCATCTGGGAGGCAGCCGAGGGGGCCTCCTGCAGCTTCACGGCTCCCAGGCTGGGTTTCTCATCCACTCGTTGTTTTGCCTTTGGACAGATGAATGGGAAAAACAAAGTGACCCTGACGCTGAAACGTGTTTGGATACATAGTTCCCACCACTCCCTTCCTGCTCCTGAGTTGCAGGGAAAGCTCCCCTAAGTTGTCAGTCCCTTGGTTGAAGGACCAGACTTAGAAACCCCCCTCCTAGTAAGGAAAGTGGCGCGAGTGCCGTCTCTGCTCCCTCCCCATAAGCCCTGAGTGCAGTGATTCGGAGAGGCAGGAAGACACCGGGTCCTCCACAAAGAATTCCGCGATGGCACATCCCAGGGCGGAAGCAGTTCTGGTCCCAAGGCCAACTGGAAGAACCTTTTCAAATCAGTGCACCTCCTGCCCCACAGGCAAAAAAGGCCCCTTCAAGTAGATCCAAGTGCCCCCTGCACGTCTCGGAGCCCCCGACTGTCTGCTGGGGCCCTAGGCAGACTTGGCCCCCACAGATCTCTGGCCGCGATTCAGCCAACCCCCCCACCATTCCCACTCTGTAACCTTTCCCTGGGGCCCCATTCCTAGTCAGGGCTCCCCTGGTCTGTGGCTCTACACGGGGAGTGGGGTGGGGAAGTCACAGAGCAGCCAGCGCATCTGCCCCCCACCAGGTCTGAACTCTGGAAGAAAGCTTTAGAAGCTCATTCCACACAACTTTCATGACCCCTAGGGGAACCAATGAGAGCAATCACTTCCCATCTCTACCAGCCAGGCACAGTGACTGATTAAAAACCCACGTCTGAGGGGCTTAAGCTCTGAGCCCCAGCACGTTTTAGAGAATAGAGAAGAGAATAGTGCGTGCAGGAAAAGACACTGCGATGTCCTTTTCATTATAAAATGGGAAAACTTAATTTCACCTGTGCTCCCACCCAGCCAAGACAAAGATGAGACACACCACTGACTAGAACCAGCGCGCGCACCCCGGCTCCTAAAGCCGACCCCCAAACCTAACCGAGTCTCCCAGGGCGCCTCAGCCCCGACCTGCCAGGGCTGGTCCACCTTCCAGCACCACCTCCTCAGAGGAATCAGCATCCTCCCTTCTCTGCAGGACAAGGAAGGATCCAGACGCCCGTCAAGAGGAGAAATGCCTTCGCCAGGAGGGACGCGGGCGGCCCAGCTCCCGGTTCTGTGCTCTAACCGCTAGGGCATGGCTGTCTTTAGACAGGGGGCGCTCAGATAGGTTGGACAGTCCCTTCTCTTTTGGCGCTTGGAGACGGGCCTAAGTGTCCAGGGCTGAAGGGTCTGGAAAGCCATCTTCTACCTGTTGCACGTAGTGTCCCTGCACAGAGCCCATGTTAACTGCTGATCCAGAGGGCTTCCCACTGGGGCTAGCAGAGCTAGGCCTGAAAAAACCAAAGGCAGGGGTTGAGAATACACAACGTGTCACCACAGAAATGGAGTCAAAGCCTAGCACATGGAGGAGGCACAAGGAAGGAAGGGCCTGCGGCCAGAGGCGCTCACTCGGGACGGTCCGTGGATCTCTTGGATGGAAAACAACCACAGACCTAAGACAGCCCAGAACGCAGAAGGGTGAGGGGGTGGCTGTCACTGACCACCCTGGCACCTCCAGGACAGAGCTCAAGGAGACGCACCGCAAGAGAGGGAGGCTGAGGCCCTGTACAGATGGGCATGGCTGTCCTGCTGTGCAGAAAGCGACACTGGCCGTCTCAGGGTCTGGACCAACACGATGCAGTGCCCCAGACAAAAGGCCTAGAAGCCTGACGCTGAGCCAGAACTGTGCCGAGTATTGTTCTAGTCTTCACTTTTCAGAAAAGGGGATGGGGGAACCAAAATGTACAACATGCTTCTAAATGTGTTCCACTGACCACTAGTTAGTTCCCAGGGATGTTAATTAGGTGCTACGTGGAAAAAAAAAAAGTCTGCGGTCAAAAAGCCTAAGTGCCGTGTGCAGAGTTCAACAGGACTCTCAACCTAGGCCCGCTCAGCCTGTGTGGTGAGTACCCTCCCCAGCAGGCCACCCTGGGGACAGCACTCCCCCAAGGACCTGACCAGGGAACCCTTGTTTTTGCAGCGCACATCTCAGCAGCTCTATTTCCAGAACACTTTGGCAAACACTGCTTTATACAATTATAGCAATTTCCCCAACCCCCCTAAAACACCATAGAAACAAAGCTACTAGTTTAAGGCTTCCACTTTCTAAATATGCTCCAAAGAATAATCTGCTGCCATTCATTCCTACAACTACATAGACACAGGCGACTCTTGTCCCGTGAGGCTCTGTCTCTGGGTTTTGCTTTTTGAGGAAGGCTCTGTAGCCAGAGGCTGCTGGAATCTGCCTGTGGCAGCAGCGGGACAGCGTCTGCTGAGACCTGCAGCCGCCTTCCTCCTTCCAGTTCCGCTCCATGGTCGGTGCTGTCCAGCTATCTTTTTCACACAGTCCTGATGTTTTGGTCTATGTGACAGACATGGTAGGAAAACGAAACGTACTAAAAACAGAAATAAATGAAGCCAGGAGAGTGAAAATAAGAACAGAAAAGATGGAATGGGAGGAAAATCTACAAAAACCCCTTTCTCTGGAAATGAAGGTACAAGAGTGGAATGCTGTGATGGAGGACAGGCAAAGGGCGGTGGGGCAGAGGGAGGGCAGCAAGGCAGAGGGGGTGCAGCTGGAGCAACTTGCAGACCATGGGGGCCCGGCTTGCAGAGCGCTCCTCAGGCCCACAAGTACCTGTGTAGTCGTGGGGATACCTCATGGCGTCTGCAGCGATGGTGTTAACCTCACAGGGCACCATGGGTCAGGCAGGTCTGTTTCACTCATTTGTAAACACAGAGGGGTCTCAGGAATCTCCCACATGTAACAAGGGTGGACTGTACAAGCCCTCGGAGCCCAGGGCCAGAGCGTGCTGCCTTCACACACCAGCACGGGCAGAAAAGGCAGTGGACCAGAGGCTCTCGCCAACATCCGACAGAGCCACCTGAGTATCCAGCTAAGGGGACCTGAGACAGTTGCTGGAGGTGGAGACAGACACAAAGGAAGCAAAAAGAGGGTGCTGGTTTGTAGCATGGAAGGAATGGCCCCATAAGCCCAGCAATAAAAAGTCCCCTGGCAGGGGTCATAGGGCAAGTCTGAGGAAAGAGACGCTGGGAAAGGCCACGCTCCTCCCCTTGCCAGGATGCAGCCCTGTGGCCAGTGGGTCCTGTTTTTAGGATCTAATGGGAAGTCACGTCAGTCCTGATGCCTACTAAATGTCAGCCGTTCCTTTTCCTACCTTTCCAGAAAGCTCCCCAATCCAGAGCATCTTATTATAATGATTAAAACCAAAACCACTCTCCTGACTCCTCACTCCCCCAAATTTAACTGGAACACAAGTGCATCCCAGTGCTGAAACACCACAGTGACACATGGCCCATAGAGGGACCAGGTCTCTGGCGGCTCTCCCTGGGCCCAGATTCTTCTGAGTCACTGGGCCGCAGCTCTGGCAACTGCTCAGCTACACAGCACGCAGTCCCCAGGGAGTGGCTTTACCTGTAGGTCTGTGGCGATGGCACGGGGCCTCCTGAAGGGACATTCTGTTTACTGTCGGCAAAGTGGAAGCCTTTCATCTCCATCTGAGAGGGCTAGAGAGACCAAGCAGGAACAAGCTGTCATTTGAGGCCCTGGAGACAGCTGGACCACACACTTACTGAACAACCCAGGGCAGAGGTGGTGAGGGCCATGGGAATTCCCAGGGAGGCATCTTATAGAGCAGTGGTTTTTGGCACCAGGGCCCAGTTTCATGGAAGACAATTTTCCCACAGACCAGTACAGCTCTGCAGCCCGGGGACTGGGGACCCCTGTTCTAGAGAAATCTGCAAGCCCTTTCCCTCTAAGCCAGACTCAAGAGGGCTTCTTCTTAGAAGCAAGAACCATCACAATATTTTGTTCTTTTTAAAGTGAAGTGGGAGAGCCAATGAAACATGGCCGTCCATAGCAGGGCCTCCTGGGGAGCTGGGGAGGAATGCTGATTCCTGGCCCTCAGCCCTCGACATGTTCAGAGTCCCCAGGACCTGCCTCTGTGATGGCCCCACACATGGTCACCTTCCTTTCTGCCCTGGCAGTCCCACGCCACTGGCTCTTTCTACCACACAGGGGTACTTAGCTTGCTAGAAAAAGTTGGTGACACAAGGCCCCCTCCCTAGGGTCAGAGGCAGATGGGGTCCCCTTACCTCTCTGCTGGTGTTCAGGACTGGCGGCTGGGACCCGGGCGGAGGAATCCTTCGGGGGGCCCCAACGGAGAGGCTCTGCCCAGGTGGCAGCTGAATAGACTGGGGCAGGATCAGTGGCTGCTGCCCGGAGCCGTACCGAGGCAGTGGCATGGTCAGCTGCTGGGCGACAATGACAGTCAGGAGGGGGAATGATGCTATGGAGAAACCCCAAACGCACCAAAGAGCGACCGCACATGCACTTCAGATTCATACACTTCAGAAGAACTAAAGCAAAGCCTGCATAAAGCAGGACATGCTCTAATTTCTACTGCAGCACAGGAGAGATCGCCCAGGATTTCACACCTTCGATGGCAGAGGCACGTCTTCTTGCTGGAATAGAGTAGGTGGTGAGAAAACGGGCAAGACTAAGCTGGCTGCAGGCATGGGAACTAACAGCGTTAAGTGTGTCTCATCCACATCTCTGCTAAGGGCTGCGTCTATCTTCAGCCCTTTCTGCCTTTGTCCAGCAAGTGCTTACTGAAAGCATACAAGGTGCCAAGGAAGCGGCAGGGCCCTGTCCAACATGGGCCTGCACACTGCCAGGATAGTGTGTCACACACTGGACACAGCTGCAGGACACTCGGGATGCAGAGCGGCATAGGATCTGTGGGTGCACACCAGATTTATGGGTGCACACGGGGCGGGGTGGGCAAGGAGAGGACGAGTGAGGAAAGTCAGAAGTAATGGCGAAGCCAAGTCCCAAAAGATGAAAGCTGCATCGGACGTATATCTCTGCATTCCTTTGTACAGCACACACGTTCAAGACTCTTACTGTTTTGCATCAAGTGGTGGTAAAAACAAGACTGGGCTGGATTCCAGACTGTGGGGGTCCTTTGAAGCATGCTGACAGGAGAACAGGGTAGCTGCAGGGCCTAACTAACTAGAACAAGATATGCGAGGTGGGGATGTGGGCCCAGAGACTGTAAGGACAGGGGAACAGGATGGGGTAGGGGGGCTGGGCCACTTTTGGTCTCTCAGTCACTGTCCTCTTCATCTCCCTGCTATTGAGTCCACAGTGGAGGGTCAGAAGGATCTATTGGAATTACATCACTGAGACTTGTGGTGGCCAGAGCCGCAAAACACCATGCTCCTCCTTGGAGCACCAAAATGGTGCAGGATGAAAATGATGGGAAGATGCTGCCATTTATAGAGTGCTGACTTGGGGTATGATCTGACTTGCAGGGAGGCCAGGTAGGAGTCCCTACAGGAGCTGGACAGCATGCAGGGGTGTGGAGGGGATGAGACACAGCTGGATTCTGAATCCTTTTAAAGCCAGAGCTGACAGGCCTGCTGAAGGGTAAGGGGGTGAGGTGAGGGGGAGCAGGGAGCCAAGGAGGATGTGGACTGGACAAGCAGAAGGACCGGGAGGAAAATCGAGTTTTGAATATGATGAGTCTTGAGATGCCATAAGACACCATAGCAGACATGCTGGAAAGTCCATTGGATTTGAGATTCAATTCCAGGGACAGATCTGAGCTAAAGATGTCCATTTGGGAGTGAGGAGAAGATGAAGGAATTTAGAGCCATGACTCTTGAAACACACCCAAAGCAGGGCCCACGGGCATGCTGACCATTACAGACTGGGAAGGAGAGGGGACAGCAAAGGAGACTGAGGAGGAGGCCTGAGGCAGCAGGAAAGCCAGGAGCGACGGCCTGGAAACTGGGTGAAGAAAGTGGTTCGAGGGGTGTGGGGGGCGGGATTACGGGGTCAGCACTGCAGCTCGTCTGTGTACTGACGGGAAGGGATATCTGATGCATGAAAGAGAGGGAGATGTGCTGGGGCAGGGCCCCCCAGGGGCACAGGCAGCACCTAGGCAGGGATGTGGCCACAGGGGCTTGGAGACTGTCACTGCTCCTGTTTCCTGGGTGACACAGAAAGGGAGGTCATGGGTGGGAGGCAGCGAGGGGCAAGATGCAAGTCTGAAAAGCTGCTAGGAGGGTGGGGGTTGACTGGGAGCCACAGCTTGGATGAAATGCAAAGGCCATGTGGCTCGGCAGATCTGCTGATGGGGAGGAAGAAGCCAGGCCAAGGGGGAGGATGACAAAAACATGGGTGGCAGAGACTGGGTGTGGTGGCTAACACCTGTAATCCCAGCACTTTGGGAGGCCAAGGTGGGTGGCTCACTGAGGTCAGCAGTTCGAGATCAGCCTGACATGGTGAAACCCCCATCTCTACTAAAAATACAAAAATTAGCCGGTGGGTGGTGGGCGCCTGTAATCCCAGCTACTCGGGAGGCTGAGGCACGATAATTGCTTGAACCCAGGAGACAGAGAGGTTGCAGTGAGCCGAGATTGCGCCACTGCACTCCAGCCTGGGCAACAGAGCGAAACTCCATCTCAAAAAAAAAAAAAAAAAAGAATTTTGGAGTTGGGTCACTAGAGGGAGTGAATTGAAAAAGCCAGAGGTGACAACTGAGAGGGACACTGAGAGTTGAGATTATGCGAGAGCCACAGCTACTGGGAGCAGCCAAGCCTAGACAGGAGTGCACAGAGCAGGGGCCCATGTGAACAAGGGCACCAGTGGCGAGGAGGGCACAAACTGCATGGACAGGGTCCATGGCACAGAGACCCGGGGTCATCTCTGCAGACATCAAAACCACTAGGAACTGGAACAGGAGAGTGGAGACAGACTGCAAGCCAGACCAGACAAGGAGGGTGACCTTCAAAGGTGCCAAATACTGCCCACAGGTTGACGGAGAGGAAGATTTCTCAGCAGACACTGGATGTGGTGATGGCACCATAGCAGAGTGAAGGGCTTGTCAGGCACAGTCTATGGTGTGGGCTTCAAAGCTGGCGTTTCAGGGAGGAAGGAAGAAGAGGAGTCTAGAAGCATCAACAACTACACAAAGAGGACTCTTAACCCATTCCACACCCTACTGCACAAGGGCAGGGAGAAAGGAAGGAGCCCCCGTCTGGGGGCTGCAGGAGCAGGCAGTGCTTAGGGGACAGCCAGGTCTCAAGAATAAAGAGATGGATGAGGGGCCAGGGGTGGTGGCTCACGCCTGTCATCCCAGCCCTTTGGGAGGCCAAGGCGGGCAGATCACTTTGAGGTCAGGGGTTCGAGACCAGCCTGGCCAACATGGTGAAACCCCATCTCTACTAATACAAAAATTAGCCAGGCACAGTGGCACACACTTGTAGTCCCAGCTACTCAGGAGGCTGAGGCAGGAGCATCGCCTGAATGTGGGAGACAGAGGTTGTAGTGAGCCGAGATCATGCCACTGCACTCCAGCCTAGGCAACAGAGCGAGACTCTGTCCAAAAAAAAAAAAAGGTGATGGGGCTACTCAGAAGAGGCTGATTTCCTGCACGCTGAGGAATGGGCACGGTGGCTACCAACCAACAGCACGATAGGCCAGCACACACTGAGAGGCGGGTGAAAAGAAAAGGCAAGGTCGTGAAGGAAAGAAGCCTAGGGCTTTGGGTAGAGTGACTGAATTCCTGACCTGTGGGAGCTGGGAGTCCAACATCTGGGAGGCACCCAGGCCAGCAGCCTGGCTGAGCTGGCCCTCGTAGACCAGGGCTTGGTTCCCGCTCATGGGCTGGTAGGGTGAGCCAGACTGCGGCTTCACCATCTCCAAGGGCTGCATGCCTGGGAACGCCGAGTATGGAGGCTTCAAGGCTGTGCCCCCAGAGAGGATCATGGTGCTGGGCGGTGACAGGCTGGGGTGCATGTACACCTGAGATCTGCAAAAGCCAGACAGATGGTCGGGATCAGGTGGATGAGTCCAGCTGCGGATCTGGTCCCACCCTTCAGAGATCCCCGGAGAGCTTGCTAAACCACAGATCCCCGGCCCCACCCCCAGAGCGCGACTCAGAGGGTCCAGGATGGGGCCTGAGAACAAGCTCCTAGATGGCGCTGATGCTGCTGGATTAAACAAGTGAAGACATCCAGGCTGTACGAGGCACAGGACATCAGCCACAATGACTGGCAGCCACACTGACGGAGAAGCCCGCGGTGGGGAGGAGACAGGGAGTCAAGGGGAGAGGAGGAGGAAGGAGCAAGGAAAGGAGGCAAGATGACATGGAAAAGCAAAACACGGCCCACCACATATCAGCTCGCCCCAGGCCTCTCCTAGAGCACAGTTAACAACGGACTGAAGAGTGATTCAGAGCAAACTCCCACCCCTCCCCGCCCCACTGGCCCCAAAGCAGACAAGCACCAAACAGCTGCAGGACGAAGGCTGCACACAGGGCCAAGGCCCTGGCTGTGAGCTGCCAGCTCCGCAAGCTGGTACATGAGCTCACCTGAAGGGCTGCAAGGAGCTGAAGATCTCCTGGGACTGGGACACAGGAAGCCCACCCCTCAGTCCAAGCTGAGCTTGTGCCTGCAGAGATGTGTGAAGGGAGATCGGGATCTGCTGGGCAGCGGCGGCCTGTGAACGGGAAAACGGGGTCGGGGAGGTAACCGCAAGGCCCATCCAGGTGGTTCTTCCCCTCCCACCTCCCCTGCCCCTCTCCACATGGCTGCTGGAACACTGCCCAAAATTCAAATGCCAGCATGTCATTCCTGGGCTTCCCTTGCTATTGGGATAAAGCCTATAATGAAAAACTGGTAGCAACCCCAAACCACAGCATATCCCTACCCTGGAATTCTACACAGCAACAAAAATGGATCCTAGCACATACGTCAACAGAGGTGAGTTCCAAAAACATAACGCTGAATTTAACAATGCACAAAAAGAAAGATACATGCAGTCTGACCCAGTTATGCAAGAACCAAAATCTTGGTAACCAAACAATACAGCAGTTAAGAACATGTTTTTAAAAAGAGGTCAGCAGAGGCCACATCCTCCATCAGCAAGCCTGCACTTGGAGCAGATTCTGCCTGGAAGTCCACTGTCGTGGCTGTGGAGGCACATGGGTCTGAGGGGCGGCTAGACCATCCCAAAGGCCCAGCACCAGCATTAGAGGGGAGACTTCCAAAAATCACCCCTTGGCAGCACAGAAAGTATGCCAGTCCTGCATAAATAACCAACGCCTGCTCATTTCTAAGACTACCTCTTTCTAATGCATCCATGCCTGGGAGTTTAGGCCTTTCTTCTCTTCATCAGAAGGATACCTGATCACCAAAGAAAATTCCATTTTAGCTAATTCCCCGGCTAGGACACAGGAGGGAGAACTTTGAGAAAGGAAAACTAAGCAGAGTCTGGAGCAGCCAACTCCACTCCTCTTCCCTGTCTCGATTATTCGCTTAACAAATGCCTCCTGGCTGCCGTGGCGGGCCAGGTGCTGGTCACCACATGTGAGGGGGATGGAAAACCAGACAGACAATGAGAAATAGATGAGCAAGCCAATTCCGCCCTGCACTGGCTCCTCCCCACCACCCCCAGCCAGGCCACCTGGCTAGCTGCTGTCACCTGTTGGTAACTCTGCTGCTGAGGTATCGTTTGAGGAACCAGCCGGGGCTGACTTGCAAACACATGGCCATCCAGGTACAGGGGCGGGAGGTGGCTGCCTGGAAACAGAGCGGCAAAAGGGACGTAGAAGAGGATCAAGCCTCACTACTTCTCAATGTCCCTGAGGGAAACAGTCTACAGGTCTGCTCTACCCAGGGGACTCAGTGGGGACGAGGGCGTGTGTACAGAGGCTGCTAGGTTCCCTGTGTGCCGGAAGCACACGCCTGCTCACAACACGCCTGGCACGCACCTCAGGGAACGTAGGGAGGGTGCAGCGTCAGACCTAGGAGGAGGGAGGAGGCAGGTGGGCTCTGGCCTACCCTTCCCACCTCCCACTCACCAACTACCCCAGACACTCGAAGGGGCATTCTACTTTAACCAGGGCTGCCTTGGTCTCTCAGTCACTGTCCTCTTCATCTCCCTGCTATTGAGTCCACAGTGGAGGGTCAGAAGGATCTATTGGAATTACATCACTGAGACTGGCAGCTGGGCCCTCAAAACCCCCACGCTTCCCCTTGGGGACACTGGCACACGATAAGGATGGCAGCAATCAGGACAAAAGTAGCTGCCAGTGACTGAGGGCTCTGTTGATACAAAGCCCTTTCCAGGTAAGACCTGGCCTCACGGGTGTGGCCACCCCACGGAGTTTCATGTAAGAGAGGAGAGGACACTGTGGCTCGGCAAGAGCTGCTCACCAGCCGAGGCGACACGGCTCCAGCACATGACCCAGGTCTGACTCAAAGTCAAGCCTTTGCTCGCTCCTGTCACCAGTAGGCAGGAGTGCCTCGCTGTTATCCCCCAGTTCTGTTTCCCAGCGTGGGGAAGCAGGACGTGCACATTACCTGCAGCACATGGGAGCTACGACCACTGGGCCTAAAAACAAGTTGCTACTTCTACATGCTACTTAAGACAAGGCCAGGAGGTGACATTCGGGGCTGTTAATCCGTTTTTCTTGATAATAAATGGAGAAGGACCCCAAGGCCTTGCTCAGGGGATGAGATACCTGGCATAGAAGCAGAAGGTGCTACAGAGGCCACAGGCATGGGTGGCATGGACACTCCACCGAAGGAGCTGTAGTTGACCCCGCTGGAGGCACCCACAGAGGATGGAGGCTGGATGCCTGAGCCAGCGCCGCCTGGAGAGCTCTGCTCCGGCAAACTGGGGGAGTTTTCCCAAGCCTTGCGCGCAGACTCCATCTTCAGAAGCAAGGGGAGGGGGAGGGATGAAAATTACTATCACGCTGGCAGTGGACAGAGCCAATCTAAGCTTTAGGGGTTCGGGGACTCCTCCCTTCTGCCTCTTTGTAAGCTAAGGTACTGGGTGGGCCCTCACCCAGCTCAGGGCTGGTGTTACCTTCAGAGTAAGGTCGGCGGTGGGGAAGGACATTGGGGAGAGACCGATGGCCCTCTGGATGTGATGGTCCCGCCGCAGGATGGGGATACTCTGTGTTAACCCTGCCTGGAGAGGAGGAAAAGGAAACCATGGAACACAAACAGGTGCAGAGATGGCTTTGCCCAAACCCATCCATGGCTCTCCTGAACACACTCAAGGCTCGTCCAAATGTATCTATGACTTGCCCAAACCCATCCATGGCTTTTCCCAAAAGCACCTACAGCTCCGTGTCTATGAATTGTCCAAATGCATCTTCAGTATTGGCCACATGTACCCAAGACCACCCAGATGAAACTGATGGCAGCCAGGACCATGACTGATCTCCTGGAGATGGCTGCCTCCATCAGTTTCCTCCACACAAGTCTGCAGAGAGCCACCCCCATATCCACACTCCATAGTGCCCTCCAGACAGGGAGAGCCATGTCCCGGCAGTATAAATATGGACTGGCAGCCCGCACACAAACATCTGGTTCAGAAGGCACCTGCCACCTGGCCTGGAGATGCCCTGGGCCAGACAGGGAAGGCTGTGCCCCTCAGCAAACTGAAAAAGAGGGCTCTGGTAACAGAGGCTGGAAATGCAACAGTGCCCCCGCTTCCTGCAGATCCCCGGTGTCCATCTGCATGTGACAGAGACCGCAGACTCTCGAGTAAAGAACCTCGTAGAGCCCAGCACTTCCAAAACATTGTTTTCATTCAACACCTATGAATATTGTACAGCACTCACATTCCTTGGAATCCTCTGGGAAACGCTGCCCAAATGATACTCGTTCATTCAGCATATGCACTAGCACCCACCCCTGCAGGTGGTGAGGACAGAGCAGTGAACCAGATGTCACTGCGACAGCCTCAGCTGCAGCCCCGAGTGGCCACAACAGATGCAACTGCCAGCTCCTGAGCCCATGGTAGAGCGCCAGCAGGTCTTCTGGATCACAACAGTTAGATTGCAGGCGGCAGGGACCCTTGGATGGTGAGATGGGGCCTCCTGAGGAGGGCTCTCCTACTCAATCTGTGCCCCTTACCCCTGGCCACAGAAAAGGCAGCCTGAGTCTGGGCTCGCACCTGGCACAGAGGAGACAATGGAACCAAAGAGAGCCAAATAAACCAGCCCTTAGGAACTGTATGATCCCCACTGGAAGGTCACAAAACCTGGGCAGGAACATTTAAGCACCTTTTAAGGACATGGAGCTGCTAGCAACTGAGTCACGTGCCAGCCCAGGTCAGCCTGAAATACATGTGCTGTCTCCTTCACCCAGGGCCTGCCAGCCCCAAGCAGTGAGTGGAGCCAAAAGTGGAAGTGTGGACTTACATTACTGGCCAAGGCATCCTGAAGTTTAACAACTGGACTCCCAGTAGGACCAGAGGCAGAACCAGGTGGCAAGCTGAAATCGGAGTCCTGAAAAAATAAAAAAGGCCACACAGCCCACTGAGATCCTCCTGGCCCTACATTCCCCAGAGGCATACATTAACGTGATGCAGTTTCCCCGACTCAAAAACTCCACTGAGCAGCATTCACTGGAGCCACATATGAGCGAGATGGCCAGATTTTCCCCACGGCACAGGAGACAGGACGCCAGCCTCACTTCTTTCTCCCTGTCCCTTGGGTGGCCTGACAGAAACAGGGAAGATCACTGGCCTGTCTGGTGTCAGTGAAGCAATCTTTAAAGCAACTCAACAGAGCACTGGCCATGTGCAGGACTCCACACCAACACTCTAGCCGCTGGAAGACTGCTTGGCTCCCATCCTTCTATTCCTTCTAGGAGACAATCCCATCTGAGCCCCCAGCCTCTCCAAGTACCAAAATAAAAAGTAAAAAAAGCAAGCAAGAAAACAAATCAAAGCCTCACTTTTGGACTGACTCCAAATTCAATGGGTGGCACAGGCAGCACGGAGTCCACGTGAATCTCCACCCCGTTAACAGGCGGGACGACAGCCCCTTGCAGCCGCTCGGCCCCCTCCGAGCCCTTTCTGTTTTTCAGAGAACGCTCGTTGCCGATGGGTCCTGGTCTGTGCTCCTTGCTCTGTCCAGAGCCTTGTTCTGAATCCTTGATAAAAAAGCAGAGAGGTGGAGACACACAGACTGGAATGACCACACTCTCTAGCTTCTACTGTCCCAGGAATTGAGGAAGATGATGAGACGATGGCCCCTTCCACCCAGGCCCTGGCCACTGTGACTGGAACGTCCAGGTTACCTTCTGCTCAGATGGCTTTGGAGCCTGCTCCTTGTGGCTGTCGGCCTTGGGTTCCGCCAGGCCGGGCCCGCTCATCTCCTCTGGCTTCAGAGTCCCATATGGGGAGCTGCGCTGCGAGGAGGTCGCAGACGACTCCCGAGACTCGGCACTCAAGTCAACGCCACTATCTCCCTGGCTGCTCTTAAAACCCTGCTGTGCAGAGCACAAAATGGGTTATAGCCTCAAACTCCCAACTCGATTATCCAGAGAGTAAAACTGCATGTGGCACAGAGACTTTTCTACCCCAGCTGCCTGTCCCTTGCCAAGTCTGGTCCTGATCTTGATCCTGCCCTGCTGAGGATGCCTGACAACTTACGTGTGGCCAAACACACCAACCCCGATAGAGCTCGTGACCACAGGATCTTCTATGGGCCCCAGACCGAGGCTGCCAAACCCATCTCACTTGTGACCCAAACCAGACTACGTGGCTGCTGACACCAGTTCAGAGGAGGCCCTGAATCCCTCTTCCCACCCAGCGTTGGGTCCTCCCTTGTTACCCCTTTTCTCTTTCTCCTGCTCATGCACGCCCCATGCACAGGCCAGAAATCAAGATGGAAAACCACTGATGAGCTTGGCCCCATGGAAACAACCTAATTCCAAGCTCAGCTGCTGTGGCAGGGGCTTGGGTGGGCCACAGCAAGCTGGCCGTGTGGATGGTGAGCACACACTCACACACTCATCCCAGGGGCAGCATGTGGGCAGCGGCCACACTCACCTCCGCAGAGCCAGTCTCGGTGCTGCTGAAGGCAGTGACAGCTTTCCTCCAGGAGTCGTTGGCTGGGGCCTGCACAGGGAGAGCTGCCAGGGGAGGAAGACAGAGTCAGGGCATCAAAGAGCAACCCGTCTAGAGAGTTTATGAGCTCTTAAAGAACAAGCACAGGCACAGCTTGCAGAAATCCAACTCCCCTGCCTCCCCTGCACCCGCCACCCCAGCCCCCTACCCGTGACACCCAGTGAACGGCTCTGACGTGGAAGAGCTGGTCTGACAGCCTTACCCAACTTTCCACATCCTCACCCAACGTGTTTCTCAACATCTCATGGATTACAGGAGAGAGTGAGCAGGGCAGAGCCCTCACTCCTGCCAATCTGGATTCTCTGTCGTTATTTCCGCTATGCTCATGCTTCTTTTCACTTATACTATTTCTAAAAGTTGGTAGCTTCTCTTTTTTTACATTAAAAAATATATCTTTCTTTTTTTTTTTTTTTTTTTTTGGAGACGGAGTCTTGCTCTGTCGCCCAGGCTGGAGTGCAGTGGCGCGATCTCCACTCACTGCCAAGCTCTGCCTCCCGGGTTCACGCCATTCTCCTGCCTCAGCCTCCCGAATAGCTGGGACTATAGGTGCCCGCCACCACGCCCGGCTAATTTTTTGTTGTTGTTGTATTTTTAGGAGCGACGGGGTTTCACCATGTTAGCCAGGATGGTCTCGATCTCCTGACCTGGTGATCTGCCTGCCTCAGCCTCCCAAAGTGGTGGGATTACAGACGTGAGCCACCAGGCCTGGCCTTCTTTTTTTTTTAAACAATAGAGACAGGGTCTCACTCTGTTGCTGGTCTTGAACTCCTGATCTCAAGTGATCTTCAAGCCTTGGCCTCCCAAACTGCTGGGATTATAGGTGTGAGCCACCACTCCTGGCCAAAGTTGGTGGCTTCTACAGAGTCTTTGAAAGATCCCAGCGGGTATTACTAAAAATTTTTAAGCTCACAGACCACTTTTTGAATGGCCATGGATCCGGAGCCCAGAAAAATAGATATGCATGCAAAAGTTGACATGCTAGCAGGGGGTGGGGGCACATATCTGCAATCCCAGCTACTCAGGAGGCTGAGGCAGAAGGATTGCTTGAACCCAGGGGTTCAAGTCCAGCCTGGGCAACATAGTGAGACCCCATCTTTAAAAAAAAAAAAAATCCTTTCACATGCTATTTTAATATCCAAGGGCTCTCTGAAGCCATCCCTTGGACACAACCCCTGGTCTGAGAAACCAATGAGCCCCTGCAGAATTCTGGAGTAAAAGATCTGACAAAAGGGGATGATGACTCACACCTGAGAGTCACATCTGATTCACACCTGGCAGCTCAACCAATCTGGCACCTGGGCATTTTTGGACACCAATACTATGACACCTGTCACTCAGCCACTACCAAATGTAGTGTTATTGATGTTTTATCAAATGGTTGTGCTTCCTTTCCATCAAAGCTGGGCATGTTGAATGTTATTTTGTAGTTTGCAAGAACCAAAGTTTTCACCGAGCACATGAGGACAAGCTATGTGGAAACAGTGAAAGAATCAAGGCCCAGAACTCAGTGTCTCGGGTGCTTGTCCTATGACCCTGGAGTCCCTGAGTCAAGTCCCTTCCCTCTAGAAGCTTCAGCTGCTTTGCAGAAAAATGAGCTGGCACTAGGTGACCTCTCCAAGCTCCCCTCATGGGCCTGAGCTGTGAAATATCGAATGTCCATGTTTTTATTCATCTATGCATGCTCTGGGCTAACAGCGCAGGGCCCTGCCTCACCTAAACCTCAAGAAGAACCTATTCTATGAAAATAGTTTTCTATTTTATAAGGAAAAATTCCCAGAAAAATTACATTTGATATAGAATTAAAAAAAAAAAGTTTTCAGGGCAACAAATGTTCTAAGAAGTAACGTATACCGTCTTCTGGTCTCAGTTTGCCTTTCCAGAAGAGCATTCAGGGAGGGGTTTCCAGAGCCTTCCCCATGTTAAGAAAAGGGTGCACAGCACAGAAGAGAGCTCCTGAACTCTTGCGGCTGGTCTATCTGTCATTTGCTTCTCTTCCATAAGTTAGTGGGAGAAAACGACGACCAACAAAGAAGGCCATTCCCACTACTGTGTGATCTAAGCCCAAGGGGCCATCCTTTTCCAGATCACCAGACTAATGAATGCTCTGCTCTTCTACCAATTTTAGGCAAGGAAAATTGTGTATCCGTTTGGGGGTTGCAGCAGCAAATCACTCAGACGGCATTCAGCGACTAGCTCAGCAGCGGAACACAGCAAACAGGTACTCCATCTGTATTCCATCTATATTCGTAGCTCAAAAGCAGGATCCTCCCCAGAAGCAAACCCAGTGTGTGATGTGACCTTGGGTGCCACAGCTGGGGTCACACCCCCAACTCTCACCCTGGCTGCTGCTCTCCCAGATCTCAGTGCCCAGGCTGCTGCCAGGCACGGTCACGTCACCTTGCTCCAGACATAAGTTGTTCTGCTTTTTTGCAAATCGAGGAGGAATACGGGAGGAAAGGCCTCGACCTTTGACAGGCACCTGAGGGGAAGAAAGGATGCTGTAGTCTAGCCAAAGGCACCAAGACTGACAAATTCTCCCCAGGATAAGTATCCCAGGTACCAAAAATCACACCACCTGAAAATGCTCCAGAGATGTGTGGAACGCTCGTCTCCCAAAACCTCAAGCAGAACTGCGATGCCAAGCAAAGCACCCCCCAAGAAAGACCTGAAAGGCCAACGGACTGTAATCTGTGTGCAGGTCCAGCCCTGACTCCATTTTAGTATAGCGTTCACGATCCACTTGACTTGAGGGAGACAAATCTCATTCCACTCAGGAATGAGGAGTGGGGAGGAAGGAGAAGCTGGGAGGTGACGGAGGTCTGCATCTTGCCTTGGACAAGTTTCCACTGTTATCACCCTAGAGAAGTCACCCTCTTCAAGACTCGGTTTCTTCCACTGCATAACAGTGATGCCACCACCTATTCCTACATTGATAGAAGGGCCTTGGTAATAGCAGGAACGGGGAGACAATGTGTGCTTGCTAAATACTCCTTTCTTCCTCTCTGCCACCTTGAGCTTGACCGAGAACTCCCTTACCCTCTGGCTCTGGGTTTCCTGGGCATCTGCCAGCCTGCCCTCCAGCCCCATGCCCCCCCACCCTCCGCCCCTCACCTGCACGGCCTGCTCCTTCTTTCTTCTCTCTTCCTCCAGCAGGCGGCGCTGCTTCTTGGTCAGGACTTCGATGAAGCCTTCGCCCACCATAGAACCCACCTCACTCTCCTCCCCGGGGCTGGACCCGCAATTTTCAATGATGGCACCTGAACCAAGATTTCACGAGAAGGAACAGTCTTTCCACTCACCAGGAGACAAGAACAACCCAATTCAACAGGCGCCTGAGATCTAGCATCAGGCTCGACAGAAACCTGGACAGGACTTCCGCACTTTTCTCAGGCCGCCTCTGATCTAACACATTGTTACCCCAAACCAAAGAGGCCCAAGGGCACAACTGAGAGAACACGCAAAGAGCTTAAACCCCAGCTCTGCTCCTACAGCTGTGTGTGACCTCGGACACACCACCGAACGTCTCTGGGCCCCAGGCTTCCTCTCTTTAAAGCCCGGAAGCTGCAGGGTGTCACGGGGATTCAACGGGCTGTGAGCAACACTCGGTGGGAATCCTACCTACTCTGCTCACCTCTACAGCCCCAGAACCCAGCCCAGGGCCTGGCCGAGCTGTTCCGAAAGCTAAGGTACTCAGTGCAAGGGCAAACTCGGGAGGCCCGAGGACTGCATGGCCCCTGGTTCTGCCTGAGTTCTTTCCCCTGAAGATATGAGGATGACTTACTTCCATAGTTCAGGTCAAACTGTTTCATGGCCTCTCCCTGTTCACCTGCCCTCGGAGCAGCCAACTTGGCCTCCTTCTCTGCCTTTTTACTGGAGGCTTCGGGAAGGTCAGCACTGGCATGGGCTGCCCGCTCCAGGGCATAGGGGGAGTGGCCACTCCCACTGCTGCAGCCACTAAGACCTCCAGGCAAGGCCTCGTCTGGGGATCTGTAAGGGAAAGAGGATCTTGTTAACCAGAGCTGGGGAAGGAGGGAAAACACCGCACGTGCACACAGCCTGCACACAAGCCCGGCACCCTGATCTAGGCCCACTTCCTCTAGCTGACTCCTCGGGTGGGGAGGAGCGGCAGGCTGGCCACAGTGCATCCATGTCCGTGTGCAAACATACGTGTAAGGCTGCCCCCACCGGCTCTGCCTGCTCCTGGGGAAAGTGGCTCCCCAGGGCTCTCCCACATGCTATGTTCAGAGTGTAGGGGGGAGAGAGACAAGGGGAATATGCTCAGAATGGAGACGCCAGCATTTCTGCTCCTCTCCAGGACTGCCCTGCCGGAGGGCCCTTGGGGCAGAAAACTGAGGTGAAGCCAAGGGTCAGCCTCTGGCGCCTGGAAAGCTGGATTAGATGCCACCTGAAAGAGTCGGTGTTCCCTGTGGCTCCTTCTCTGGGAGTTTCTCTGCCTTGAATTCTAAGGAGAGTGGAGGTGTGAAGCCATCTTCCTCAGTATGCTGAGGACAGGGAAGGCCTCAGCAGCCCCTGCACCTCCCTGTCCGAGGCACAAGCCAAGTGCAGTCAGTCAACCCAGACTGTGCAGGGGACCCTCTCCTGGTCCCTGAGCAGAGGTCATCACCCGAATGCCTCTGGCTGTGGAAGAGGTGCTCGCCAGACCATGTGCAGCCTGCTCCCCTCTGCGTTTGCTGGGCTCCTGCCATGCTGAGGTGGCAACCCCACCGTGGGGCCACGTCTCCTCACAGTGGAGAAGCAGAACCATCTAGGAAGAGCCACTTCCATGCAGCCACGAGGCCAGCGATGCCCCCTAGGACGCCGCCTGGCAGCAACTCCGGAGCAGAGGACTCTGGTGGACTGACCGGCACCTGGCACTGTGCACAGGCAACGTTCCTCGCTGCAGCGGCCCCTCGGCGGGGCTCCAGGGACACATGACTGGACTCTCAGGTCAGGTGCTGGACAGTGGCCTCAAGAGCACCACTGGGGTGGGGGTGGGGGTGGGAGCTCTAGCCACAATAACACCACCACGAGAAGCAGACAGGCAATGTGGGGGCAGGCAATGGAGACGCGCACAGACGGCCTGGGGGCAGGCCCCCAGCCCCGACACACGGCGGCATCGGCATGCATGCGTGAACTCAGTGCTGCTGAGAACAGAACACAACAACAAAAAGGGCCCAGATGGTGTCTGGTTTTACCTTTTCACTTTCAAAGGCGTCCCATTCTGTTGGCTCTCATAGCGAGGGGAGGTGTCACCACCACCTGGCCTAACGGGCTTCTCCCCAAACCCTCCCGGCTCCAGCTTTCGGCTCTGTCTGTCAACCACGGGTCTCTGACTGGAGAAGCTCCTCTTGGCCAGCTCCTTCTTCTCACCCAAACTAGCCCCCGACAGGCCACCATCCACCTGGGAGTCGGGCTCGGACCCAGGGCCTTCCCGCCGCTCCCGCCGCTCGCTGAAGTCGCTGCTTTCGGAGGCCGTCTCCCACTCCTCATTGGCGTGATCGGAGGAGTTCTGGTAGGAGAGCTCAGGGGACCTGCGGCCCACAGTGCCACTCTTGTCCCCAGAACACAGTTTGGGCCTGCCTGGCCACTGACCTGCCAGCAGGTGGGGCTCCTCCTCGGGTCCCCACAGGCCCAGGGACTCCCGCTCTTGCCGGAGGCGCCGGAATCGAGGGGGCTTATCTTGGCGTGGGGGGCGCCTTCTCCTGAAGGGCCGGTTCTCTGCATTTTCAGAATCTGCCACGTGTTCATCTTGGAAGAAGGATCTCTTGTCCTCCGCGCGGCTGTCCTCAAAGCCCCGGCCACCAAATGCGTCAGGGTGTCTGTAGGAATCTGGGACATAGTCTCTGTCTGTAGGTCGCCGGGATCCGCATGTGTCGGAAGGGCCATATTCCTGCCAAGAGCTGCCTGGACTTTTGCTCTGCCAGTGGGGTGACTCTTTGGAGACGAAGGTTCTCCGTCCATACCCGCAATTGCTCAGCCGGGGAGGGAGGGCTCGCCCAAAGGCCCGAGGGCCTCGGCTCTTGGCATCTAGACCGCTGTGGTCCTCAGAGCACCCCTTGTTGGACCGCCAAGAATCTCTGCAGTCGCCCTTCTTCAAGGTGCTCTCCTCCCTCTCCAGGAGCGAGCCTTCATTCCCGTTCTCGGAGCCCCTCTGCCGGCGGCGCTTGGGAAGTTCTTCATACTCTGAGCCCTCGCTATGGGTCTCACTGGCAACTCTCCGTCGGGGCTTGGCTCTGGGGCAGTCCTCTGGCCGCGCAAACTCTCGCAGGCCCCGGCCACGGCCGCTGCGCTGACTGCTGCAGTAGATGCTGCGGGCCCCCAGGACCCCCCCACCACAGAGGCCGCTCCCATTTCCGCCAGCAGGCCGACCACGAAAAGTGAACTCTCTGAAACCACGGCCCCGGCCCCGGGCCTGTCCTCTGACCCCAAAGGCTTGCTCCTCATCAATAAAGATCCAGTTATTTCTCTTCATGGGGGGAACATCGCTGGACTCTCGTGGGGGTCTGGCTTCCCAGGCCTTGTCAGGTTTCTCCTCCTCTTCAAATTTGGTGGCCTCGCGGCCAAAAGTGGCATGGCCAGGGCCTTTGTCCTCCAAAGTGGTGGTGGAGGAGTTGGCCAGAGAGGCATCGTTCTCTTCGTCCTCATCCTTTTCTGCCGTGGGGCTCTGCTCCTTCTCCTTGGCCAGCCGGGTACTCTCCTCCCCTAGCTCCTGCTTAATCTTCTCAAGCTCCTTCTCCTTGTCTTCCACCTTGAGGGCTTTCAGGACTGGTTTCTTGATGGGTCCCGACCTCCGGGTCCTGCCCGTCTGCTCCGGGTGCTGGCTGCTGGAGCTCCGGGGCTCGGGAGTCCATTCAGGCTCCGAGGATGGCTGTTTGTTGGGGCTCCCGTTCTTGTCCCAGGAGGAGATGTTAAAGGCCGTCCCCTCCCGGGGTGTCTCCCGCTCAACACCATGGGCTGTGTCAGCGGTCTCTGGCTGGTGGCTAACATCCCAACTGCCACACTCTGGCTTTTTCTCATCTGGGACAAAGTCAGGCTCCAATGGGGAACACCTGAGGTTTTGGGTGTGACCCCCAGGAGCACCTGCATCCTGAACATTTTCTTGGGGTGGAAACAAAAGCTCCTGGCCTATTCTTTGAGAAGAGATACAGCTGTCAAAGTCTGCTTGGGCCTTCTTGTCAAAAGCACTCAAGTACTCCTCCCCTCTCTCCTCAAAGAGATCGCGCTGAGCACTTACGCCCCCTGCCCTTCCGAGTGAGGCAGAGAAAGAGCTTTCATTCCTGAAAAGGAACCAGAAAAATCAGTCAATGCGATTGGAGCCTGGTTCCTGGTTTCCATGCTGAACACAGAGCTTAGTTTTAAAAAGAAAAAACAAAAACAAAAACTAAAACACTTTTTAAAAAGAAAGCTAGAAAAACAAAACAAAAAACAACAACCAAAAAAAAACATAAGCATCAACATTTGTTCTATCTTTAAACACGTCTCAGAAATGCCAGGCCATGAATTGGTCGGTGGCCCCTGGAGTCCTTGAGAGTGAAGACTGTCGTGGCCGCAGGCTGGGTACGGTGTGCCCCCTGGAGACAGAGGAGCCAGGCAATCCTCCGGGTCAAAGAGCAAGAGCAAGCTGGAGCCTGGGAGGCCGTGAAGAGTCTGGGGCTATGGGGGTGGCAGGGCTAACTCTGTTTACTTCCACAGAAATGAGCCAAGACCCATGCTCTGGACCCCACCTGCCTTGTGAAGCCCCCACCCGCCTGCCCTGTGCCCAGGATTTGAGGACCCCGGGACTTCTCCTTCACCTTACGTCTCACCATCTGAAAAGAGCCTCTTGGACAAAGCATTCAAGCAATCCTCCTCACACTCTCCTTCCCCAGAGGAACCAGGAGTCCCTTCAAGGAGCACGTCTCCCGTGGGCAGTGTCTCCTAGGATGGTAGCTCATCCCAGGGCCCTCTCAATTAGGACCTGGAGTCCTCCTTCAGTGGCAAGGCAGCAGGACCAGGCTTCATCTCACCTGACACGCATGTCCATAGCCAAGGTGTCACTCGACTTCGGGTGCGGGAGCGGGTAGCCCTTGCTCTGCAGTGCCATGTAGCCCTCTGGGCTCCACACAGGGGGTGAGTCGATGGGGGTCACTTTTCTTTCTTGGAGTGGGGGCACACAGTTCTGATCCTCAGAGCGACAGCCTGTCCCATTGAGGGACTCCTGGGGCATCATGGGCTTCATCAGTCCTGAAGAAGGCAAAGACTGATCTACATCATCTCATTTAGAAAGCCCTGCTCCAATCTCAGGGTCAACCAAAGGCCCAAAGAAGTTAACAGTTACCCTGACTTTCATGTGGATACAGCACCCCACCCACCTACACATCATAGGGCTCTTAATCTTTCCTGACCTGAGGACCTCTGAAGGCACACACACATGCACCCTGCCTGGTTCAAAGACCTGTCCAAGGAAGGGGGCAAGAAAAGCACATTTGTCAGATATAGGCTTGGTCCTTAACACTCAGGACAGGGGATGAAGCCTTTCTATACAGGGCAGGGAGATACAACTGAGACATTGTTTAAAACAAAGACCCAAAAGGGCCACATCCTCAAAAGGCACATTAGATAGACACATGCGCTTTACTACCAGGAACAGACTGGCGGGTCTGTCTGGCCTGGACCAGGGCAGGGAAACAATTGTCCCCCTCCCAGGAATTCAGACTCACATGCTTACTTTCATGGAGGTTTAAGGGACAAAGACTTCAGATTTCTACCTCCCCAAATGCTTTGCTAAGTTGAAGGTGCATGTTAGAATTTTCACGTAACCACTAACATATAGAAATGAAATGTAGAAGCAAAAGAAAAACAATAGGACCAAGAAAAGGCAGGAATTAGAAGAAAAGGCACAGAAAGAGAAGAATAAGAATGGAATGCATGAAATATCATAGTTGGAATATCTAAATATAATAATCCCAATAAGGCTGGGCATGGTGGCTCATGCCTGTAAC
This sequence comes from Homo sapiens, assembly GCF_000001405.40. Classification (NCBI taxonomy): domain Eukaryota; kingdom Metazoa; phylum Chordata; class Mammalia; order Primates; family Hominidae; genus Homo; species Homo sapiens. The sequence continues at coordinate 131,472,749 of NC_000009.12, read as the reverse complement.
CCCAGCACTTTGGGAGGCCAAGGCAGGTAGACCACTTGAGGTCAGGAGTTCGAGACCAGCCTGACCAACATAGTGAAACCCCGTCTCTACTAAAAATACAAAAAAATCAGCCAGGCATGGTGGCAGGTGCCTGTAATCTCAGCTACTCAGGAGGCTGAGGCAGGAGAATCGCTTGAACCCGGGAGGTGGAGGTTGCAGTAGGCCGAGATCACACCACTGCACTCCAGCCTGGGTGACAGAGCAAGACTCTGTCTCAAAAAAAAAAAAAAAAAAAAAAATTAGCTGGGCGTGGTGGTGGGCGCCTGTAATCCCAGCTACTTGGGAGGCTGAGGCAGAAGAATCGCTTGAACCCGGGAGGCGGAGGTTGCAGTGAGTTGAAATTGCACCACTGCACTCCAACCTGCATGACAGAGCAAGACTCTGTCTCAAATAATAATAATAATAATCATCATCCCAATAAATCTAAAAGGACCAACTTTTGCAATTAAAAGTCATAGACTTTCAGAGTGGTAAAGCTATACACATCTTGTAGATACAAAGATACACTCCCAAAACATAAGGGCTCAAAGAGGCTAACAGTAAAAATTGGAACAAAAGACTTCAAATACTTATCAACAGAAAACTATAATTATTATATTGCTATCAAAGTAGGCAATAAAGATAGAAAGCACTATTAATGACAACAAAGGTACTACATAAGGATAAAAGGAACAAGATACAGAAATTCTAAACCTGTATGCCTCCAGATAGACAAAGCAAAAACTGACAGGCTCCCAAAGAAGATTTGACAAATCCATCATCATAGTGGGACATTTTAAAACACCTTTTAGTAACTGGTCAAAGGGATAAAAACTTGCAATGATGAAGACATTTGCACAACACAATTAGCATGCTCAACTTAATGGACTATCTCCAACCAGAGAATACAGTCTTTTCAGGCAAATGTAGAATGTTAAAAAAGAATTGCCATGGAAGAGGCTACAGAGAAAACCCAACAAATGTCAAGCAACCTAAGTCAGGAGTTGGTCAGCAAACTACAGCCATTAAACAAAACTCAGCCTGCTGCCAGTTTTTACAAGTAACGTTTTATGGAAAAACAACCATGTTCACTCAATTACTATTGTTTATGGCTGTTTTTGTCCTACAACACCAAAACTGACTAGCTGATCAAGGCCTAAAAGACTTACTATCTGGTCATTAGTAGAAGTTTGCTGACCCCTGGTCTGTATCACACAGACCATATTATCTGACCACAGAGCAACTACATTAGAAATTAGTACTGCAAAGAGAATCTTAAAAGCCAAAAATTAATAAACTAAGTATATGATAATATTTTAAAGGAAATAAGAAAAGAAAAAGCAGGCATTATTAAAATAAAACCCAAATAAGTTAGAGGAATGAAGAAGCCCAAATACTGATTTTAAAAAGGCACTAGACAAACCTTGGGAAAGACTAATCAAAGAAAAAAGAGACAGCACAAAGAACATTAAGAATGAGAAGAAGGACAAAACGACATAGCAGAAATCTAAAATTAATTAAAGCAATTTATGATACACGATCTTCATGACTTTCCCAACAAATCTTTATGACAGAACTATTATTGTACCTACACTTTGCAAGTGACTACTTTGAAACTCAGACCAGTTGTGTACTTGACAAAGAGCCAGACCAAAATCCAGGTGTATCTGTTTAACTCGAGAGGACACCCTTGACCACCACGCTATCCTGGGTGATACAGGTATGGACCGTCAGACCACAGTGCTTACCTGAGGGATGCAGGGCGGAGGGGTAGAAGTCCACCGGGGTCCGAGTGGGCGTGATACGTGGGTCCATGTAGGAAGGCATCATCATCCACCTGGGATCGAAGCCCAACATCTGGGGGTGGTGTGGGTAAAAGGTGCGCTGGGGGTGGGACGGCGGGGGGTACACCGGCTGCCAGTGCTGCATCTTGTACAGCTGCTCCTGCCCACAGAGAGAGAGAGACTTGGTCAGGCTGGTGCGGCCAGGGACAGAGATGCCACCCAACACACGCCCTTCCAGCTTTCCAGCTGGCAGCACAGAAAGCCCACCTAGAACAGAAGACCAAGGAGGGGAGGGATGGGCAGCTGCTCAAGGGGAAGCCCCCAGTGTGTTACAGCTTGCAAGCTCAGGTCCCTGTCCAAGGCTGGTGGACAGCCATGCCATTATCACAATGGAGGCTCATCTGTGCCTGTGCTACACGAGACAGGCTAGGTTTTCACCTAGATCAGACACTCCTGGAACCGAACAGCAGCCTCCCACAGAATGTCTGGACATTGGCCACTTCTCTCCTTGTCTGCAGCTACCATCTGAGGTTAAATAATACACCAGCATCCCTTCCCTGCTCCCTCCAGGCCTCTTCAATCCATTTTCCATCCTTGACTAGGATGATCTTTTCACACAGACACCCCACGCCCAATATGTCAACCCCTAGCTCAAAAGAGCCTTCAGTGGTTCTCCACCGCTCTCCACCCGACGCCTAAATCCTACGAGGCTACTCGTGACCTACGGTGTTACAGTGAGGGTTGGGTCCCGTGTGACTTTGCCCAGTCTGCCTCTCTAGCTTTGCCTCGCAAGACTGGCCCTCCACTTTCTGCTCCATATATCCCTGCCACGCACTTCAGGCCACGGGAACACACTGGGACCCCTAGGTAAGCGCCTCTTCCCTCCATCCCTAAACGCAGATTTTCAGTTTAAACACATCCTCCTCTAGAAAGCCTGTCGTAACCCCCAGACGAGACCAGGTCCCCGGTCCTCTGCTCCCACAGAATGGCCAGTGCTCCTTTGTTGCACTCACAGCAGCTGATGGATTTTACTGCTGGTAACCCTCACTGAACCCTAAGAGACTCCCTGTGCACCCTTGCCCACAGCACCACACTCAGGATACAGAACATTTGCACAAATGGGTAAACAAATTATCAGTAACTATTCAAAATCAAGGCCCTTGCCTGACTCAGGAGGGTTCATTTCAGACCCTGCTCTATCCCATCAGTGACCTCGGGCGCTAATTCCTAAAGGAACCCTGAATTGGCCTTGAGGCAGGACTCACTGCTGCGTCACACTCTGAGGACACCCAAACGGCCTCCAGCACACACCCTTCCATTCCGCAAACAAAAAGGCGGCCAACCTGCCTGGCAGTCTACAGCACATCCTGAGCTGATTCCCTGGACAGTTCTGTTGGCACTCCCAGTGCCTATTAAGAGCACTCAATAAATATAGCTCATCAATCAAGAGACTTGAGTCATTCACTCTCCCAGTCCACAGAGAAGGCTGTGGGCCTCCATCTCCCAGCTCCACCTCCTGTCTACACCCTAGGTCTCCAGGGAATATGACCAGACAGGCTGCCCTGGTGCTTTCAGACTTCCTTCTATTATTTATTTTATTTTATTTTATTTTTTGAGATGGAGTCTCGCTCTGTCACCCAGGCTGGAAGGCAGTGGTGCGACCACGGCTCACTGCAACCTCCACCTCCTGGGTGCAAGCGATTCTCCTACCTCAGCCTCCTGAGTAGCTCGGATTACAGGTGTGCGGCACCACGCCTGGCTAATTTTTGTATTTTTAGTAGAGATGGGGTTTCACCATATTGGTCAGGCTGGTCTCAAACTCCTGACCTCAGGTGATCTGTCTGCCTCCCAAAGTGCTGGGATTACAGGCGTGAGCCACCACGCCCGGCAATTCCTTCTATTCTTAAGGAAGGACTTACCCATCACTTCCTCCGCACCCCAAGGAGTTACCTAGAGCAATTGTCGCTGCTAGGTTTGGCGCAAGTAATTCCAGAGCTCTCCCCCATCAGTAATTCTATACCCCAAGAACATGAGTAACTGTGCAGTGCTCGCCTACACTCCCATGCTCTAAAATCACATTAAAGGCGGTCCCTGGAAGGCTCCCAGGTGCCCAGAGGAGAGAAGAGGCTGAGGTGAGAAGTTTAAAGGTAATTAAGTGAGATACTGGGAAAAGCCTTAAGTCCTTGGTTTGTTTCTCCATGGCACACACGTTTTGAAATATTTTCAATTAATATTAGTAATAATTTACTGCACACCTTGCTGTTTGGTGTGCACTAAGTAATGTCTATGTATCATCTCAGTGTCCCACCAAAATGCACTATTCCTTAGTATTGACTACTGTGTTCCCTTACTTATTACTACTCTAGTAGGCACGATTGCTGATGAGTGCTTCAAGACTATCAGGACTAGGAGAGATGGGTGGAATTACAACCATTATCCACATGATCTTTAGGACAAAAAGTAGGTCCCTTTTAAAATTTATAAAAAAATAAAAATAAAGTTTATAAAAAGCCAATAACGGTGACACCAATAAAATAGTTTATAGGCGATATGGCATGAAACACTCTGCCATGCTGAAAGGCAGGTATTCATTCTTCCTGGTTTACACATGAAGAAATATGGGTGAGAGGGGCATAACTGACCCCTCCAAGGCCATGCACAACTAGTTCAGCAGCAACATCAGGAAGGGAGCTGTCCAACTTGAAACCTGCAAACCTACATCTGTAACCCAAAGGTGACGTGCCTCTCTTGGGCAGCTCTTCAAACAGCTCACAGGCCTCCCTTACACCTTGGGAGGACCCCAGGGTGGGAAACACTGTCCTCTAAGGAACGTCCAAGGTGCACTGCTCTGAAATAAAACAACCAGCCTGCACACTAGAAAAATGGAGCTCACTGCAAACAGCACTGAATAGGTTCCTTAACAATATTAGAAAACAAGCTCAATAAACCACAAAGACTGTATTCATTCCCAGGGACCTCCACCACTCAGAGAAATAAATAATGGCCAGGGGCTGATCTACCAAGGTCACAAGTTTTGAGGTACAACTCCTGACGTCCCCACTGGTCTTGGGGGCACATAAGGGATATTCTGGCCTTTTTCTAAGTTGGAGGTGGGGCATGGGGACGAGGAGGGGAAACATCTGCTCGGCACTCAGGCCTGTTTATCACAGTCTTTTACCATCTCATCTGTTTACCTGCTGTTGTTGCTGCTGCTGGCGCTGGAATCGGGGAGGAAGGGACTTCTGATACTTGAACTCCTGTGCAGGGGACCCAGCCTCTCTGGCCTCTTCCTCACTGCTGTTGCTCTGTGCCACTGCTGGGGACACTGTGGGTGCCTCTTCTGGGAATGTGGTGGGGGTCTCTTGGGCAGGGAATTCTGGGGAGCCTAGAGAATATACCAGCAGAGAAATGACACAGTGAGCTCACAGAAGCTCAGCCAACCAAGTGTTTACAAACAAGTACTTCTTCCTGTTGGCCCGTACGCTCCACTGCTAGAACAGTCACGTCCCTGAACCCTGGCCCTGTGCCAAACGCATCACGTACACAAGCTCAGGGACTCCCCACAACACATGTGAGGAGGCTTCACCTGTTGTCACCTTACAGACTAGGACACTAAGGGTCAAGAGGTTAGATGACGTCCAGGGTCACACGGTCAGTGGCAGAGCTGAGATGTGACTTCAGGTGGAAGATGTTTTATTAAAAAGGACTAATAAGGCCGGGTGCAGTGGCTCACACCTGTAATCCCAGCACTTTGGGAGGCTGAGGCGGGTGGATCACTTGAGGTCAGGAGTTCAAGACCAGCCTCGCCAACATGGTGAAACCCCATTTCTATTGAAAGTACAAAAAATGACAGGCGCGGTGGCTCACACCTGTAATCCCAGCACTTTGGGAGGCCGAGGCGGATGGATCACGAGGTCAGGAGATACAGACCATCCTGGCTAACACAGTGAAACCCCGTCTCTACTAAAAATACAAAAAATCAGCCAGGCGTGGTGGCGGGCACCTGTAGTCCCAGCTACTTGGGAGGCTGAGGCAGGAGAATGGCATGAACCCAGGAGGTGGAGCTTGCAGTGAGCCGAGATCGTGCCACTGCACTCCAGCCTGGGCGACAGAGTGAGAATCCGTCTCCAAAAAAAAAAAGAAAAAAAGAAAGTACAAAAATTAGCCAGGCATGGTGGCGCTCGCCTGTAATCCCAGCTATATGGGAGGTTGAGGTGAGAGAATCGCTTGAACCCAGGAGGCAGAGGTTGCAGTGAGATCACACCATTGCACTCCAGCCTAGGTGACAGAGCAAGACTCCATCTCCCCCCAGCAAAAAAAAAAGGACTGATAGAGAACAGCCATGAACTCAGTGACAGCCCACATATCCAACATCTGAACAGCAGGAACTCAACATATGGAAATGCTGTGTATGACTTCCTGCTGGCAAGGATATAAAGGAAAAAACATTTTTTTAAAAGAGGAAAAAAACAAAAACAAGAGAAAGGCTATGTGACCTAGGCACATTTTTCAGGCTCTCCTTGGCCATTTCTTCATCTGCAAATAAGAATAACTACCATGTGTTCACCAAGGGTTTCTGTAAGAATTGAATTAATTACAATAATATACTGAAAACAGTGCCTGACAGGCAGAAAATGCTCAGTGCAACTTTCCTATAAGAGTGGCACAGTCCTCACTCAACCTTTAATGAAAGGAGGGCAGAAGAAAAACTAGAAATGAGTTCCCTGGCCAGAAGGGCACTAGGACTCTCTAACCCGAGAAGCTTTCAGAGCCTCAAACATCCCCTTGTCTCCTAACAAGAGCTGATCTGAGTTTATTTAAGAAAATTATAAAGAAAACAGCTGATTATATTCTTCAAAACTGCTACAAGAGACACTCTGCATTATAGAGCACTGCTTCATTACTCTTAAATAGGGCCGTGTTGCCCAGGCACAGTGGCTCACGCCTGTAATCTCAGCACTTTGGGAGGCCAAGCCAGGTGGATCACTTGAGGCCAGGAGTTCCAAACCAGCCTGGCCAACATGGCGAAACCCTGTCTCTACTAAAAATACAAAAATTAGCTGGGCGTCGTGGCACACGCCTGTAATCCCAGCAGCTCAGGAGGCTGAGCTGGGAAAATCGCTTGAACCCGGCAGGCAGAGGTTGCAGTGAGCAGAGATCACACCACTCCAACCTGGGTGACAGAAAGAGACTCCATTTCAAAAAAAAAATAGGGCCATGTGATCCATTCCTTTTAGAATCAACACCAGGAAAAAATGTATTCTACCAAGCAAGTGGGCTTATTTTTATTCCATGTTAAAGGATCTGTGGTTTTATTAAAGTCCTAGAGCACACGTGTCTTTGATTAGGCAGGGATAGCGAGGATAATAGTGACGATGATGAGTATCATCAGTGAGTAGATGCATGGTTTCAATGTCCCAGAAACTGGAGCGTGCTGTACACCCCTCCGCGTGCTGGCAGGTACATACTCATCCCATTTCACAGATGAAGAAACAGGCTTCAGAGAGGTGAGGTGCTCACCAGCTAGTTTAACAAGTTCAGATGGGAGAAGGAAAAAGGGCTGAAAAACTACCTGTTGGGTACTATGCTCAGTACCTGGGTGATAGGATCATTCATACCCCAAATCTCAGCATCACACAATGTACCCCCTGAAACTAAAGTAAAAGTTGAAATTATAAAAAAGAAGTTCAAATAGGATCAGAACCCAGGCATTTGACCCAGGCCTATGCTCTTAATAACTGATGCTTCCCAATACGATCTCGTTGTAAGCCATACGTTCTGCTAGCTAAGAAGGAAGGCAGTTGCAAGTAACAAGACGAGGACAACAGGCCAGGGTTTCCAGTTGGTGGGAAGACGGCCCAGCTCTTACCTTTGTGGACAGCAGGGCCGTTTTCCTGGGGAGATGCCTTCTCAGCACTTGGAGACCAGGGCACTTCCTTCTCTGCCTGCTTCCGGGCCTCACCTGCCTTTCGTGCCTGCTTACACTTCTGGTCCAGCTGCTTGAGTTTGGCAGCACAGGCGGCCAGCCTCTCCTCCCGGGCTCGGCGCTCCTCTTCTTCCCGGCGCTTTCGGGCTCGCTCCACCGCCTCGGACATCTCTGACTGAATGAACTTCTGCCTTGGTGGGGGCTTGTCCTCCTTGTCCTCGATGGACTGTTGCCGGAACATGCTGCCCATTGATGACTTCTGCCAAGAGAATGTCTCTGAGATAAGGCGGTGGGTCCGGGACCCGGGATACAGGAACCACTCCCACTTTGGGATCAGTTCTCCTCCCAAGATCCTCAAGCACCTTCAAGAGGCAGCACAGGCGTGTGGCAGACAGAGCTGGGTTCGAATCCTGCTCTGGCCTCTGCTGTATGTGAAATGTGGTTTAGGCCAAGTGCCAACTCTCCATATCTCACTTCCTTGTTTTTAAAATGGGGACAACAAAGGAAGCTCTTAGGATTGTGAAGGTGAAAACCATGTTTGCAAAGCAACATGCGACCCGCACACGACAAACACTCCCACCACTGCTGATGGGCATGCAAGCTAAGGGCCTCCAAGGCTAAGAACCGGAACAGGAAGCCACACACTGATCATTCCTGGGTCACGAAAACTGCTACTCCTGCCCGCACAACAATACATAAACCCCTGGGTAGAAAGAGCCCTAGGAAAATGAAATTCACTGTCAGACATAAAGCTTCGAAGTGATCTTTATTAAGCATGTTGGCTGGGCGCAGTGGCTCACGCCTGTAATCCCAGCACTTTGGGAGTCTGAGGCGGGTGGATCACCTGAGGTCAGGAGTTCGAGACCAGCCTGGCCAACATGGTGAAACACCGTCTCTACTAAAAATACAAAAATTAGCTGGGCATGGCGGAGTGCACCTGTAGTCCCAGCTACTTGGGAAACTGAGGCAGGAGAATCGCTTGAACCTGGGAGGTAGAAGTTGCAGTGAGCCGAGATCGCGCCACTGCACTCCAGCCTGGGCAACAGAGCGAGACTCCATCTGGGGGAAAAAAAAAAAAAAGCATGTCTAGCAAAGGCACGGTAGCTCATGCCTGTAATTCCTACACTTTGTGGGGGCCAACGTGGGGGACTGCATGAGCCTAGGAGCTCGAGACCAGCCTGGGCAATATGGTGAGACCCCGTATTTACCCCCCAGCCCCCCAAAAAAATACGAAAATTAGTTGGGGATGGGCACATGCTTATGGGTCCCAGCTACTGAGCTGAGGTGGCAAGGATCACTTGAGCCCAGGAGGCTGCAGTGAGCTGAGATCACATCACTGCACTCCAGCCAGGGGACAAGGCTAGATCCCATTAAGAAAAAAAAAAAAAAAAAAGCATGCCTAAAAAAAATCTCTTTTGGATTCTTTATCCGTTTCTGAGTTTCTTGCTGGTTGCCAGTTACTGGGACCCTTTCTTACTGGTCTGCAGGGGTCAAGCAGCATGCAGACCTGGCAACAGGACAAATGATGGACAGCTGTCACCTGAGCTCTGGCCACTGAAATTCTAATGAGATCTGAGTACCAGAAAAAGACAGAACTTCCTATTTTGAATGCTAGTAACACAAATGTATACAGCTGTCAAAAATCAAATCAAGGAAACAGGATCTAGGCCTTTTCTTGTAGGTGAGTTATACTTCAGTAAAAGAAATATACAACAAATTTACTGTAGTCAAGGAGTTTCCTAAAAATTAACTTCTCATAAGCCAGAGGTAAGTACTGTAATCATAAGATTATAAACTTCCAATTTAGAGGCATGAAGGTACATTTTATATAATATCATTGGAACCGAAGCGTGCAGTTTCCTTTCACTTTGCCATCGAACCTGAGGGTCTATCCATACCTTTCTAACGGCTGTGTATTGATCAGTTCATGGCTCATACCAAAATCTGCCTATCTGCCTTTATCCCATGGGATTCAATACACCACTGCACATAGCCTTCACGCCTAGCCCTGATTACTTCCTTCAGATAATTTCCTGGAAAGGAAATAATAGACTCAGAGGGCACATGTACACCGTCAAGACCTTTGATGTGCTTTCCTAAAAGGCCCTGAAATTAGCAATCATTTTATAGACTAAATGTTCTGCAAAGTAATTTGCACTGAGACCTTTTTTTTTTTTTTTTTTTTAGACGGAGTCTCACTCTGTCACCCAGGCTGGAGTGCAGTGGCATGATCTCGGCTCACTGCAACCTCTGCTTCCCAGATTCAAGCAATTCTCCTGCCTCAGCCTCCTGAGTAGCTGGGAATACCGGCGTGCGGCACCACGCCTGGCTAATTTTTGTATTTTTAGTAGAGATGGGGTTTCACCATGTTGGTCAGGCTGGTCTAGAACTTCTGACCTCGTGATCCACCCGCCTCGGCCTCCCAAAGTGCTGGGATTACAGGTGTGAGCCACTGCGGCTGGCCAAATTGAGAATTCTTAAAAATTTTCTTAAAAATTCAGTCAGAAGAGGCCAGGTGCATTGGCTCATGCTTGTAATCCTAGCACTTTGGGAGGCCGAGGTAGGTGGATCACCTGAGGTCAGGAGTTCAAGACCAGCCAAAGCAACATGGTGAAACCCCATTTCTACTAAAAATACAAAAATGAGCTGGGTGTGGTGGCACATGCCTATAATCCCAGCTACTTGGGAGGCTGAGGCAGAAGGACTGCTTGAACCTGGAAGGCAGAAGTTGCAGTGAGCCGAGAGCACACCACTGCACTCCAGCATGAATGACAAAGTGAGGCTCTGTCTCAAAAAAGAAAGAATGAAAGAAATTTGGTCAGAAGATGCCTTGGATACATAAATTTAGTATATAGATTTCATCACTGTTGATGTTCAGCTAATTTACAGTGCTGTTATGAGTAGGTTAAAGTGAAACCTTTTGAATACTGATCAGCACTACTTCTTGACTGGTGAAAAGGAAAAAAAAAGGAATACGGAGCAACCTCAACATGTGAATGAAAATGTGGATTAACTGCAGAATAATTTCCAAGAGCAGTGGCATTGTGTCTATTTTGTTTCACTTCTGTATCTCTTGTACCCAGCACATATGTATGTGCCTGGCATACAATAAATATTCAATAAGAAGACTGTAGCTGAGGGGCATTTTCATTTTATAAGAATGTGGAATAGAAGCCCTTTCAATAGCAAAGAGCAGGCCGGGCGCAGTGGCTCACACCTGAAATCCCAGTACTTTGGGAGGCCAAGGTGGGTAGATCAGGGTAGATCAGCCTGGCCAACATGGCAAAACCCTGTCTCTACTAAAAATACAAAAGTTAGCCAGGCATGGTGGTGCACGCCTGTAATCCCGCTACTCGGGAGGCTGAGGCAGGAGAATCGCTTGAACCCGGGAGGCAGAGGTTGCACTGAGCCAAGATTACGCCACCGCACTCCAGCCTGGCGACAGAGTGAGACTCCATCTCCAAAAACAATAATAAATAAATAGCAAAGAGCACTGAAAATAGCAGGCTTTACCAAGTGTATTCAAAGTCATGACTCCCCCTTCCCCAGCCCTCCCACTCCTCAACAGTCCAGTCCCAGAGTCACTAGGTGTGGCAATGCAAGCCAGGAGCCTGGTGCCAGGGAGTCCTGGCGGCTGACTGCACTCCAAATGGTTAGAGCCCAGGCAAGGGGAGGAGGGCATGCAGGTAGAGGTGTGGGGCCAAAGCCCAAGCTAGATGAGGGGGACATTCATAGGCAGAGTTGGCCCAGCAGGGACATTCAGGGCATCCAGGAGTGGGGACAATGACATCTGAGTGGGCAAGGAGAGCATATGTGCAAGGGAGAGAGTGTGGCAGCAGAAATGAGATTGGTCATACATGGGGAGACTGACCAAGTGAGTATAAATACGAGGGACGATGAGAGATAGATTCTCCCTGTCACAGAAAGGAGGTGCAAACATGCACTGGGAGGAAGTGGAACAAAGTCTGTGGAACTGGAGGTATCAATGAGAACACAGTTTCCAATATGGACAGGTACAGAAATAATACAAATATGAAAGTGTGTATTTGTGCACACACATATACCTACATACATTCCCCGCAACTGTCCGCTGAGGAGGCCCGGAAGCAGTGACACCCCAGCAGCAAGGAGCCTGCTGGGTCTCAGACACTGGTTTCTAAATATCATCCTTCACTAAGAGGAACTAGGACTTCATGGAGAAAGGGCGGACCCAGGACAAGACAGGTCATGCATCCGGGAAAGATGAAGGAAGGGCTCCAAAAAGGATGGAGAACAGGGAAAAAGGACACGCACTGGCCTGAAGGAACACCCAATGGCCAACCAGGTGAGAGTAGATTACACCCACTGATGTAAATAAATGAGTAAACTAAAAGCTTGATCAAAAACGAGATGTTCAGTCTCAAAGTTTCTCCCAACAAAATTCTTATCAACTACAAATAGGGAAAAGAGTAACTCTACAGCATGAAACCTGGCAGGCACCCCATTAATCAAGAGACCAAAGTGCACGTAGCCAGAGGGGGACAGGATGAAGTCGTGGTTGCCTTGGTGGGATGAAATGAGAAAAGTCAGGTCATGCCTGAAGATCCCTGCCAAGGATGGAAACTGTGGACTTCTTCACAAGAAAGATGATGATAAACCCAATTTGAGGGGCATTCCACTGGCTTGTAATCTTCCAAAGCCTCAAAGTCATGAAAGTGAAGGAAAGGCTGAGGAACTGATCCAGATAAAGAAGGCTAGAGGTGTGTGATTCTGAACTGGATTATTTCGAGTAAGGACATTAATGGGACAACTGGTAAAAGCTGAATGGGGCCTGCAGATTAAACGACAATCAATTATCAAGGCTAATTTCCTGGAAGTAACTGTAGTTACCTGGGTGGAATGTCCCCATCTTGGTAGGAAACAAGTACCACAGTGTAAAGAGTCTCATCAGGTTGTCAACTTACTGTTCAATCAGTTTAGAAAAAATATTGTTTGTAATGTACTTCCAACTTTTCTATCACTTTGAAGCTGTTTTAATTATTTCTTTGGCTTTTTTTTTTTTTTTTTTTTTTGGAGATAGGGTTTCACTGTGTTGGCCAGGATGGTCTTGAACTCCTGGTCTCAAGCAATCCCCCTGCCTCAGCCTTGCAAACTGTGTGAGCCACCATGCCTGGCTGTTTTAATTTTTTTTAACTATAACAAGAAGACAAATACAGTGCCTCATGCCTATAATCTCAGCACTTTGGGAGGCTGAGGTAGGAGGATCCCTTGAGCCCACGAGCTCAAGACTAGCCTGGGCAACATAGTAAGACCTCGTCTCTACAAAAAATGAATGAAATGAGCCAGGTGTGGCAGCACACAGGTAGTCCCAGCTACTCAGGAGGCTGAGGTGGGAGGATCGCTTGAGGGTGGGAGGTGAAGGATAGAGCAAGACCTTATCTTAAAAAAAGTAAGAACAGCCGGGCATGGTGGCTCACACCTGTAATCCTAGCACTTTGGCATCACTTGAGCTGGAGTTTGAGACAAGCCTGGGCAACATAGTGAGACCCTGTCTCTATGAAAAAACATTTTAACAAAAGAAGAAATATAAAAATGAAAAAGAAATGCCCACTTAGGACTTCTCAGAAACCCAGCCACCCAACTCAATGAAGTACAAATACACAGGACAGCCAAGGGCCCTTGGTACCTGGTAGTCAGGGCCTGGTGCCCAGCCATGAAGCTTCCTGGGCGGTGGCTGAGGGTCTGGCGCCTTTCGGACCACACGGGACGCACCCACTGCTTCAGCCCAGTCCTTCCCTTCCTCTCGAGTCCGCTTAGCGTCCGCACTGTCTGCAGAGCTCATTGACAACTGCCGCTGCCTCCTAGGGTCCCAACTGTTCCTAGGACAAACCACATTTGATGTTAAGTTTTTGCACTCAGGCCAAGCATTTCTGATCTCACTGGTCAGAGGCCTTGAGAATTCCCAAGTCAGCTGTCCAAATCATTTTCTTCATTAGAATGGACCACCACTCCCACTACTTCCATGTGAATTCCACGGTTCAGCCCCACCATTTATCAAGTCACTCTCATTAAACAGAGCCCCAGGCACGATATGTCACACTATTTCACCGATGCAAAAAAAAGTCCTCATGATCCTCACTTTAAAGCAAGCTTGTCCAACCACATGTGGCCCAGGATGGCCCTGGGCTCTGGATGCAGCGCAACACAAATTCGTAAACTTTCTTAAAACATTATAAGAGGGCCTGGGCGTAGTGGCTCACGCCTGTAATCCTAGCACTTTGGGAGGCTGAGGCGGGCTGATCATTTGAGGTCAGGAGTTCCAGATCAGCCAGGCCAACATGGTGAAACCAAGTCTCTACTAAAAATACAAAAATTAGCCAGGTGTGGTAGCAGGCACCTGTAATCTCAGCTACTAGAGGCTGAGGTGGGAGAAGTGCTTGAACCCCAGAGGTGAAGGTTGCAGTGAGCCAAAATCGCGGCACTACACTCCAGCCTGGGCAACAAACAGAGAGAGACTCCGTCTCAGAAAAAAAAAAAAATAAAAACACATTATGAGGTATTTTTTCGTAACTTTTTCATTTTAGCTTATCAGCTATCGTTAGTGTTAGTGTATTTTATGTGTGGCTCAAGACAACTCTTCCAGTGTGGCCCAGGGAAGCCAAAAGATTGGACACTCTTGATTTAAAAAGTCAGTAGCTGAGTCTCATCAAGGTTAACGGGGCACCCCTCACAGGGAGGAGCTCACAGATTTGAACCAGGACTCCCAGGTGCGTGTCCGTCTCCTTTTGGTACATCTCCCTCCCTATGCTCTGCACAAGCCAGTTGCTCAATAAATGCCCCTCAAAAGAACAAAAGATGACTACTAAACAGTGCCACAATAAAAAGAGCAAGAGGAGACAAGCAGAGCCGACACAGCATGGAAAAGGAGGAGGTGTTCCAAACAGAGCTGCAGGGGTGGCTGGACAAGAAGGGGATGGGTGCCATGCTCGTCTGGACGCCTCACAATGGAAGCAATGGTGCTGGGGCAAAGCATTTGCAAGGGCCCGGTAATACTGCAGATCAGAGAAAAGCGGGAATCAGGGATGGCAGATGTGTGGGCCTGTGTGTCTACCCACACACGTACGTGGCGAGGGAGGGAAGACGAGGCAGGTAACATAGCTTAGGAGATTACAGAGGGGAAAATTACAGAGGGGACAACAATTACAGAGGGGACAACGGTGATTCCTATCTGACTTTGTCAGAAATGGAGACCACAGTAAAGCTGCTGACCTGTCTAAAAGACCTGTGTTTTTAGAAGATGACTATGGGCAGGGTGTCAAGGACGGGCCATGGAGGACAGGCTGAAAGGATGGAGATGAACTGGTGGACCCATGGATGGTCTGGAAAAGGAGGAGGTCCCAGTGGCCCCAGAGAAAATGAAAAGAGGAGACAGAGTCAGGGCAAGTTTTGGGAGCCAATTGTGTATGAGGAAATAAAGATGCCAAATAAGACATGGATGCATGCACTAAGTCTCTACCAGGTCACCAACCAGCTCAGAGAACATGAAGAAAAAGAGCAGGTTTCAGGAGGAGATCGTTCGGGCACTCTGATTTTGAAGTGCCCTTGGTCAAAGTCAGGGGCAAAACTGTCTCCAAAACCAATGTCCAGTTCCTTCAGGGGAATATGCAGTTCCCATCGCCTCAAAGAGACAAGGAACACAGAGTGTCCTACTGCTCCAATCAGTCTCTAAGAGTTTATGTCTTTGCCTTTGATTTTAATTCTTGATCACAGCTCCTTCTGAGCTTAGTGTTCCAGGAACTGACCCATAGGTATGTCCCGACTGCATCCAAAGCTTCAGCTGAAATCAAACAGCATGAAAGGAAATTACAGAATTTCATTTTTTGTGTGTCATCAGAAAAAGAGTAGCAAAGATTATTACCAACTCTTTCCAGAAGATGGGCACTTACTTTAGGAAGCTTTTAAGTAAAGGATGAAATAACAAAGAAAAAGATGACTCACAGATTTGACTAAACAAATATTCAGTTATTGACAAGAAAACAGAGAAAAATATTTGCAAGACCAACAGCAAAGCATTAACATCTAAACAATATAAAACATTACATTTTAACGGAAAGCAGTGATAAATGTGAAGGAAACAGGCATTATACAAAGGAAGCAAAGGAAAAAGTCTTACTTGCTAGTACTCAAAAAATACAAATTATGACAACCATAGGTATGATTGTTATTATTAATTTTTTGAGACAGGGCCTTACTCTGTCACTCAGGCTGGAGTGCAGTGGTGCAATCATGGCTCACTGCAGCCTCGACCTTCTGGATTCCAGTAGTCCTCCCACCTCAGCCTCCTGAGTAGCTAGGACTACAGGTGCACACCACGCCCAACTAATTGTGGGGTATTTTTTTTTTTTGAGGTGGAGTCTCGCTCTGTTGCCCGGGCTGGAGTGCAGTGGCATGTGGCGTGATCTCGGCTCACTGCAAGCTCCGCCTCCCGGGTTCATGCCATTCTCCTGCCTCAGCCTCCCGAGTAGCTGGGACTACAGGCACCTACCACCATGCCCAGCTAGTTTTTTGTATTTTTAGTAGAGACGGGGTTTCACTGTGTTAGCCAGGATGGTCTCGATCTCCTGACCTCGTGATCCGCCCGCCTTGGCCTCCCAAAGTGCTAGGATTACAGGCGTGAGCCACCGTGCCTGGCCATTGTGGGGTATTATTTTAAAAGTGCTACTAACATTATAAAAACTAGAGGGATGAGAGTACAATGCAGTATTTTCTAAAGGAAATTAAACAAAACTAAACTAGTCCAAGGAAATGATCCAAAAAAAAAAAAAAAAAAAGAGACAAAATTAACATGGTCAAATAAATTCAGGAAAGCTGGCATGCATTCTGCTTCTTCACCTCCCCAGTGCACTTAATTTTTTTTTTCTTTTTCCTTTGAGACAGAGTTTTGCTCTGTCGCCCAGGCTGAAGTACAGTGGCACAATCTTGGCTCACTGCAACCTCTGCCTCCTGGGTTCAAGCAATTCTCCTGCCTCAGCCACCCAAGTAGCTGGGATTACAAGCACACGCCACCACACCTGGTTAATTTTTGTACTTTTAGTAGAGACGGGGTTTCACCATCTTGGGCAGGCTGGTCTCAAACTCCTGACCTCAAGAGATCCACCTGCCTCGGCCTCCCAAAGTGCTGGAATTAACAGCACGAGCCGCCGTGCCCGGCCCCCAGTGTACTTTAGCATGTTCAAGGCTCCGAGGAATCTGGAGTAAAGAAAGAAGTTGAGGCCAGGCACAGTGGATCACTTGAGCCCAGGAGTTTGAGACCAAACCTGGGTAACGTGGCAAACCCCATCTCCAGCAGAAAGATAAAAATTAGCTGGGTATGCTGGCGTGCATCTGTGGTCCTAGCTATTTGGGAAGCTGGGGTGGGAGAATCGCTGAGCCCAGGAGATGGAGGTTTTAGTGAGCTGACATCATGCCACCGCACTCCAGCCTGGGTGACAGAGTGAGAGCCTGTCTCAAAAAAAAAAAAAAAAAAAAAAAAGAAGTTGAACCCAGGGAGGTTTCCCAAACTTGCTTGGCCACAGCAGCCTTTTTGGGCACGACAGCCACAAGCAATCCATGAAGACGTGGTCTGCATAACACACCTGGGGACACACTGATGCAGTGGTGAAGAGGCCGACTATGCACAGGACACAGTCACACCTGCAGGCAAACCCTGGCTCCCCTCCTTCACAGCCATCATCAATAGCTGTCACCCTCAAAACAAAGTGGAAACAGCATCTGTCTGCCATTCCAGGTTGCTATGGAAACTGGGAAATGCTCTGGGTACACAACAACACTAAGCAGGGATGCACTCATGCTGATAGGGCAGGAACGGGTCCTTACCACTTTGGCCTGCCGTCCTTCACAACTTCTTCCTCCTCTTCATCATCACTGAACTTCAGTTTCTCAGAATAGTCCACTTCTTCATGGAGGCCTACAACAGCAGGAGGGCCCAGGAAGAATGAGAAAGAATGAAAAAGTCAGTGGTGGCCGGACGTGGTGGCTCATGCCTGTAATCCCAGTACTTTGCGAGGCTGAGGTGGGCGGATCATGAGGACAGGAGTTTGAGACCAGACTGACCAACATGGTGGCTCATGCCTGTAATCCCAGTACTTTGCGAGGCTGAGGTGGGCGGATCATGAGGTCAGGAGTTTGAGACCAGCCTGACCAACATGGTGAAACCCCGTCTCTACTAAAAATACAAAAATTAGTCGGGCATGGTGGCGTGTGCCTGTAATACTAGCTACTCAGGAGGCTGAGGCAGGAGAATCGCTTGAACGCAGGAGGCAGAGGTTGCAGTGAGCCGAGATCATGCCACTGCACTCCAGCCTGGGCGACAGAGCGAGACTCCATCTCGAAAAAAAAAAAAAGAAAAAGAAAAGGTCAGTGGTACCCAGGCACCATCGGAGAGGTTCTTTTGGCCAGAAATCTCGCTATCCCAGCAGAGGAGCTGAGTCAACCACCTGGCTGCCTACCCCTGTGACTGAAGGGCAGTTTTGGCTTCTGGTAAGAGCAGGGCAGCTTGGTTAGACTAACCCTCCCACAGGTAACAATTCTTAAATCTGAACATTATATCTTTAAAATCTATTTCAAGGCCCAAGAGGATGAACAAAGCAGGCAGAAACCAAGTAGTTGTCTACCCTTAGAATACAGAAGCTTGACTTGTGAGATTTGTGAGTTACCACTTGCCCCAGGCACTGATCAGCCCAAGTGGCTCAGATGGCAGAAAGTATCCATCACAGAGGACTGTGTGAACACAGTGTGGTAGGTCCACACAATGGAATATTATTTGGTCATGAAAAAGAATGAATACAAACACATGCTATAACATAATTAACTGTGAAAACATTATACTAAGTGAAAGAAGCCAGACAAGAAAGGCCACATATTGATTCCATTGATAGGAAATGTCCAGAATATGCAAATCTATAGAGATGGAAAGTAGATTTATTGTTGCCACAGGATTAGGAGGTGGGAGAGAGCGCCTGCCAACAGGTATTGGGTTTCTTTTTTGAGTGATGGAAACATTCTGAAATTGAATAGTGGTGGTAGTTGTACAACCTTGTGAATATATACTAAAAACCACTAAACTATAGACTTTAAAAGGGTAAATTTTATGTTATATGACAATTATGTCAATCATATAATTATATTAAAATTATGTGAATCATATAATCATATAATTCACAGTGGCTCACGCCTGTAATCCCAGCGCTTTGGGAGGTCAAGGCAGGAGGATCACTTGAGGCCCAGAATTTGAACCAGCCTGGGCAACATGGCGAAACCATATCTCTACTAAAAATACAGAAAAGTAGCCAGCCATGGGGGTGCACACCTGTAGTCCCAGCTACTCCGGAGGCTGAGGTGAGAGAATCACCTAAGCCCAGGAAGTTGACGTTGCAGTGAGCTGTGACTGTGCCACTGCACTCCAGCTTGGGCAACAGAGCAAGATCTTGCCTCAAACACAAGGCTAACTAAGCACCATGATGTATGCCTGCAGTCCTGGCTACACAGGAGACTAAGGTGGGAGGACTGCTTGAGCCCAGGAGTTTAAGACCAGCATGGGCAACAGAGCAAGATCCCAACTCTAGAAAAAATAAATTAAATTAAAATTAAAAAAATTTAAAAGGTAACAACAAAAACTCAATCTAATTAAAAAGCAGAGTTAGGAACTGAAAAAGCAAGTTGCAATTACGTGCTGTCTACTAAATAATCACTTTAAATACAAACATAAAGGAGCTTAAAGGAAAAGAATGGAAAAAGATTTTCGCTGAAAACAGTAAGTCAGAGCAATGGTATGAACACAGGACAAAACAGACTGCAAGATAATAGACTACTAGAGATAACGAGGGAAATGTGGAAACACACCAGAAAGGCATAGAAACTATAAATGTGTGTATGCCTAATAGCAGCTTCAAAATAAATGAAGCAGAAACCAACAGTATTAAAGGGAGGAACAGATAAATCCATAATTGGAGTTTAACATCTCACTTTCCTTAACTCATAGAAGCAGACAAAAACATCAGTAAATATACAGTAAGATCTGAATGCCACCATCAACCACCTTGACTAAGTTGGAACATACAAAACATGACACTGAACAACAACTGTAGAATATATACTTTTCAAAGGGCACCTGAAATATTCTCCAAGACAGATCATATCCTAGTCATAAAACAAGTCTTACTAACTTGAAAACAACTGAAATCATACAGAATGTGCTCTCTGGCTGTAAGACAACTAAATTAGCAATCTAGAAATGTCCCCGTAATAAAAAATTGCCTCAATGATTTAAAAAATCATTTAAAATAGATACAGAAAACAAGTCAAACAATGGAGAAAATGAACAATGCTAAAAGCTGCTGCTTCGTAAAGATTAATAAAACAATTCAATTCCTTGGCAGAAATGAAGAAAAAGAAATATACAAATTATCAGGAATTAAAAGATATCACTACAGATCCTACAGACATCAAAAGGATAATGTAATATATTTTCAACAACTTTATGTTAATAATTTCAACAACTCAAAAGAAATGAACAAATTCCTCAAAAAACACAACTTACCGAAAAACTCACACGAAATGACATAGGGAAACTGCACAGTCTCATAACTAATCAAATAAAATAAATTACTGAAAACATTTCCACAATGAAAACTGAAGGGGCAAAATTGTTTCACTGGTAAAGTAATACTGGCCAGGCACAGTGGCCCAAACCTGTAACCCCAGCCACTCAGAAGGTGAGGCAGGAGGATCACTTGAGCCCAGGAGTTTGAGGCTGCGTTGAGCCATTATTGCAGCAGTGCACTCAGCCTGGGTGACAAAGTGAGAGAGACCCTGTCTCAAAAAAGAAAGAAAAAGAAAAATATATAATACTGATCTTACAAAAATACCAATCTTATACTGATCTTACAAAAATACCAATCTTATTCTTTAGGAAAGTAGAGAAGAACACTCCACAACTCATTTTATAAGCCCAGCATAACTTGATACCAAAACCTGACAAAGACATTAAAAGAACAGAAAATTACAAACTAATATCCCTCATGACAGAACTTTAAAACATATTAACAAATTGAGTCTAGGCATACAAAGAGGGAGGGTTTATTCTAAGAATGCAAGGTTGGTTTAGCATTAAAAAAAAATGCAATCTATTATCAAAATAAAGGAGAAAAATAATATGAACACAGATGTAGGAAATCATTGAACACAATGCAATACCCATAATTTACAAAAACAAAAAACCCAAAGGCTCAGCAAACTAGACACAGAAGGCAACACATCCTCAACCTGATAAACAGCATCTCTGAAAAACCCACAGCTGACACTTCATGCTGACACATGAAACATTTTCTTCCTCAGACCAGAAAGAACTTGAGGTTAATATTATACTAGAAGTATACCACAGTGCAATAAGGCAAAATACAAATAAATAAATAAAAGGCACGTAATCTGAAAAAGACAATGTAAAACTCCTTATTTACAAACTACATAAGGGTTTATGTAGAAAACTCTAAGAAATCAACAAAAACTAGTAAAACTAATGTATATTCAACAAAGTGTCTGGTACCAGTGAACACAAAAAAATCAACTGTATTTTCTTTTTTTTTTGAGATGGAGTCTCGCTCTGTCACCCAGGCTGGAGTGCAGTGGCACGATCCTGGCTCATTGCAACCTCCGCCTCCCGAGTTCAAGCAATTCTCCTGCCTCCGCCTCCCAAGTAGCTGGGACTACAGGCGCGTGCCAACACGCCCGGCTAATTTTTTGTATTTTTAGCAGAGACGGGGTTTCACCATGTTAGCCAGGATGGTCTCAATCTCCTGATCTTGTGATCCACCCACCTCAGCCTCCCAAAGTGGTGGGATTACAGGCGTGAGCCACTGCGCCCGGCCTCAGCTGTATTTTCTATATAATGACAGCAAACCCTTAAAAAATGAAATTGTTCTTAAAAATCAATGTCATTTCTAATAGCATCAAAAAACCGTAAAATGCCTGAGAATAAATTTAACAAAAGACATTCAGGACCTCTACATGAAAACTGTAAGTAAGACACTGCTGAGAGAAATGAAAGCCCTAATAAAGAGATACACCAGGTTCCTGGACCTAAAGATTCAAAATTAAGGACTGGACATGGTGGCTCATACCTGTAATCCCAGCACTTTGGGAGGCCAAGGCGGACCTATCACCTGAGGTCAGGAGTTCGAGATCAGCCTGGCCAACATGGTGAAACTTCGTCTCTACTAAAAATACAACAATTAGTAGGGCATAGTGGCCCACACCTGTAATCCCAGCTACTTGGAAGGCTGAGACATGAGAATCACTTGAACCCAGGAAGCAGAGGTTGCAATGAGCTGAGATCATGCCACTGCACTCCAGCCTGTGTGGCAGAGTGAGACCCCATATCCAAAAAAAAAAACACCACCAAGTTTCAAAGTTAAGATGTCAGGTGGGGTGCAGTGGCTCACGCCTGTAATCCCAGCACTTTGGGATGCTGAGGTGGGCAGATCACAAGGTCAGGAGTTCGAGACCAGCCTGGCCAACATGGTGAAACCCTGTCTCTACTAAAAATACAAAAATTAGTTGGGCATGTGGTGCGCGCCTATAATTCCAGCTACTCGGGAGGCTGAGGCAAGATAATCACTTGAACCCGGGAGGCGGAGGTTGCAATGAGTCGAGATCATGCCACTGAACTCCAGCCTGGGCAATAGAGCAAGACTCTGTCTCGGGAAAAAAAAAAAAAAATTTAAGATGTCACTTATCGATGTTGATACAGATTCAACATAATCCTAACCAAAATGCCCGCAGGCCCTTTGTAAATACTGACAGGTTGATTCTAAATTTATGTGGAAACAATCTTGGAAAACGACAAAGTTGGAAAACTTACACTACTGAAATTTAAGATTTACTATAAACCCACAGTGTGGTACTGGTATGAGGAACAACTAGATCAATGGAACAGTGTCCAGAAATAGACCAATGCTTTTATAGTCAATTGACTTTTGGCAAAGGTTCCAAAGCAATTCGATAGGGAAAGTGAAGTCTTATCAACAAATGTTGTGGAGAATTGGCCGTATGGGAAAAAACAAACCTTGACTCCTATCTTATGCCATATACAAAAATTAATCCAATGTGGATCAAAGACCTAAAATTAATAGTTAAAACTATAAAACATCTAGGAACATCTTTACCACCAAGGGGAAGCAAACATTTTTTTAAACAGGACACAAAAATAATAACCACAAAAAAACCCAAATTTGTAAATTAAACTTCAAAATTCAAACTTCTGCTCACCAAAACAGTGTTTAAAAAAAATTAAGACAAAGAATGCAATAAGGAAATATATTTGCAAAATAAAAGTTGCAAAGGATTTGTATCCTGGGCTGGTACCCTACCACTCAATTTTTTAAAATTCAGATACCAAACAAAGGACAATATATCAGCTGTCAAATAGCACATAAAAGTGTGTTTATCATCATTAGTCATCAGCAAAATGCAAATTAAAAGCACAATGAGATACCACTAAACACCCACTAGAATGACTAAAATTAAAAACACAAACATGTTCAAGGCTGCAGTGAGCTTTGATCACACCACTGCACTCCAACCTAGGAAACAAAGTGAGACCCTGTCTCTTTAAAAAAAAAAAGATGAACACCAAAATGTAAGATCCAGACCTACCAAATTCTCACACACTGCTGCTGGGAATGTAAAATGGCACAACCACCAGGGGAAAAGGTTTGGACAGGTCTTAAACACTTAATCCTATGTCTACCCTTTGACCCAACAATTCTAGATACTTACCCAAGAGAAATAGAAGTATGATGTATATAGTGGGGCTTTTGAATGAATAAACAAATTACAGTATATTGATGCACTGGAACATATCTCAGCAACTAAAAGCAACTGGCATATAAACAACATTGATGAATATGAAAACCATACAAGAGTAAAAACTGTATGACTCCACTCATCTGAAGTCTGTTAACTAGGCAAAACTAATCTAGGGTAAAGTGAATCAGAAGAGCAGCAGGCCCTTGAGCGGTGGCAGGGCAGAGCACTGGAGAAGCAATGAGGAAGCCTGCGGTGGTGAGGGAAATGTTCCCTCTTTCTCTGGATATGGATGTGTGTGATATACACGTATCCATTTGTAAAACTGTACAGGTAAAATGTGATATGGGTACCTTTCACTATAATTTAAATCTACTTGAAAATAAAAAGAACTATAAAAGAAAATAATCAGGTTGGGGGATGGGGAGTGGGGGGAGATAAACGAATAAGAATGGCAGAACAAGCTGGGTTTGTGGCACCCGCGTGTAGTTCCAGCTACTCCGGAGGCTGAGGAAGGAGGAAGAGTTTGAGGCTGCAGCTCACCATGATGGACCCTGCAAACAGCCACTCCACTCCAGAATGGGAAACACAGCCAGACTCTTTCTCTTTCCTTTTTTTTTTTTTTTTTTTTTTTTTTTGAGACAGTGTCTCCCTCTGTCGCCCAAGCTGGAGTGCAGTGGTGCGATCTTGGCTCACTGCAACCTCTGCTTCCCAGGTTCAAGTGATTCTCCTGCCTCAGCCTCCTGAGTAGCTGGGACTACAGGCACGCGCCACCACACCTGGCTAATTTTTGTATTTTTAGTAGAGACAGGGTTTCACCATGTTAGCCAGGATGGTCTCGATCTCCTGATCTTGTGATCTGCCCACCTCAGCCTTCCAAAGGAATTATAGGCATTAGCCACCGTGCCCAGCCTTCCTTTTTATCTTTATATTTTTTACTGCTCCTTGCAGAGTAGGGCTAACCCACAGGCAGTATGCCCAGAGTAGCTGAGACCCTGTCTCTTGGAAAAAAATTAAATTAAAACAAACAAAAACCGAATGGCAGAACATTGGTACTTATTGAACCTGAGTGATCAGTGGTTGGGAGCTATTTTCTTTTTTGTTTAAATTTTGCATCATCAATAATTTTTAAAAAGTTAACAACAAAACTCTAAGATCAAGACTAAAGACCAAAAGAAGCTAATGGCTTGGCCAGGAAGGAACCTCTAGTCAGGGAGTAAATGAGGAAGGAGGGCATCAGGTCTGCTTCCCTGTCCGGCTCTTCATCCCTATCTTGCCAAGGGAAAACACACGGTGGTGCCAGGGGGTTTCCATCCCTGGTAAGTACATATGGACTTTGGTCCTGCCCGTCTAAACCACCCGTGCTTCTCTGCCCACCTGCCCAGCCATCATCGGCATCGGCGTCCAGATCGTCAAGGCCCTTCAGGTTTTCCGCATTGATAATGGTGGGCCGTGGTGCCCGCTCCACCAGCTGCCTTAGTGGGCGGAGTGGGCGAGACAATCCCAGCCTGTTTTCTTTTCTGATAAAAGAAAAGATGATGGAATCATGTCCAGTATACAGACGGAAGCAAAATCAAATACCTTTCCAAAAATAAATTCCACACTGCAAAGGTTCATGTTTGATTTAATTATTTCTATCAGTTCCTTTAAAAGAAATATATAATGAGCAAACGAGTACATCCCAGAAAGAAGTTCTGCCTTGTCCTGCAGTTTTACATGCTGGTTGCTAAGGCCTAGGGCAGCAGCAACACACACGTGCCAGAACTTCAACTCTACCAGGCACTTGAAATCATGACTCAATCTGTCATCCAGCTCCAAATCCCAGCCACCACCCCACACACCCTGCCACGCTGAGCTGGTTAAGTTCTCTGTGGTCTCCAGGAGACACAGCACTTCTATTCATCAGCCCCTCATCTTGACCAGAATCACCACCGCACTCATCTCTACACACGTGACTGTAATGCAATGGACTCACCCGTCTTGGTCATTCATCTGGAACTGTCTAAAAGGAACTCGAGGTTCAAGGCGGAGCTGAGGAAGGGGAAAAGAGCCTCGTTCCACTGTACCCTGGTTTTCTGATGACTTCGGCGAACACATCTGAAACATAACATCAATGAACAGGATTTGCTGGTAATGGCTGAAACTGCAATTTCCACTTAAATCAGAATGTGTTTTATAAAGTGGAAAATGGGAAAAAGAAACAGGAAAGTCATGGGGTTTCCTAATTAATCCTACCACCATCTCCCCCATTTCATTCCTGCTGCCAGTAAGTAGACTTGGGGACCTATGTCAGGGAAAACCTGCCTCTCCTGTTTCTAAAGAACCAAAGGCTAAAATCATATCCACATCACCAGGGAAAGAAGTCAGAGGCCCTGAAGATTTAAAAAGCAGGGAGAGAAAATGCAAAACGAGTGGAAGCCTCAGAAGTAGGGTAACAGGGCCAAGAGGAGACCCCAAGGGGGACATTCAACCACTTGACCTATCTGCTGGACACAATCCAACTTCATGGGGGGAAAAAAAGTACACTCTGAAGACTTACAAAAGCAGGAAGCATGTCATGGTATGTAGGTGGGTGGTATACATTTCCCATGAACTGTGAAGCCCCTTTTCGGACAGGCTGAGCCGGGCGGAGAGAGGGGTCCTTAGAATCGCTGGTACATGCCGAGGAGGGGGCTCCATCTCCCGTACTCGAGTTCCTGCTGCCCAGCTCAGTTGGGGAGGTGCTCAGAGACGTGGCAGAAATTATGTGTCGCCCACCGCCCTCCCTCCAGCTTGTCACATCTGGAAATTGAAAGGGGGCAAAAGGGGAGAGGGAAGAGGAGGGGGAAGGAGGGATCGTATGAGGTTCTGAAGGTCAAGGGACCCCCTCCTTCACCAAAAAAATAAAATGAAAAACAAAAAACACCAAAAGTGAAGAACTGTTAAATCTGTCAGGGAAGGTTGGGGCAGACCCCTGGCCAATGAGGATGAACTTGCTGAGGGAAGTCTGACTGTGAAATATAAAATGAGATCTACTCAGAGAGAAGGCTTCATCAGTAAGCAACAATCACCACCCTTCCCCAAGTCTCACAACCCAGAGAGATGAAGATGGCCCTGATGAAACCAGCCTTGGGTCATTCCTTCAACAAACACTGACCAGCCCACTTAGGGTCAGCACTGGACTACACATTAAAACAGGAGCAAGTTCCGGGCACAGTGGTTTCAGGCTTTGTTTAGCAGTGGCACCTTTTAATAAAGATCCCCCAGCCCACAAGACAGGCAAGGCGCAGCTGCTGTCCTTCCAGTGGAGGTGTGGGGCACTTGCGTAGCTCACAGACGGAAACCTGCTGACCTGTCTTTTTAAAATGATGCTTTCTATTGCCAAATGTGGTAAGATCGGGTGGAAATTATTAGAGGCCAACAAGAAATCAAATGAGACAACAGACCCCTGTTTTCGGTCACCTTTTGGTTAGAAGTTGAAGCACAAAGGTCTCTGAGTTACACGACCCTTAAGGGAAAGAGACCCAGGACATGTCTGATCCCAGCTCTTCAACCCCTTTGCTGTGTGATTTGGGGCAAGCCAAGGTCACCCCTCTGTCCATGTTTTCTCATCTTCTCCAATGAGGAGATTAAACTGATGCTTAGAAGCTTCTTCTATGTCTACGTTTTTATAGTCCCACAAGGCAGCTCCTCTTAATTAACCCCAGAAAGACATAATTCGTGTCCCTTAAAATGATGCAAACAGGCTGGGCGCGGTGGCTCACGCCTGTAATCCCAGCACTTTGGGAGGCTGAGACAGGCGGATCACCTGAGGTCAGGAGTTCAAGGCCAGCCTGACCAACATGGAGAAACCCGCCTCTACTAAAAATACAAAATTAGCTGGGTGTGGTGGCACATGCCTGTAATCCCAGCTACTCGGGAGCCTGAGGCAGGAGAATCACTTGAACCCGGGAGGCGGAGGTTGCAGTGAGCAGAGATCGCACCATTGCACTCCACCCTGGGCAACAAGAGCGAAACTCCATCTCAAAAAAAAAAAAGCAGCAAAATAAACCAGTCCTGTGTGGGCCACTGGAAAGGCAGTGAGTGCTGGTTTAAGTAAGACACATCCACAGTGATCACTGACTTACAGGACATCACTTATGACTTGAATGGGAGAGGCCTTGGGGATACATCAAGGCAAGCAAACAAAAGGCCTCACAATTTAAGACCTGATCAAGACCCCTGGACTACATGAGCCACTTCAAAATCCCTGAGTAGAACACGTGGAAAATCACATTCCTAAACACCACCTTAACCTCCAGCCACCCTCGGCTTCCAAGGAGAAATTTCCAGCCAGTGCTACACAATCCTGCCACTTCCCTGGCCCGACCTAAGATGAGGGGCCAGTAGAGACCAGTACCAGGCTGATTTATGTAACAATCCCCAGAGGAATGGGTTAAAAATACAGGTCCTAATTGGGCTGGGGGAGGGGAGGACTGGAAATCAGACTCATTCACAAACTCCCCAGTGATTCCGACTAGATGTAGCTAGGATTGGGAGCTTTAGAAAACAAGCTCTTGAACCGGGGACCTAAGTTAATTGGTCCTTTGTCCATCCTTGCCACAGCCACCAGGCACAGCAAAATTAACAACCGGATGACAGAGGGGGAGGGGACAGGCCTGGCCCAACCCAAGAGACAAAAAAGGCACAAGGCCCAATCCAATGGCCTAGGCAGCAAGTCCAATGGATGCACAGATCACGTGGCGAGTCAAAGAGCCACGTTTCCAGCTCGAACCGGAGACCCCAGTGGCATCAGCACCCTTTTAGGAGTGCAGAGAGATGAGAGGAGGAAGTTCTGTTACTCCATCGAGTGCCCAGAGGCTGCAGTCACTTACTCTGAGGGCGGAGGCTTGGTCCTGGCCCATACGACAGATCTAAGACGCCCTTTTCTTTGCCAGCCTTGTCCTGCCCTCCAGCTGCTTTCAGCGTCGGAAATTCCTCGGGAGAGAAGGATAACAGTCGGCTTGAGCCCCTTAAACCTGTCAAGAAGACGGGGTAGACATGGAGGAAGTGAGATGGAGTCAACAGTCGTCTGCTTCCCAGCTCCACACCTTGAAAGCCGTGTTGCCTGGAAGTGGGCTTTTGAAGGGAGTCTTGTCACAAGGGTGCTCTGTGCTGGCAGATGCCACGAGGGTGCTGAGGGTGGCAAGGGAGACTGCTGCTGACAGCATCATGCCCCTTCCCAGCTGACCTGCAAGGACCAGTGCCTGCTTACAAATGGAAAGAGGTAAGACATCACAGCCGCTCCAGGCCACAGCCTGCCCCAGCAGGGAAGGTTCTACTGACTGCCTGGGGCCACAGACAAGCACAGCCTCCTATAAAATCAGCCCAGGGGAGGCCAAGAAGGCAACTGCTTTCCTGTGGAGGCAACACCTACAGAGTGTGCTGCCATCCCTGCCCCAGTCCACCCCAAAAGGATTAAGATGCTGCTTTTGCCTGGCACAGTGGCTCACACCTGTAATCCTAGCACTTTGGGAGGCCAAGGTGGGTGGATCATTTGAACTCAGGAGTTCAAGACCGGCCTGGGCAACATGGCAAAACCCTGTCTCTACCAAAAAATACAAAAAATTAGTCTGGTGGCGGGCGCCTGTAGTCCCAACTACTCAGGA
Organism: Homo sapiens; assembly: GCF_000001405.40. Taxonomy (NCBI): domain Eukaryota; kingdom Metazoa; phylum Chordata; class Mammalia; order Primates; family Hominidae; genus Homo; species Homo sapiens. Next base: position 131,443,554 of record NC_000009.12, on the reverse strand, counting down.
GGCTGGGGTGGGAGGATCACTTGAGCCCGGGAGGTGGAGGTTGCAGTGAGCCGAAAACGTGCCACTGCACTCCAGTCTGGGTGACAAAGTGAGACCCTCTCTCTAAAAATAAAAAAATAGGCCAGGCGTGGTGGCTCACGCCTGTAATCCCAGCACTTTGGGAGGCCGACGCGGGCGGATCATGAGGTCAGGAGATCGGGACCATCCTGGCTAACATGGTGAAACCCCATCTATACTAAAAATACAAAAAAAAATTAGCCAGACGTGGTGGCGGGCGCCTGTAGTCCCAGCTACTCGGGAGGCTGAGGCAGGAGAATGGCGTGAACCCAGGAGATGGAGCTTGCAGTGAGCCGAGATCGTGCCAATGCACTCCAGCCTGGGCAACAGAGCGAGATTCCGTCTCAAAAAAAAAAAATAATAAAATAAAATAAAATAAAATAAATAAAATAAAATAAACAAATGCTGCTTTCTACCATCAAATGTGGTAAGATCAGGTGGAAATTAGATTTATACACATGAGTAACTCCTCATTCACCTGTCCTTCCGCATTTTGTACTAAGTTCCTTGAGCCCTACAAGGCCAAACATTTCACTCTTATAATCCTGGGAACAGTTTATTTCTTCATTCTTTCATTCATTCCTTGACATTACAACCTGCTTTAGAGAAGAAGCCTTTCCTAATGTTGTTCCCTTACACAGAAAACTTAGCACAGAGGTTCTGCCACCATTTTTGGATGAACAGATTAAAAATGGCACGTCTTTTGATCTGGAATATGCAGCACACTCCAGACAGGAGCAATCTAGGAACAGTGGCGACACCACACAACAAATGGCCCCCTGTGGAATGCCTTGTTCCCTATACAGCTAAACCCAAATCTTCCCCTAAGTAGTTTAAATTATTCTTAGCACCACTGATCCACGGGCCTGTTCACTAAAGCCGACTGTGCCGGAAAGGCGCGGCTGGATCACCACACAAGCACGTGGCAGCAATTCGCTTGCCACTCCCTTAGTAAAAAGGTCCAGGGTCAAATAAACCTGACGGTAAGACTGGACACCATTCACCAATGACCAGCCAGAGATGGACTCTAAGTGTCATGAAGGAGCTCCAGTGCTCTGTGAAGGGGGCTCTGACTCAGAGTCGCTTCATTATGGTAGAAGGTCACTGGCAAGAATCAAATAAAAACTGTATTTTTAAAATACAGTATCACCAGCCTGGACAACATGATGAAACCCCATCTCTACAAAAATCACAAAAATTAGCCGGGCATGGTGGTGCATGCCTGTAGTCCCATCTACTTGGGAGGCTGAGGCGGGAAGATTGCTTGAGCCCAGAAGACTGAAGCTATAGTGAGCCAAAACTGCACTACTGCACTCCAGCCTGGGCAACAGAATGAAACCCTGCCTAAAAAAAAACAAACAAACAAACAAAAAAAAAGGTAGATTTGAAATTAGGAAAAAAACCAGCACCTGTCCAACATTGCTGTTCCATCTCTTTCTTCTGCTTCGAGAATCATGAATATATTATTGTAAGCATGAATTAATCTTAATAAGGATAAAGGGTAGGAAAAAAAAAAATCTCACACCAAAATACCAGTATTCATAAGGTCCCAATGTTTTATGATGTTCACCTGCCATCTGTTCTCTGCCATGAGAAACTGAGGCAGGAAAGTCAGGGGGCTTCTTCCGAGGTCACAGGCTGAGCCACTGGTGGGGCAGCAGCTGGTATCTGAGCCTCTGACCTCTGCCCAAACATGCAATCAGGTCTCCTGGGTCTGTTTCAGGTGACCTATCAACTGAGTCTATCAATTCAGGAAAAGTCCTTTTGAATTCCAAAGAGTCATGAAAACACTTGTGGGCAACACCCTCAAATCCCCACACTCCTGACAGTGTCACAGATGCATGACTCTAGCACGAGAGGGGGAACTGAAACTGACTTTTACACTTGGCCCCCACCCTGCCCAGTGTGTCGATTCTGTGGGCTGGCAGGTTTCTGCCTGCAATTATTTTCTTTGTTTTTTTAAATTTTGTGTAGAGAAAGGGTCTTGCTATGTTTTTCAGGCTGGACTTAAACTCCTGGGCTCAACCAATCCTCTCACCTTGGCCTTCCAAGTAGCTGGGATAACAGGTGTGTGCCACCACGTCCAGTTTAAAATTATTTTCTCCATCAAGCTTTATTGTGATACAGTTACATTACCTACATTTTTTATAGGTAACACAGTGACATGGTTCAGAAGTGAACACCATGTAAAGGTAGACACAGAAGCCTTCCTCTCACCCCTATGCCCATTTGCCCCCTTCTGACTCCCTCAAAAAAACTGGCAGTTTTCTGTTACCTTCTGGAGATTTTTAAACACATATACATCAGTATACAGATGGGTGGCTTTTAAAACATGCATATACAACATTTTTTAGAAGTGTATTTTTTCTCACTCCCATTTTTCTGTTTTGTCCTTTAAGATAGGGTCTTGCTCTGTCACCCAGGTTGGTGTACAGGAGTGTGACCACAGCTCACTGCAGCCTCCACCTCTGGTGCTCAGGTGATTCTCCTGCCTCAAGCCTCCCAAGTAGCTGGGACTACAGGTGTCTGCCACCACACTTGGCTGATTTTTTGTATTTCTTGTAGAGACAGGGTTTCACCATGTTGCCCAGGCTGGTCTCGAACTACCGGACTCAAGCAATCCTTCTGCCTCAGCCTCCCAAAGTCCTGGGATTACAGGTGTCCAGCCCTCACCCCCATTTTTTACACAAATGGTTAAGATACTATACATACCATTCTGTACTTTTTTTCACCTGAAGATCTTGCCAAATCAATAGAAAACTTCTGCTTTTTTTCTTTATAGCCAAATCACATTTCATTAAAGTACCATAATTTTACAGGCATTTCAAGGGACTGTTTGCAATCTTTTGCTATTATAATGTTGCAGTGAATAATCTTATGCGCAAGTCATTTCACACACGGGCGAGTATAATTTGTAGAGCAATTTCCTCAGGGTGCACTTGCTAGGTCAAAGGGTATTATGTGTTATTATTTTGCCAGGCAGCGCCAAACTGGCTTCCATAGGAGTTGGGCCAATTTATACAGAAGTTTTTCTTTTAATTTTTGTAGTTCTTTTTAAATAAAAATTAATATATTCTATCTATTTTTAAAAATTCTAACCTTATGGAGGTTGCAGTGAGCTATTGTGCCACTGCACTCCAGCCTGTGTGACAAAGCAAGACTCTGTCTCAAAAAAAACAAAAACAAAACAAAAAATTCTAACCTTACAGAAATATAAGATATGGAAAGCCAAAGAACCAGTTACAAGTCCAGTGAATGCTCTTCATAAAGCATCTTCAAAGACCCTTTTGAGGTCAGGCACGGTGGCTTACGTCTGTAATCCCAGCACTCTGGGAGGCCAAGGTAGGAGGATCATTTGAGCCCAGGAGTTGGAGACCAGCCTGAGCAACATAGTGAGATCTCGTCGCAACCAATCAATCACTCAGTCAATCAATTAATCAATAAGCCAGGCGTGGTGGTGCATGCGCCTGTGATCCCAGCCCCAGCTACTTGGGAGGCTGAAGTGGGAGGATCTCTTGAGCCTAGGAGTTTGAGATCAGCCTGGGCAACATAGTGAAATCTTGTCTCTACTCAGAATGGAAAGAAAAAAAAAAAAAATCAGCCAGATGTCGTGGTACACACCTGTAGTCCCAGCTACTCAGGAAGCTGAGGTGGGAGGATTGCTTGAGCCCGGGAGATCGAGGCTGCAATGGGCTATAATTGTGCCACTGCACTCCTGCTGGCACTCGATCTGTACCCTCAGCCCCTTGGGAGAAGCTGGGGCACTGAAATCCAATTGGCACATTGATCGGTCATTTCCCGTTGGAGACTGAGGGAAGAGCCTTTGAGCACAGGGATTTCAACCCATAAGGGGCAGGACCTCCTAGGCATGGCAGGCTGGGGGTGAGGTTCAGGTAACGAAGGATGTGCAGCTGGTTTTCTAATACAGGCTACTAAAGACCAAGTCTGGTGAAGCCTTGGCTGGCAGGGGTAGTGCAGGAAGCAGAAGGCGATATCAGGATGGTGGCAAAGGGTAATAAAGGGCAGCCAGTGCTGCTTTACAGGAGAAAGTGAATTGTGGGCTTTCCCCAGTACATTCCTTTGAATCGTCTGCCCACACCACGACCACTCTCCTTCCCACTCAGAGCTGCTGCCTAGTTTGGTCTGAAGCACAGTATGCTAGAAACATTCAAGCTATCATCAAAAATCACCAGCAGCACAGCCCAGTCAGCACTCCTCTGTCTCAGCAAGAGCACACATCCAAAGAAACCAAAGAGCTGGCACCTCTACAGAGTCAGCGCCCGCTGTGCACAGGCAAGGGCTCCATAGACGGTACCTCTTTGTGGAAGAGAGTCCTCAAAGCTTCTGGGTGCCTAGACCCAACCAGACATTCTGGAAAAGGCATTCACCTCCCTCTCCCCAGCGTCCCCAAACAACACACACACGTGCGCACTTACCACCTTCGTGTCCTACTGGCTTTCCATTCAGCTGTGCCCATGACTTTGGTCCACCTGGCACTGAATTTGTATTCTGAAAGAAGGAAGAGAATCAGAAGAGGGCCAGCTCCCTTATTCCACTGTACAATAACAGCCTATTACAACAAGGTGCTGAGAGGCCAGCACCTTAGATTCAAACCCTATACGGATCCATCCACCACCACTTTCTGAGCAGCAGCAAAGCCCTGAACCTTCCCTGTAACGCACACTCCACACAGCGGTCCCAGGGACGAGAAAATGCCAGGCCCACTCTACAGACAAGGAGCAGGATTTGGGGAGTGACCAGCTTCAAGTCACACAGACAGTGACACAGCAAAGCCAGGACCCAAACCTGTTTCTCTCCATTCGGTGCTCTGGAACCTCCCGTGTCCACAGAGAGCTACTTTATTTTGCTCCAGCGACAAAGACTAAGGCCCAGTTCCGGCATGTGTCTTTAAAACTGCGCAGCTGCTAATGAGGAACGTGAACAAAGAAGGCCAACATGCCAGATCTTGATCTGGGTGGGCTGGCTGCAGCACTTTCTGTAGTGACCGTGACTCTACAAGGCACAGCTCCCCTCCTGAGAACCCTAGGAGGTCACCTCTGCTGAAAACTCGCCAGGGTCAGCATTATGCGAAGCACACCCAGCCTGACTGAATGCTCACCACCCCCTGAGAAGGCTCTAGTCACATCCCCCACTGAGGCTCAGAGAAGAGTGACTGAGTCAGATGCAGAACAGCAGGACCAGGACCAGTCTCCAGCCTGCCTATGTCCAGTGCCCTTTCGAGTCTCTAACCACTAAGCTCACCCGTCTTTTCCACTCAACTAACATTCATCTCACAGCCTTCCTCTTCTAACTGAAGGTGAAAATACACAAAACAAAGCTGCTGCTTTGTGAAACTTCCCCACTTACTGGTAGATGTTCTAAAACTCGCACAACACTGGGCACTTCTTCTTACCTGCCCCTCACATATGAGAGAAAACCAGGTAGCAGCAAAGAAGCACTGAGCACTGGATAAGGTGACCCCTGTGCCAGTGCCAGGATGGGTTCCCCTTCCTTGGCATAGTGCTCCCCTTCAGCAATTCATTCAAATAGATGCCCAGGACCTCACCCACAGGCCCCAGTGGTGGGGTCTGAGCACATACATCTTGAACAGGCTTCAGAGGCAAATCTGATCTCTCAGCTCTATCACCTCACTCCTTTTCTTTCAAATTCTGGGAAGCAGAAAGGAACTCAACTCTAAATACTCTGACTAGCCTATGGGTCCCAGTGGATTTAGGCCAAGGAAAAGGGCATCTTGCATGATTATAGACCTCTTTTCTTGTCTTTAATTTTAAAAGCACGGTTCAGTGTTAGGTGGGGAGAGGGTGCCCTGGCAAAGCCACAGACTTCCCTGAGTATGGTTAAAGCAGAGAGGGGATGACATTTGAGACCTTATATTGCCCATGCAGCAAAGCAAAACCAAAATATGTTCATTCCCGCTGTCAAGAGAGCTGGTGAATATGAGATATCTACGTCTACTTTTAGTCTTCTAAAAAATTCATAGACTTCTCATCTAGATTTCTAGTTCTGGCTAAGTATATCCTCCTGCCAATCTCTGGAAACCTGTAGCCAGGCTCTGATGGACTGAGTGTGTTATGAGCTCTTGCTTGGTGAAATCATTACTTTCTGCTTAGAAAAACACTTAAAACATATCAACAAATGAAGGATTGTAGCTTCGTATTTCCCAAAGCGTGTTCTGAGAGACATTAGTCCCTAGAGACATTCGGTAAAGAAATGTTTCCTGGGACAAATAAATTCAGGGACTGCTGCCCATTATATCCTCTTCTCAGAGAGTCACATTAGGTATTAGCATATGAAAGGCACTGAGAAGTACCGCAGTAAAGGAGCTCGCTTCGTTTTGTTTTTCAAACTCACCTGGCCAGTGAACCTTTTTGTGACCTGCCACTTTTTGTCTTCCTGTGACCCAAGCTTCCATGGAGCTCACGTGACGCTTCCATGGAGCTTCACCCTGAACTAGTCTGCAGTCCAGCCTGAGTGACCCTGCCTCACGGTAAATCAAGAGGAACCAAAGTAGGTGCCTGTATCCTAGTCTGTATCTGAGGTCTTTTTCTAAAAGCTGCAGATTAAATTTCTTAACCACTGACCTTGACGGTTTCCCATGACGGTTTTCTAAAGTCACTCATCGGGTGTGCCTCTGGAATAGACAGGTCATGCACAACCACACTTCTCAGTAGCAACTCCTTCCATCCCCCAGCAACAAAGAGATTTAGGGGCTACCATGCCCAGGAAACAGTTGGGATGGGGTCCCAGCACCTACCTCCTGACTGATTGACTGTGTCGGTTTCTGCAAATTGGAGACAGATTTCTGCAAACCCGGCTGCGGCAGCGACTCCGGCGGCTGAGAGGCCGTCGCACTGGAACTAGACAAAGGCAGGGCAGTGGGGTCAGGCACCGCACAGAGTGCGCTGGCCAGGTCTCTGCGTTCTCAGGAGCCACAGCTGTTCAGCTGCTCACAGGAAGCAGACCTCCTCTGGCCAATAAAAATACGACTTTCCCCAGTAGATTCTTATGCTGGCAAAAACTAATAAGAAAACAAACCATGCTTAAGTTCTAGTCACTGACATTTAAAATTAGCACAAGACAGTCCTCTGACTTTTTCTTTTTCTTTTTTTTGAGACAGGGGGTCTCACTCTATCACCCAGGCTGGAGTGTAGTGGGGTAAACTTGGCTCAATGCAACCTCTGCTTCCCGGCCTCAAGCAATCCTCTCATCTCGGCCTTCTGAGTAGGTGGGACTACAGGCTTGAGCCACCTTGCCTGGCCTTTCTTTTTTAAAAATGAAACTTTTCTGCCTTCTTGTAGAGCCTTCTGTCTGCAAAAACTAAAAGCTCACTGTAAACAATGCAAATGAAGGATTTGCCAATAGGGAAATTCAATCACTGGAATGAAGGGCTTGTGCCCCTTACCCCAGACCCAGAGCCCATACCTACTCAGAGGGCTGACTTTTTAACCTTCTCTGAGTTTATAAAAGAAATACATGCTCATAGTAAAAATAAACTTATAAATAAAACTAGGTAACACAGAACATCATGATCTCATCATCCAGAGAGAAACTCCAAGCAGACTTTTCTATACCTGTTAATACAGTTTTGTTTTTAACCAGCAGAGTTTTACACTGCAGGAATACAGTATTTTTCTAACAGAAGTGGAGTGACCCCATACATAAAGCTCTATGACTTTTTTACTTCATGCATCTGAACATCTTTTCATCAACATAGAAACGGATCTTCCTTTTGCTTTTAATGAGCACACAACACAACTAGACAGGTCATAATTTAACCAGTCTCTCATATGGGTTTTTCTTCCCCCTTACAGATACAACTGCAATAAGAATTTTTTGGCTTTTTTTTTTTTTTTTTTTTTTTTTAGATGGAGTCTCATTCTGCCGCCCAGGTTGCAGTGCAGTGGCATGATCTCAGCTCACTGCAACCTCTTTCTCCCAGGTTCAAGCGATTCTCCTGCCTCAGTCTCCCGAATATCTGGGATTACAGTTATGCAGCACCACGCCTGGCTAATTTTTGTATTTTTAGCAGAGACGGGGTTTCAACATGTTGGCCAGGCCAGTCTTGAACTCCTGACCTCATGTGATCTGCTCAGTTCAGCCTCCCAAAGTGCTGGGATTACAGGTGTGAGCCACTGCGCCCGACCTACAATAAGAACTTTTTTTTCTTTTCTTTTTTTTCGAGATGGAATCTCGCTCTGTCACTCTGGCTAAAGTGCAGTGGCATGATCTCGGCTCACTGCAACCTCTGCCTCCCGGGTTCAAGCAATTCTCCTGCCTCATCCTCCCAAGTAGCTGGGATTACAGGCGTGCACGACCACGCCCAGCTAATTTTTGTATTTTTAGTAGAGATCGGGTTTCGCCATGTTGGTCAGGCTGGTCTTGAACTCCTGACCTCAGGTGATCCACCCTCCTCGGCCTCCCAAAGTGCTGGGATTACAGATGTCAGCCACTGCACCCGGCCAAGAATTTTTTTTAATACATATCTTTGCACCATTTTTCTGTAAGTAATTCCATAGCATACGACCTTAGAAATGGAAATGCTGGATCAAAAGATATTTTGAAGTTTAAATGATTGCCAGGCTGCCCTCCAAAAAAAGGCTGTGTCAGTGAATTTACACTCCACAGGTGAAGTGATGAAATCAACAAGAAATGGCCGAATGAAGGTTTCTGCTCTAACTCAGCGCTCCGGTCACAGTAGGCAACTTTTCACTCAACGAGATTCAAGGAGGGCAGCCACCCCCCTGGTGGGAACTCCTCCAATACAAGTGGCTTATCTGTAAATGGAAGCCAAACTCTATACAGACACCCTCTTCCAAGATTCACCTGACCCAGGCAACTCACCATTCGTGATTATTACAAACAGAAGGCTACTGATCGGGTTCTTACATCTCCTTCTACCTAAAAGAGAAGCTTCCAAGTAGTCGCACTTTTGTGTTCTCCAAAACTAAGCACTGAGTCCCCACGTTGTGGGCCCACTTGCCACCTGATACCTTGGTGGGAGGATGTGGCCTGGGGCAGCAGAGAACTACACGGGGGTCTATGCCCTCACCAACACTCCATCCTCACCTCTTCCCTGGCGGACGTGCTCCAGCACAACTAGCCCTCACTGGAGCCGCAAAGGCAGAGTAAAGGCTGGATAACAGGAGGGAGTAATGCTTTGTCCTCTCTAGAACTTTTGGTGGTGCAGAGGATTTCAGTCCTTCCATTAAAATGTGCAATATCCATTTCGTTCCAGAGCTCATGGTGTGAATGGAATGAGTACCATTTGAATGGAATGATGACAGCAGCCAATATCTGCCCCTCCTCTGTGCCAGGTTTAGGCTAAGCACTTGACCTATGCTAGCCCATCAATGCCTCATGGATACCGTGTAACCACCAGCAAAGCCAGGTATCATTCCTATTTCAAGGGGGGGACACTGAGGCTCAGAAGTCAAACAATTCTCCAGGTTCCATCAAGCTAATAAGTGGTCTAGCTGGAAACCACTTAGGGCTGGTAGATTTCAAAAGTCATGCTATACTGTCCATCAATATGATCCCTAAGCAAACTCTTAGAAATGTTTTAAAAATAACTTCTAAGGCCCTATTTTGATTACTACTTTATAATCATCTAGCTGAATAACTAAACTAGCTCACTCTCTACATCCTGTCTGAAGTAAATACAGGCAACAATTTTACAAAAGCTACCATGGTCATTTCTAGCACAGACTTGTAAGAAAAGGATGCTGGGGTCAGCAGGCTGAGATCTGGGTCCCTTTTACCGTCTGGTTTCCTACATCAGCAGGGAGGCCACCAGAGATGCAGGCCAGGAGGGCGCTGCCGCCAGACAGCTTTGTTCACATTCCTTAACAGGCAAACCCCAGCAGCAGATTTCTGCCTGCCAGCCTCAGCAAGGCCCTGTCCCTCCCTGAACACATCCCCTTCCCTGAATTGTCTTAGCACTGGCTAAACACTCAGAGAGGACTTGCAGCAGGAGACAAAGGTGCAGCCATCCAAGTGGGCCCCAGGCAGCCAGGCCCTGTGTTTTCAGCCCACCACACAGGGGCTGTTTCTCTGATTGACAGCACCATGCCACCCTCTGCCCCCTAGGGTTTCTGTAAGTACTGTGCTGGCAGGAGGTGAGCCTCCAGGGAGGCTGCAGTACAGTGATCCTGGAGGATTCTGTGCTGTTCTCACTGATGACTAGGTCTGTTTAGAGCAACAGCAGAAGTCTCCTCTGTCTGGGAAGCTGCTGGGCCGATGGTTAGGGAAGCTGCATGATTCTCTGCAGAGCTCAGCTCACAGGGACACCCATCACCAGGAATGAAGTCCTCAAGCCCCAGCTCTGTCCACAGTGTTTCTTACAGGAATTGGCTCTGAGTCATTGCATAAGCTCCTCTGGGGTGATGAGGCCTTTCCTAATAAGGCACAGGGGGAAAGTGGTCACTGGGGACAAGGTTGTCCACAGATGTGCTGCTCCATCGGCTCTAAAAGCCAGAAAAAATGAAGGCAGGGAAAAAGAAACATACGAAGCACCAGGGCCAGAGAGGAAGCAGCTTCATTTGCATCTCCCAGTGTTCCAATTCTGCCACTGCAAGACTAGCGCTGCAGTAGCCAAAGGGTTAGGGTTAGTTTGCCACAGGGAAGGATGCCGGGACCACCCTTGGAGCGCCAGCTCCCACTCACCACCCGCCTCCTCCGTTTACCTCTTTGGGTCTTGCTGATCCTGCTTGTTTGCCCATCCCGTCCCGTCCTTGGGTACTATCACGATGTTGGGGTCGTTTCCTTTGTTTTCAGACTTCAAGCTTGGCAGGTTTGCAGGCGGTGGCATGCGCCGGGCTGCAGCAACTTTCCCAAGACTCTGTAAGCCATGTCTAGGAATAACTGCAGGGAGAGGGACATGGAACAGACACCATGCAAAAAGGTCACAGAAGGAAAGAAGCCTGATGCATTCAGCTGTTCTTTCAATCTCTAAGTGATCATAACAAAGCTAACCCAACAAAAAACAAAGGGCAGACCAGCAGTGGGACAAACAAGTGTTTGGTGTCACTTTAGTCACTTTACAAGCTCTTCACTGAAGACTACAGGGACAAAGGAGCTGCTAAAACCTGTAAAAAGGCTTCCATTTCACTGATGGGCAGGACAAGGCTCGCAGACTTTACAACATGGGTGAGGAGACAGGCCCAGGAACCTCCAGCTTACAGAGGAACCACCTCTCTGCAAGTTGAGACAGCTCTGGTCTCATTACAGGACTAAAGGGACAGCCTCTGCCTAGATCCAAAACAAGACTGAACAGGAGCCCTTCGACATTCATGAAGTCTTCATGGGGTGTGAAAAGGATCAACAAGAACCTTTCCAACAAGTTCTAGAATATCAAGAACCATGAAAGCTAAAAAGGCTGATAACACACCAGGCGTGGTGGCTCACACGTGTAATTGCAGCACTTTGGGAGGCCGAGGTGGGTAGATCGCTTGAGCCCAGGAGTTCGAGACCAGCCTGGGCAATGTGACAAAACCCTGTCTCTACTAAAAATACAAAAATTAGCCAGTCTCATAACCCAGTCTCTAAATAAATAAATAAATTTTAAAACAAAATTTAAAAAATTCTTTAAGGATGGCCGGGCGCGGTGGCTCATGCCTGTAATCTCAGCACTTTGGGAGGCCGAGGCGGGCGGATCACGAGGTCAGGAGATCGAGACCATCCTCGCTAACACGGTGAAACCCTGTCTCTACTAAAAATACAAAAAATTAGCCGGGAGTGATGGCGGGCGCCTGTAGTCCCAGCCACTCAGGAGGCTGAGGCGGAAGAATGGCGTGAACCCAGGAGGTGGAGCTTGCAGTGAGCCGAGATTGCGCCACTGCACTCCATCCAGCCTGAGCAACAGAGTGAGACTCCGTCTCAAAAAAAAAAAAAAATTCTTTATTAAGGATAACACTGGCCAGGCGCAGTGGCTCATGCCTGTAATCCCAGCACCCTGGGAGGCCGAGGTGGGTGGATCACCTAAGGTCGGGAGTTCGAGACCAGCCTGACCAACATGGAGAAACCCCATCTCTATTAAAAATACAAAATTAGGCTGGGCACGGTGGCTCACGCCTGTAATCCCAGCACTTTGGGAGGCCGAGGCAAGCCGATCACGAGGTCAGGAGATCAAGACCGATCTGGCTAACACGGTGAAACCCCGTCTCTACTAAAAATACAAAAAATTAGCCAGGCATGATGGTGGGCGCCTGTCGTCCCAGCTACTTGGGAGGCTGAGGCAGGAGAATGGCGTGAACCCGGGAGGCAGAGCTTACAGTGAGCCAAGATCACACCACTGCACTCCACCCTGCATGACAGAGTGAGACTCCGTCTCAAAAAAGAAAAACAAAAAACAAAAAGCAAAATTAGCCGGGCGTGGTGGCACATGCCTGTAATCCCAGCTACTCAGGAGGCTGAGGCAGGAGAATCACTTGAACCTAGGAGGTGAAGGTTGCACTGAGCTGAGATCACGCCATTGCACTCCAGCATGGGCAATAAGAGCGAAACTGTGTCTCAAAAAAAAAAAAAAAGGATAACACTAATGCCTATTAAGTCCCATTCTACCCATCAGGATAAAAATCCACAGCTTTGGCCAGGCACAGTGGCTCACACCTGTAATCCCAGCACTTTGGGAGGCCGAGGCGGGTGGATCACCTGAGGTCACGAGTTTGAGACCAGCCTCACTAACATGGGGAAACCCCATCTCTACTAAAAATACAAAAATTAGCTGGGCGTGGTGGCACACATCTGTAATCCTTGCTACTCGGGAGGCTGAGGCAAGAGACTCGCTTGAGCCCAGAAGGTGGAGGTTGCAATGAGCTGAGATCATGCCACTGAACTCCAGCCTGGGTGACAGAGTGAGACTCTGTCTCCAAAACATATATATACACACACACACACACACACACACACACACACACATACACACACACCTATAGATATCTATAGATAGATATCTATCTATCTATCTATAGATATCTATAGATATATCTCCCCAGCTTCAATAAGGTAATAGATGGAGAAAATTCCACTACAGAAAGAGTCAGGATGCTCAAGGCTCTGAAATCATACCTCAAGTAGGAAGTAGAGAGTGATTCTACATGCACACCCAGAAGCCTGGTGTGCACGGACCACATCTGTCTAACCAGGTGAGGGACTCTGGGTTTCTGGGATATGTCACTCGGAGAAAGTTTGAGGAACTGGCCTTCAACCCTGGGCCTTACCTGAGGATCTAATCGCGTCTACTGATTTTCCTTTATACTTATCAAACAGGCTGAGAGTCGAGTACTTGCTTTTCCCATCCTTGCCCTTGGTAATTTGCCCCAAACGATCGGACATTGCGATGAAATGTCATCTAGTAAGGAAATTTTTCTCGGCACCGCTCCCGATCTGCCTTTGAAATAGAGAAGAAAAAAAAAAAAAGAGAGAGAAAAAAAAAAAAGAGTGTCACTACAGCAGAACCTCTGATCCAGAGGAGTGAATCCTTCACGAATCATGGATCTCCTTGAAGATCTGAAGATGGCTTTGGACTGTCCTTAGAAAACTGCTCTCACCACCCACAGGCTGTTCATTCACATTTACAGGGCATTTATGTAGACACCCCGAGGCGATCTGTGGAGTACCCCCCCAACCCCCACCTGCTGTTAATTCCTCTCACTCTGAGTTGGCTGGAGTCTACTGCACACCAACCACACTGACATGTAAACTTCAACAGAGCCCTCTCCAAGTCAAGGACAGCTCAAGATGGAAAAATAAATGCTCAGTACTTTAACACATCCATGTATAACACTGAAAATAAGGCTAGCAGAATAGGGGAGGTACACAACCCACTTACACCACGGCTGTTCATCTCAAGGGCAAGCAAAACCAAATCAAAGGAGGGCAGCCAGAGTATTATCCTTCAGAAATAATCAAGTATATACACTTTTCAAAATAAACAACTAGTACCCAGAGAGAAAACATCTGCTTAGGCAACAAAAGGGCTCTCTAAGCTACACACATGGAAAACAGAAAGCAAGAACTCCCCAGGGCTAGCAAGGGAGAGACCACATGGGGGCTATGCCATCCGCACTTGCCCCTTTGAAGAGACAACCTTGAAAAGCCCTCCAAGAAAGAAGCTTCCCTCCTCTGCCACTTTCTAATGTGCTACAGGTGTCCATGAGTCTACTAGTGCTCTCCTCATCAGTTCACTCACTCACTCACTCACTCACTCACTCACTCAAAATACTAAGCGCCTGGCTGGGCGTGGTGGTTCACGCCTGTAATCCCAGCACTTTGGGAGGCTAAGGTGGGCAGATCACTTAAGGTCAGGAGTTCGAGACCTGCCTGGCCAGCATGGCGAAACCCTGTCTCTACTGAAAACACAAAAATTAGCCAGGCATGGTGGCAGGTATATGTAATTCCAGCTACTGAGGAGGATGAGGCAGGAGAATTGCTTGAACCTGGGCTGCAGTGAGTCAAGATTGCACCACTGCACTCCCGTCTAGGCGACAGAGCGAGACTGCATCTTAAAAAAAAACACAACAAAAACAAATACTAAGTGCCGACCAAGGGCCTGTGTGCCAGGCACTGAGGACTAAGAGCTTCACTGCTTTTTATTCCATACCCAACCTTGGCAATAGGTTCTAAGCTTCCTTACCAAAAACCAAACACTTGATGGGCTCAGTGGCTCATGCCTATAATCCCAGCTACTCAGGAAGGCTGAGGTGGGAGGACTGCTTGAAGCCAGGAGTTTGAGACCAGCCTGGTCAACACAGCAAGACACTGTGTCTAAAAAAATTAAAATAGGCCGGGCATGGTGGTTCACACCTATAATCCCAACACTTTGGGAGGCTGAGGTGGGCAGATCACCTGAGGTTTGGAGTTTGAGACCAGCCTGGCCAACATGGTGAAACCCCATCTTTACTAAAATTACACAAATTAGCCAGAGATGGTGGTGCATGCTTATAATCCCAGCTACTCAGGAGGCTGAGACATGAGAATTGCTTGAAGCCGGGAGGCAGAAGTTGCAGTGAGCTGAGATTGCCCTACTGCACTGCAGCCTGGGTGACAGAGGGAGACTACATCTCAAAATGAATAAATAAAAATAAAAATAATTAGCAGGGCATGGTGGCATGCACCTGTAGCCCCAGGTACTTAGGAGGCTGAGGCAGGAGGATCACTTGAGCCCAGGAGCTTGAGGCTGCAGTGAGCTATGATCAGGCCACTGTACTCCAGCCCGAGCAACAGAGCAAGATCCTATCTCTTAAAAAACAAAACTTGTAGGCCGGGCACGGTGGCTCACGCCTATAATCCCAACACTTTGGGAGGCCGAGGTGGGTGGATCACGAGGTCAGGAGCTCAAGACCAGCCTGACCAACATGGTGAAACCCCGTTTCTACTAAAAATACAAAAATTAGCTGGGCATGGTGGTGCACACCTGTAATCCCAGCTACTCAGGAGGCTGAGGCAGAAGAATCACTTGAACCCAGGAGGCAGAGGTTGCAGTGAGCCGAGATTGTGCCATTGCACTCCAGCCTGAGTGACAGAGCAAGACTCCATCTCAACAACAAGAACAAAAACAACAAAAAAATAAAACACTTGTATAAGTGATCATCACTTCTCACTGGAAAACAAAGCTAAAGCAATAATTAAGGCATATGTTTAACATGTCCTCAATGACATAATGGCAACAACTATAATTCCCCATTTTACCACTGACTGGTAAAAGGCACTTGGTGGTAGCTGCGGAAGCAAGGTTTGCCATTTCACCATCTTGTTCTGACACCATGCAGGCCAGGAGGAACACATGCGATGTGGTGGGGGGCAATCTGTACCCCAAAGGATGATTTTAAAGATAAAACTCTATATTATGGGCCAGGTGCGGTGGCTCACTCCTGTAATCCCAGCACTTTGGGAGGCTGAGGTAGGCAGATCACTAGGTCAGGAGATCGAGACCATCCCGGCTAACACGGTGAAACCCCTTCTCTACTAAAAATACAAAAAATTAGCCAGGCGTGGTGGTGGGCGCCTGTAGTCCCAGCTACTCGTGAGGCTGAGGCAGGAGAATGGCGTGAACCCGGGAAGCAGAGCTTGCAGTGAGCTGAGATCGCACCACTGCACTCCAGCCTGGGCAACAGAGCAAGACTCCATCAAAAAAACACACACACACACACAACTATATTATGATCCAAATGAAACATAGGGAGTGAAAATCGATTACAAACAGGGGCCAAAAAAAGTGAGACAAAAGACGCTGACTGAGCTGGTGCCGTGTCAAACACGCAAGTGCGCAAACCATCCTTTCATTCATTTAACAGGTATTGACTGATACCTAAGATCTGCCAATCACTGAGGGACAGATCCGCATGCAATTCGTATCAAGAAATGCTCATGAAGAACGCAGGAAGATGGATGCCGAGGGATAAGCGGTCCTACGTCCGATCTGTGTGAGCAGGGGACACAACCAGGGGCCGACACTGTGCCCTTCTTCAAGGAAATTCTCCTCTCCGCCCCACATGGCTTCAGCCATGCTGGTTGGTTACTTAACTCCCTTCCCTCACCCAAATCCCAGTTTATTCAGCTGCTGCCATGGGCCAAGGAATACCAGGGTGTTTGCAAATGTGCAGGAGCATTTTTGATGTCACAATGATGGGACTGCTGCCCACATTCAGTGGCCAAGCCCAAGGATGCTGAATGTACTAGAGGGCGTAAGAGAGTCTGGCACAATGAAGAAACATACCAGCAAAAGTGCTTCCAAGCACTCACTGCCCCCAAGTTACCTGCCAGCAGCTGCTTGACCCCAGCAGCCCTCCCCAGAGCTCACCTCCTGCACTGGAGCAAAGGGCACCAATGCTCAGAATGGGAGTCAGTCCCACGTGCCCAATCCTGACTGCGGTGCCCATGACCTGGCTGCTTCCTTGCCCTGGGGTCCATGGGCCATTTTAAATCTCCCTCCCTGAGGCTAGGTCCAGGGAGTTGCTGTCCCACTCCCCAAAAGTCATAATTAATAAGAGCATCGTTCCGTGGGCTAGATTGCAAGCCTCTTGAGGGCAGAGCGAGATCCTGTCTCAAGAAAAAGAAAGGCATGGCAAGATTTCACATTGAATGATTTTCCTTTCTTCTTCTTCTTTTTTTCTTTTTCTTTTTTTTTTTTTTTTTTTTTTTGAGACAGAGTTTCTTTCTGTAGCTCAGGCTGGAGTGCAGTGGCACCGTCTTAGCTCACTGCAACCTCCACCTCCCAGATTCAAGCAATTCTCCTGTGTCAGCCTCCTGAGTAGCTGGGCTTACAGGTGTGTGCCACCAAACCTGGCTAATTTTTGTATTTTCAGTAGAGACAAGATTTCATCATGTTGCCCAGGCTGGTCTCAAACTCCTGGCCTCAAGTGATCCACCCACCTCAGCTTCCCAAAGTGCTGGGATTAAAGACATGAGCCACCGTGCCTGGCAACATCGAATGATTTCTTAAATCAAATGTGATTTTTTTTCTTTTTGTTGAGACGGAGTCTCACTCTGTCACCTAGGGTGGAGTGCAGTGGCATGATCTCGGCTCACTGCAACCTCTGCCTCCTAGGTTCAAGCGATTCACCTGCCTCAGCTTCCCAAGTAGCTGGGATTACAGGCGTGAACCACCATGCCCAGCTAAAATGTCATTTAATTCTGAAAACTGACCAGAAATACATTTGTTTATATAAATATTACTTAAAAAGTCCTCGGGGGCCAGGCATGGTGGCTCACGCCTGTAATCCCAGCACTTTGGGAGGCTGAGGCGGGTGATCACGAGGTCAGGAGATCGAGATCATCCTGGCTAACACGGTGAAACCCCATCTCTACTAATAATACAAAAAAAATGAGCCTGGCGTGGTGGCAGGCGCCTGCAGTCTCAGCTACTTGGGGGACTGAGGCAGGAGAATGGCATGAACCCAGAAGGGGAGCTTGCAGTGAGCTGAGATCGCGCCACTGCACGCCAGCCTGGGTGACAGAGCGAAACTCCATCTCAAAAAACAACAACAACAACAACAACAAAAGTCCTCTTAAAAGCTGTTTGCCCTGGCCTCTACTTTCTCTGACTCTGTGCTGACCAGGCCTGAGGGAAAAGGGTAGAATGGACACACACAGCTCTCAGTGTAACTACCTGGCACACACCACACTTCTCTGAGAAGGTTTGATTCATACTTCCCCATACCCTAGTGGCAACAAAAGGAAAAAAACCTTGCTCAGGTCAGGCGTGGTAGCTCACGCCTGTAATCCCAGCACTTTGGGAGGCCGAGGCGAGAGGATCACCTGAGGTCAGGAGTTCAAGACCAGCCTGGCCAACATGGTGAAACCCCGTCTATACTAAAAATACAAAAAGGAGCCAGGCATGGTGGTGCACGCCTGTAATCTCAGCTACTCGGGAGGCTAAAGCAGGAGAATCACTTGAAGGCAGCAGAATCACTTGAACCCAGGAGGCAGAGGCTGCAGTGAGCCAAGATTGCGCCATTGCACTCCAGCCTGGGCAGCAGAGTGAGAATCCATCTCAAAAAACAAAAAACCTCGCCCAAACATGAGACACTCTCCTAGAAATTTAGAATTGTGTTTACGAGATGTCAGTCTGTCTACAACTATTCCTTGAACTATGTCCTCCCAGTAAATTCAACCACCCAACAAATATTAACTGGGCACCTTCTGTGTTCCAGGTGAAATGTTTTCCACCCCTTCCAATCACAGAGCCTTGGTGAAGCCAGTACAAGAAACACATTGGACTAACATCTGCACTTAACCTGCTTGTACAATGTTTTCTTTAATGCCCTCCATCTTTTCTTTTCTTTTCTTTTTTTGAGACAGAGGCTCACACTGTCGCCCGGGCTGGAGTGCAGTGGCACAATCTTGGCTCACTATAACCTCTGCCTCCCAGGTTCAAGTGATTCTCCAGCCTCAGCCTCCCGAGTAGCTGGGATTACAGGTGCGCGCCACCACGCCCAGCTAATTTTCGTATTTTAGTAGAGACAGGGTTTCACCATGTTGGCCAGGCTTGTCTCAAACTCCTAACCTCAAGTTATCCGCCCACCTTGGCCTCCTGAAGTGCTGGGATTACAAGCGTGAGCCACCACACCCAGCCAGTGCCCCCAACCTTTTAACCAAGTTTTGCACTTGTTGGGCACGCTATTGGCCTCTCTAGACCTGTTTCCTCATCTACTGAAGGAGTGGCCTAGACAAGCACTGACCCTAAAATCAAGCCCATCAATGTTGACAACTGACAGCCACAGAAATAATGGTTTACTACCCAGGCGCCGGGGCTCACGCTTGTAATCCCAGCACTTTGGGGAGCTGAAGCAGGCGGATCACTTGAACCCAAGAGTTCAAGACCAGCCTGAGCAACATGGTAAAACTCTGTCTCTACTAAAACTATATTTAAAAAAATTAGCTGGGCGTGGTGATGCACGCCTGTAATCCCAGCCACTGGGGAGGCTGAGGCAGGACAACTGCTTGAGCCTGGGAGGTGGAGGTTGCAGTGAACGGAGATTGGGCCACTGCACTACAGCCTGGGCGACAGAGGGAAAAATCTGTCTAAAAAAAAAAAACGTAGCAGAAAGAAATGGCTTACTGTGGAATCAGCCACCTCTTACAAGCCTGGGATTGGATCCTATTTTCCTATATAAACTTGGGATACCAACAAGGAACCAGGCGAGTCACTGCTGCAGTGAATGAAAGCAGCCCCTACGAGGACAATTACACTCTCCACAGTGAAGACTGCACAAGTGGAGAATCTTCCAGCCTCAACGTTCCATCAGAGCAGGGGCCGGCAGCCTGAAGAGAAATAAGCAAGAGGCCATCTATGGCCCACAAAGCCCAGAACAGTTACTGCCTGGTCCTTTACAAAGTTTGTGTATACACACCTGCTTTACGGCAGTCAGGAGATCTTTCACTGGACACAACTCCAAAATAAACCAGAATCATTCGGATTTCCTCCCGTTGCAGGGATCTCCACTGACCGGCTGAGTGCGAGGCTGGCCCCGCCCACAAGCATCTGGCCCCACTGCTTGCCAGCTGCTTTTCACAAACATCAGGCCAGGGCGCTGTTAGCAGGGCTTTACCAGGCTTCAAATACCTGCCGAGTTTCCATCCATCAACACACATGCATACCCCAAGCTAAACTAGCCTATCCGGAGGCAGGGAGAAAGCACCGGTGAGCATCCAAGTGTGAAGCAGGAAGCCGGCTGAGGCAAGAGAACAGCTCTCCAGCGGGTCTGAGGCATTTCCATCCAGCTCTGACTCACCCCTAGGTCTGTGGGACTAGACCCGGCATAGACGCACCAAGTCCTCGCAGGTTAGCATAAGTCAAACCTGGCTTATGGCCACGGCTTTACCTCACCTTCTCTCCCTTCTGTAGGCAACAGAATTCGTTTTCTCTCCAACAGAATCTGACTTGGAACCTCAGTATGACATATGAAGCAGACACAACCCAATGATGCCTGCTGGAAAGAAGTCCAGCCTATGTGCCCCCTTGCTGTAAGCCCTCCTTTCCCACAGAAGCCACTCAGAGACACTGCCACGGGGAGCTAGAGCATTCTGAAACTTGCCAGCCTAAAAGAAAATATTGCCATTAGGCAGATGAAAAAGGGGCCTAAAACCCATATGAAGATAGATTTGGGAACAAATCAATGGAGAAAAGAACATTGAAAAAGAATCCAGGTTGCATATTTTGGCACATAATCTAAAGAAGTGCTCCCAGGCTGTGCTGGAACAAAAACAACCAGAAAGATTCGCCAACAACGGCAACTTCACATCCAAGCCCCGCCTCTCCAGACAGTGCCCGCCTGTCCAACAGGTTCCTGCTATCTGTCCACCAGAGGGAACATCTCTGCCCTGTAATTAATTTATCAAAAGCCATTTCCGGGTAACAGGATTAATTTCACTCCACACTTGAGTGCCAGCCAGTGTCAGATGCCTGACCAGGGCACTGGGATGACCTGTCATTCACCAGGAACCACTACGGCTCCGCATTCAGGGGAGATCAGTGGCCACCAGCACTTCAAGGGCCAGGCACCCTGCTAAGCCCTCATGTGCTCTACTCCCCTTCATAACAGCACTTTCTGGAAGATACTACTGCCTGTTTGACAGAGAAGGACATTAAGGTTCAGTCAATCAGGATAGAAAAGTAACACACCCGGCAGGATGCGGGTGACTCACGCCTGTAATCCCAGTGCTTTGGGAGGCCAAGGTGGGTGGATCACAAGGTCAAGAGATCGAGACCATGCTGGCCAACATGGTGAAACCCCGTCTCTACTAAAAATACAAAATTTAGCTGGGCATGGTGGCGCGCGCCTGTAATCCCAGCTATTCGGGAGGCTGAGGCAGGAGAATCGCTTGAACCCGGGAGGCAGAGGTTGCAGTGAGCCAAGATCATGCCACTGCACTCCAGCCTGGGAACAGAGTGAGACACCCATCTTAAAATAAAATAAAAAAATAAAAAAAAGAAAGAAAGAAAAGAAAAGTAACGCACCCAAGGTCACAAGGCTGCCGAGTGCAGGGCCAGGCTTGGAGCCCAGGCTGCACTGGACGCCACCAGGCTGCAGACTGAATGCCCCACGACCTGGAATCTGCTTTCCCAGTGGGAGTACCGGTGCAGACACGAAAGGCGGCACAATGGGTTCTGATATAAGTCAGCCCAGGCTCAACAGCTGCTTTCTGGCCAACTGTACAGATGATGATCCTGGACAGCTTCAAAAACAAGCATTTTATTTACGCCATGCCACCAACAGCCAGATTCTCACCCAAGGCAAATCCAGTCACTTCACTCTTCACATGTGGGCACCTAGAGATTTCATGGCTCTTTCCTCCACTCACAATAGTGACAAAGGCCCAAGGCCCGACCTCAGGGGGACACAATGAGTGCTGCAACGTGCCCTGGCCGTGAGGCTGGGGGCAGTGAGAGAGAAAGGTGGAATGTCTCTTTATAGAACGAACGGAAAGATCCCACTGCTAGACAAAACATACCAAAAATCATGATTCCACAGGCATGGAAATTGATAGCAGGCTGGATAAACGCTTCAGGAAGTAACAATGTGGGCCAGAAAAGGACGTGGCCACTGGACAGTTTACTTGTTAAGTCTCAGCCAAGAACCATCACCACGAAATCCAGGGACAAGATGAAAGAAGTCTATCTTTCCCCAACACACCAATCAATGTCTGGCAAAAAAACCTTTAACGTAAGTAAGGCGACCTCACCTACTTCAAATACTCAAACGTTTACTGACCAATGTGTGTGCCAGACCCTGTGTCACTTGGTGCTGGGGACATGGAGACAGGAGACTCCACCCTGCACTCCTGCAGCAGGAGAGATCTGCAAAGTTTGTCTGTAAAGGGCCAGACAGTAAATGTACTCAGCTTTGCTGGCCACACAGAGCTCTCTGCTGCAATTGCTCAACTCTGCCTGAGGCTGTCGTCGTAGCATGGAAGTAGCCCCAGACAATACATAAAAGAGAATAGCCATATTTACAAAAACAGGAGGTGGGCTGCAATCGGGGTTGCAGTTTGCTGCCTTCTGGTTCAGAGGGTAAAGTATGGACATGAATACATTGCAAGATGATGATGAACTTGTGTGCATATCAGGGTGGGGGAACCAGGTGGGTTTGAGGGGACACTTCTGCTGCCTCACTCGATGACAGCCTAACCCAACCCCCACCACACCTCCAGCTTGCAGAGGCTCCCTACGTGGCACTGTCAGAAAAGCAAGGGTAGGCCAGGTGTGGCGGTTCACACCTGTAATCCTAGCACTTTGGGAGGCTGAGGTGCACCTGAGGTCAGGAGTTCGGAACCAGCCTGGCCAACATGGCGACACCCTGACTCTACTGAAAATACAAAAATTAGCTGGGCGTGGTAGTGCATGCCTGTAATCCCAGCTACTCAGGAGGCTGAGACAGGACTCACTTGAACCCAAGAGGTGGAGGTTGCAGTGAGCCGAGATCATGCACTGCACTCCAGCCTGGGCGACAGAGGGAGCCTCCATCTCAAAAAAAAAAAAAAAAAGAAAGAAAGAAAGAAAGAAAGAAAGAAAGAAAGAAAGAAAAAGAAAAAGAAAAAGAAAAAAGAAAAGCAGAGGTGGCTTTCAAAGAGCCCTAAAGCGCCCACATTTCTGTTCCCTAAGAGCGAGGCACTGGCTCATCTGGAAAGCTGAAGGCTGGGCTCAGCTATAGCACAATCCAGGCATTCTACCTGCAGAAGCCCAAATGGGTGAGGTCCCTGCAGAACACTGCACAAACTCTCCAAGAATAAACAGCCTGAAAATAAGGTTTGAGGAAACCACAGAGTGGGGAAAGTGGGGTTCCTGGTAACCCAGTGTTCCTTATGGGAGACATGAGCCATCCCCAGAAGACCACGCACCCCAAGGAGACAGCATATATAGGAAGCAACAAATTTAAAATAAGAGGAAAGGAAAAACAAAGAAGCATTGAGGCGTATGGTGAGGACACAAGAAGCACTCCCCACCCCCAGTGGAGAACTGGGGGGTTCTCCAGCACTTAGTTGCAAGCCCCTTGCCGGAACCACATGGTCAGCTGGGTCCCCTCCACCAGAGCCACGGCTCACACAGCAACACAGACCACGGGGAGCACCTGCTCACACACCTTCCACATCACCCCCCACCGCGCCAGGGTCAAGTCCAGACCCCCCCGGCCCAACATGCTGGCCCCACGCCGCCACCCAGCCTTCTCCCCACACCACCCCCGGCAGTCTCAAATCTGAAACACTGGGTTTGCATCTCGCCTCCACTCCACACTGTGACTTGAGGTCTATTTCCTCGTGGATTAAGATGAACATACCATGTTAATCTCCCACCTCCCAGGTCTGCTGTAAGGAATAAACAAGAGAACAAAGACCCCCGCACTTGACCCAGCACTTGTCCTCAGCAGGCACTCGACCAATGGCGGCTGTCACCTCACCGTGGTTCTGCTCTTGTTCTCTCTCCAGCCCACCCAATTATCAGCTTTTGACAGTGCTCATCTCTCCAGACTCCTATGCAGCCAGGGAAGCCTCCGTTCCCCAGCAGGGCTGCTCTGGGTGGTGCTGGGTAGACCAGGCACCTGTGCTTCTACCTCCTCCTGTGCACTGGGGACCCGTCCCCACGTTGGTGTGTCACAGTTTAAGTGTCACAGTTTAAGGGTGCTGGTACAGAGAGCAGACCTTCAAACACCATGAGGACAAACTCCCAGGTGTTTAGGATCTGCTAGTGGACCCCTTTAATTCTCAGGAAGACAGAGATGCAGGGAGATTCTCAGAAAACCCTCTTGAGATAAACACTCTACTGTGACTAATTTAAACCACACTAAACTGCCCCAGTTTCAAGGCTTCCCACTTTGGGGCAATAAACGTAGCTATTTACTGCAGTCACCCTCTGATGTTACAATAGATGGCCTTATGGAAGTGGATAATCCCAGTACTGCTCATTTATTTCTCCATCACATTTTTAGTAACAAAAGAAATATACGCTTGATACAGAAAAACTGTAAATCTTAAAAAAAATTACAGAAAAGTATCATCCCTAAACCAGCTCCCAGATTAGATCCCTGGATCTCTCTTCACCAGCATGAGCCACTTAAATTCCAGGTGCTGTCACGCTGCAATACTAATCATCTGCCTCGCCCGTGTTCTACTGTGTTTTGACTTCCCATTTCAAAAGAATTCAGCAGTAAGGGTCATAAAACACTGTGTATTAATTCCAAACAGATTTGCTATTTGTTTTTTAAAACTATGAAGATAATTTTAAAGAAAACTCAGGATGGCAGAAAGGCTGAGCTGAGCACACACACACCGAGGAGGAAGGCCACGTCCCAGCCAGCTGCAGCTGTCCCTGGCTTGCCCGGCAGTGCCATTGTTTACACCCAAAGCCTTTCCCCTGTAGGAATGATGTCACCTGGAGCAAGCTGGAATCTGGGCACAAAAGAAGAAGACAAATCAGGCTGGCCTGTCTCTGGCAGCAAGTGACTTCCTTCAGCCCAGGAGAAAGCATTCCTCCCCACCTTCCTAAACCCTATGTCCTCACAGAGACTCACAGAAAAAAACACAGGGGGGTAAAAAAAACCAAGATTGGTTCTATCATCCCCCAAATAATAACCAACGCTGAATCTAAACTCCCACCTAACCTCTAGGTAAACACTCTCTGGGGCAAACACTCCCTATAGAGGATGAACCCCCTTTGCAGGCAGTAGCTCTCTCTCTACACACAAGTTTCCAGAAGGAAGAGGGGGCCAGGGGCCAAATGTCACCTCCTGCACTTACTGTTTTCTCAGTGACAAAGTGGAGACAGACAGCTGCTTTAGAAGGAAGAGATGATGATCCCCAGGTGTGCCACCAGCACCCTGATGCAATGCTCCTTGGCACAGAGGAGTTCAGCAGATAGTGGTGGTGACACCATCACCCCCTGCAGCTGGCTGAACTCTCTGCCTCCGGGGCTTTGGACTCCCTTTCTCAAGGCGTCTGGAGGGAAGGACAGAGAAGTTCACCCTCCATATGTGTAAGAAGGTTGTGCCAATGACCAGACATCAAAACCAGCCTTACCTCTGGGCCTCACCATGCTCTGTAGCGACCACAGCAAATGGCAGTTCTTGAGGTTCTGACACAAAAAGAGAGTCATGCTCGATCATGGGGAAAAGGCAGTCGAGTGGTGCTCGGACAAAAATACTCCCACACCCGTGTACATAAAGAGGGCTGTGCACGCATCTCCACGCACACACATCCCACAGATGGCCCTTAATTCAATTCCATCCAACTCACAGACACACTATTTAGAATACAGGGGGCTTCTGGTTAAACATGGCAGAAAGACTGAGGGCTTGTACAGCTCATCCTTCCAACCCCCGAAAATGAAAACAGCGAAGAACCCAAACAACAGGGACAGTTTTGGCAAGGAGGGGGCAAAAGTATGAACAGATTTCACAGACTGAAAGATGCCACAACATGAGGACTGCAGAGGGGAAAACCTCCCTTCACCCAGGATATCAGAAGGCTCAGGAGGTCGTAGGAGGTGGCAGGCACCTTGCATGAAAGGGGAAGGTGGGAACTCAGATGTGGGGGGACTGGCTGAAGGCTGCAAGTGCAACAGCTAGACACCTACGGCCCCTTCCCTCCCCCACTGGATACATTAAACAAGAGAAGTCTAGACTTGAGAACACCAGGGTCAGAGGGGGAAGGGGTGGGGAAAGGAGACCCCCCAAAAAAGTGAAGAGAGAACCTGAGTGGCAAACCTCAGAAGCTTCAGGCCCCCCACTTCTGCTGCTCCTCACAGGAGGGCAGCAGACAAACACCACACCACCCTCCACTCCTCAGGCAAAGACAAGGGAGTCTTCTCTTGAAAAACCAGCCCCAGAGAAAGAAAACCTATATACACCAACATGGGATTCAAGAAATGAAAAGGCCAGCCTCCCATCCAGGCACCCACTCTGAAGAGTCCATGCAGTTTCCAATCAGCTGTGTGCCCGAGACCACAGGTATCTGAGAGATGACCAACTAAAAGACAGACACCAAATAAATAGACAAAATAACAGAGGAAACAGACAGTGCCAGAGATCAAAGATTAAAAATATGTATTATAAAATTAATATCCTCATAAAATCAAGAGAAGATACCACACCCATGAAATAAACTTTTTTTCCCCCTTAAAAAATAACTAGAAAACAAGAATCACCCTAGTTACAATTAAGCATGTTATAGCCCAAACCCCATAACCTCAGGATAATCATGAAGAAAGCATCCGACAAATCCCAAATCGAGGAACATTCTACCAAATATCTGATCGGTATGCCTCAAAACTGTCATGGTCATCAAAAACTTAATTGTCACAACCTAGTGGAAACTATGGGGACATGATTAAATTTAATGTGGCATCCTAGAACGGAAAAAAAAAAGACACTGGGTACAAGCTAAGAACATCTGAATAAAGCATAAACTTTAGTCAATAATAATGTATCAATACTGGTTCATTAGTTGTGACAAATATACTGTACTAACATAAGATGTGTTTAATGGGGGCAAACTGGGAGTAGGCTATATGGGAACTCCAACTTTTCTGTACAGCTAAACTATTCTAAAGT
Organism: Homo sapiens; assembly: GCF_000001405.40. Lineage (NCBI taxonomy): Eukaryota > Metazoa > Chordata > Mammalia > Primates > Hominidae > Homo > Homo sapiens. The sequence goes on along the minus strand of NC_000009.12, from coordinate 131,416,435 downwards.
AAAATAATCCAATTAGAAGAGGTAGAAGAGGCCAGGCGCAGTGGCTCACACCTGTTAATCCCAACACTTTGGGAGGCCGAGGCGGCAGATCATGAGGTCAGGGGTTCGAGACCAGCCTGGCCAATATAGTGAAACCCCATCCCTACTAAAGATACAAAAATTAGTCAGGCGTGGTGGCATGCGCCTGTAATCCCAGCTACTCAGGAGGCTGAGGCAGAAGAATCACTTGAACCTGGGAGGCAGAAGTTGCAGTGAGCCGAGATGGCGCCACTGCACTCCAGCCTGGGCAACAGAGCAAGACACTGTCTTAAAAAAAAAAAAGAAAGAAAAGAAAACGAAGAAGAGGTGGAAGAGCAAGCCAAACAAATCTCAGAAAATGAGCGATGGGATAATGCTAGTCACATCCTACCCCCAAAATCAAAGGATTAACCCAGGAGTCCAGATTTAACTAGGAGTTCCAGAAACATGGGGGTGGGGTGGGGGGAAGGAGAGGAAGAAATTATCAAGTAAAAAATGCCAAAAATAGTTCCCAGAGTTGAAGTAGCCAAGTAGCCGAGACTTCAAAGGCCCACCAAGTGCTCAGAACAATGGATATAAAAAGAACACAAAGTACAATGTGAAATTTCAGCATGTTAGGGATACAGTTTGAGAATCTAAAAGCTTCTAAAAGTCATCCCTCTTGCAAAAAAGTTCCCAGGGAGGAACAATCAGAATGGCAATGAGTTCTCAGGAGCAACAATGATGGAGACTTCTTACCAGTATCACCATCCTCTCTAGGAAATGACTTTCAATCTAGAATCCAATACTCAGCTGACCAAGTCAAGTGTAGGGACAGAAAAAGACTTTTTCAGACCTACATAAGGACTCAAAATAGGATTTTTACAAGAGAGCAAACCGAGGGACTGGCAATATTAGTGGGACCACTCCTGTCTGCCTACCCAGCAGTTAATTCTCCCTTCCTCCTTCCTGATGGAGCCTGAGGGAGGCTGACCCAGCCCCAGCCCCAGGGGAGCGGGGGCCTGGCCTAAGAGAAGCCCAGCTCCGGTTCTAATGACTGGTTCAGAATGGGTGCACCCAAATAATCCCAAACCTGTCTACTTCTGGACTTGCAATTACTTGAGTCAATGAACGTTCTTATTAAGATAGTTGCTGTTGGCCAGGCCTGAAAATCCCACCACTTTGGGAGGCCAAGGCGGGTGGATCACCTGAGGTCCGGAGTTCAAGACCAGCCTGACCAACATGGTAAAACCCCCGTCTCTACTAAAAATACAAAAATTAGCTGGGCGTGATGGCGCACACCTGTAGTCCCAGCTACTCAGGAGGCTGAAAACAGGAGAATCGCTTAAACCTGTGAGGCAGAGGTTACAGTGAACCGAGATTGTGCCACTGTACTCCGGCGTGGGCAACAGAGTGAAACTCCGACTCAAAAAAACAAACAAAAAAGACAGTTGCTGTCATTATGTCCAAATTATCCAACCAATACAAATAGGATCCAGGAAATAAGGACCACGTGTGGAGGGACAAAAACAAGTCCCAGAATGACGACCAACAGAAGCCCGAGATAGCAGCCAGGCACGGTGGCTCATGCTTGTAATCCCAGCACTTTGGGAGGCCAAGGCGGGTGGATCACTTGAGGTCAATAGTTCAAGACCAGCCTGGCCAATATGGTGAAACCCCATCTCTACTAAAAATACAAAAATCAGTTGGGCGTGGTGGCAGGCACCTGTAGTCCCAGCTACTTGGGAGGCTGAGGCAGAAGATCACTTGAACCCGGGAGGTAGAGGTTGCAGTGAGCCAAGATCAGGCCACTACACTCCAGTCTGGGCGACACAGCAGAGACTCCATCTCCAAAAAAAAAAAAAGCCCAAGATGGTAGCCGCACCATGGGCCAGAGGGGCAACAGTCCTGGTAAAAACAGGATAGAGGCTTCTGGAGGAACAAACAGGATGGATTATCTACCATTTCCAGGAAATTACAAATTAGTATTGATTGCATTTTCTTGGAGCAATGTAAAAAGCAAAAGATACAAACTTTAATGCAGTTTAATGTATCAAATTTTTCTACTTTGGTTACTGCTTTCTGTGTCCGATTTTTCCAAAATCATGAAGATATCCTATGTTTTATTCTAGAGGCTTTATTGTTTTATCTTTCATGTTTACATCTATGATCTACCTAACACTGATTTCTCGATATGATTTGTGATAAAAGTTTCATTTTTTTCCCTTATGGAGAGTTCAGTTCTCCCAGTACCTTTTCTGAAAAGGCCATCTTTTCTCTTTGTCATGTGTCATAAATTAAGTGACTACTGATGTGCAGTTTGTTTGAAGACTGTTCCCTCCAATCAGCCTATTTGTCTATCTTTTTGGCAACACTGCATTGTCTTAATCACTGCAGCTTTTATAAAGTCTGGATATTTGGTAGGATATGTCCTTCAGCTTTGTTTTTCTTCAAGAATGCTTTGATTAAGGCCCGGCGTGGTGGCTTACGCCTGTAATCCCAGCACTTTGGGAGGCCGAGGCGGGTGGATCATGAGGTCAGGAGATCAAGACCATCCTGCCCAACATGGTGAAACCCCATCTCTACTAAAAATACAAAAATTAGCTGGGCGTGGTGGTGTGCGCCTATAGTCCCAGGTACTCGGGAGGCTGAGGCCGAAGAATCGCTTGAACCTGGGAGGCAGAGGTTGCAGTGAGCCAAGATCGCACCGCTGCACTCCAGCCTAGGCAACAAGAGCAAAAACTCCATCTCAAAAACAAAATAATGCTTTGATTAGTCAGGTGAGGTGGCTCACACCTGTAACCCAGCACTTTGGGAGGCCAAGGCAGGATGATTCTGAAGCCAGGAGTTTGAGACCAGCCTGGGCAACACAGTGAGAGCACGTCTCCACTAAAAATTAGCTGGGTGTGTTGGTGCATGCCTATGTTTGAAATGCTTGTTCCCTGACGCTGTAAAGAAATAGCACTTGAACGTAAATTTAATTTCCTCAGCAAGGCCATTTTTATACTTTCTGCAGAAAGGGTACAGTCGCTAGCAGTTTTGCCACCGAACAAAGGAGACAGGGTCATTTACAACCTGATGCGTCCACCCTACTGCGTTCAGTTTCCATTGGCTGGAACAGGACCTCACATTCTGTATCTGTCCCGATTGGCTAGGAACTTAGAACTTTTTAAAAGAGGCGAAGGCAGAGGAGAACAAAGGAAGGAGAAAGTAACTTGTGGAATGCTAAGAAAGGTAAAAACACCTTCAAATAAGAAAAAGGAACAGGCTATGACCTAATGCTTGCTTGGACCAGTATAAGCATACCAGGGCAAATATTCAGGCTAAATTGTAGGAGCTAAGAATATAAAGTACATTAATTTATTTATTACAGCTAGCAGATATTTAAGAATGTTAGCACAGGTCTTTAAATAAATTTTGCTTCTAAAAGAAGTTACTATTTATTCCTAATTAGATGAAGAGGAAAATCTTTAAAATGAAACCTCTACTTTACTTTTTACACCTATAATCCCAGCTACTCGGGAGGCTGAGGCTGGAGGATCTCCTGAGCCCAGGAGTTTTAGGCTGCAGTGACCTATAATCGTCTCACTGCACTCCAGCCTGAGCAACAGCAAAACTCCTTCTCAAAAAAAAAAAAAAAAGAGAGAGAGAGAATGCTTTGATTATTCTTGGCCCTTTTGCATTTTCATATAAATTTCAGAATGAGTTTGTCAATTTCTGAAATAAACAGCTAAAACAAAAGAAAAGCTGCTGGGATTTTCACTAGAATTACAGGGAATCCAGCGGTTAATTTGCAAAGAAGCAACATCTTTACAGCGTCAGCAGAGCAAGGATGACCCTCATGTACCTGGTGCCATCACTGAGAGCTGGCAGCTGCCCATGCAGCCACCATATGCTCACCCATGACCCAGTTAACTCCAAACCTAGGTATATACCCAACAGCGTGTGCATGCACGCACGCACGCACGCACATACCCGCACTGTGGCAGCATTGTTTGGAAGAACTATGGAAATGAGCTCAGTCTGTCACATGGATAATTACATCCACATAACCAAAAACCATCCTACAATAAGAACAAATAAACATACACAACTATACAGATGAAACGCACAAAAAAAATGTTGAATCAAAGGAGACAGACACAAAAGAGCAAGCAGCAGAGCAGGGTAGTTTTAAAGGGCCAAGAGGACCACCCACAATGAAAGTACAAACATTAGAACAAACAGAAGCCTGTCCACCTTGGTAGATCAAGCCCATCAAGATAGAGACGGTCAACGTAGATGAGCAAACATGTTCTAAAAGTGACTATATTAGACTTTAAGAAAAATTCAGGCCAGGTACAGTGGCTCACACCTGTAATCCCCACACTCTGAGAGTCCGAAGTGAGAGGATCGCTTGAGGTGAGGAATTTGAGATCAGTCTGGGCAATACAGCAAGACGCCATCTCTACAGAAAAAAAAAAAAAAATTAATTAGCTGGGTGTGGTGGCACATGCCTGGATCCCAGCTACTTGGGAGACTCCCTTGAATCCAGGAGTTTGGGGTTGCAGTAAGCCGTGACTGTGCCACTGCACTCCACCCTGGGTGACAGAACAAGACTCTGTCTGAAAAAAGAAAAGAAAAATCCCAAATTCTGTAAAGTAAAACTGACAACAGTGCAATAAAACAAGACATGATGAAAGTAGAAATAATAACCCCAAGAGCTGGAAAACCTAACACTCTCTACTAAAAAAGTTTTGAATCTAAGTGGAATTCAAAACCACACCTGCAAAATATCTAGAAAATAGTACAAATGAGGCCAGGCGCAGTGGCTCATGCCTGTAATCTCAGCACTTTGGAAGGCCGAGGCGGGCGGATCACGAGGTCAGGAGATCAAGACCATCCTGAACACAGTGAAACCCTGTCTCTACTAAAAATACAAAAAATTAGCCAGGCGTGGTGGCAGGCGCCTGTAGTCCCAGCTACTCGGGAGGCTGAGGCAGGAGAATGGAGTGAACCCGGGAGGTGGAGCTTGCAGTGAGCCGAGATTGCGCCACTGCACTCCAGCCTGGGCAACAGAGCAAGACTCCGTCTCAAAAAAAAAAACAAAACAAAAAACAAAACAAAACAAAAAAACAAACAAAAAAAAGAAAATAGCACAAATGAAAAACAGAACACTGCATAACAAAGCTTTCTTCCCCTGCCGACACAGTCTCGCTCTGTCACCCAGGCTGGAGTACAGTGGCGTGATCTCGGCTCACTGCAATCTCCACCTCCCGGGTTCAGGCGATTCTCCTGCCTCAGCCTCCCAAGTAGCTGGGATTACAGGTGCCTGCCACCACCCCCAGCTAATTCTTTTTATTTTTAGTAGAGATGGGGTTTCACCATGTTGGCCAGGCTGGTCTCCAACTCTTGATCTTAGGTGATCCGCCCTCCTCGGCCTCCCAGAGTGCTGGGATTACTGGCCGTAAGAAAACTTTCAAAGCAAAAATAAATCTGTACTCAGAGGAAATATCCTAAAAACCAAATTCCTAACGAAAAAAAATGAAATATAAATTAAGCATCCAAGTTAAGAAATCAGAAAAAAACCAATGCAAGCAAATGTAAGGGAAAGCAGAAACAATGAAGAAAAAGCCTAAAGAGAGCTAGGGAGTGTAATAAATACATCTGCATAAAATTGCATTTAAGAATAGGAGCTCCTCCAGTCAGGTGAGGTCCACAAGGAAAAAAAGAAAAGAAAAAATGAATAAAATTAGTTCCTTGAACGAAGAAACAAAATAGATAAACCACTCAGAGAAGGGTATTAGTACTTCCATTTTATAGACATGAAGGCTCCGCAAGGTTAAATAACTAGTTCAAGGTCACTATCATCCAGTTAGTGAGTCTAAAAAATCTGAACCTGAACCCGGGGTGATGTGACATCCAGACTTACTTGGGCAGTGTTGGGCACTGGAAGAACGACGCCTGCTGCCATGATTGGGAGGCCCATGCGGTGGGCCCCAGAGAATGGCCCCACCTGCCCACGGTACTCCCTGGCCCTGCCAGCACCCCTGGGGACCTGAGGTGAATGTGAAGTGCAGGCCTGGCCTGCGGTGGGGTGTGAACTGGCGCTGGCACTGTTATCTTTACTCTAATACAGCATCCCACACCCCCAGAGTCTGCACCAGCTCTGGGCTCCTCACCCACAGGGTCTGCCTGGAGCCCCTCTCCTCATCTAGCTCACAGGCAGGCAGGCTTGGGCTGAAGCCTGAAGAGGACTCTGGCTGGAAAGCCCATATGCGGTCTCCAAGTTCCTGCCTACCTCCCGCTTTGAAGATGCGGTTAATTTAGCAAGGGGGGTGGGGAAGAAGATGATTTCAACATATGGTGAGTGATGAACAGTTGGACAGATGTGCTATACAAAGGCCTCCCTCTCTGGCGTCAAAATTTAACAAGGACCTGGCAAATAAAAGAAATACATGAAATACATGGGCTTCTTTCAGTTACTCCTTCCTTTTCCACCTCCAAATAATGGTGAATTAACAAATGAGAAGTACTCTGCAAATGCAACCAAAATCTATGTTCTTTATTGTACAATCTGATTTAGTAGAGAAGAGAAATCGGAGACAGCATTTGTATTGGATTGTTCCTTCTAACCAGATAAACAAAGCAGTTTCTGAGGGCCACTGACACATCAACAGAGACAGACGATTGAACTAGTTAAATTCACAGTAACCACTGGGGCCCAATACCAGGAGCCAGGGTGCACTGGATGGGTCTGCGTGGAATACGAAGCCTGGAGCAGCTCTTACCTCACGGTAAGTTTGATCTGGCACCAGGAAAAGAGCCACCAACACAGCAGCTGCCCCAGCCCAGCCCGGCCCCCACAGGCTCCACTGTACTGAAATGCATGCGAGTTACCTTTGTTATTATCTTTGTAACCAATACATGTTACTAATACACATTCAGTAAGACAAATTCAAAAGATACTAATGTGGCCAGGGAGCAGTGGCTCACACCTATAATCCCAGCACTTTGGGAGGCCGAGATGGGCAGATCACCTGGGGTCAGGCGTTCGAGACCAGCCTGGCCAACCAACATGGTGAAATCCCGTCTCTACTAAAAATACAAAAATTAGCCAGGCGTGGTGGCAGGCACCTGTAAGGTGCGGTGGCTCACGTCTGTAATCCCAGCATTTTGGGAGGCCAAGACGGGCAGATCACCTGAGGTCGGGAGTTCGAGACCAGCCTGACCAACATGGAGAAACCCCATCTCTATTAAAAATACAAAATTAGCCGGGCGTCGTGGCACATGCCTGTAATCTCAGTTACTTGGGAGGCTGAGGCAAGAGAATCGCTTGAACTCAGGAGGTGGAGGTTGCAGTGAGACAAGATCGCGCCATTGCACTCCAGCCTGGGCGACAAGAGCAAAACTCCATCTCAGGAAAAAAAAAAAAAAAAGTGGCTGAGCGCAGTGACTCATGCCTGTAATCCCAGCACTTTGGGAGGCCGAGGGGGGTGGATCACCTGAGGTTGGGAGTTTGAGACCAGCCTGACCAACATGGAGAAACCTCGTCTCTACTGAAAACACAAAATTAGCTGGGTGTGGTGGCACATGCCTGTAATCCCAGCTACTCGGAAGGCTGAGGCAGGAGAATCACTTCAACCCAGGAGGCGGAGGCTGCAGTGAGCCGAGATCATATCATTTGCACTCCAGCCCGGGCAACAAGAGTAAAACTCTGTCTCAAAAAAAAAAAAAAGATACTAATGTGTGCACAAGAAAACAATCCAACTCAAAAGGTAAACAGTGTTAACAAACTGGTGGACAGCCTCCAGGCTTATACACATTCATATTAGCAGTCATGGTCTTCTCTACAAATGCAGGAAGCTACTGTATTATTCAACCTGGGTTCTTCTCTTTCTATACATGGTCATCTTTCTAAAAATATACATAAGTTCTGTTTAGTTCAGACTTAAAAATTAAAAGATAAAAATACACATAGTGATCTACCTCATTCTTTTTAATGCCTACACAGCATTCCACTATACAGTGGCATCGTATTTTATTTACCCATTTCCCTACGGAAATGTCCAACTGAACATGTCCCACCACAAATAATGCCACAACCAACACTCCAGTACATGTATCTTTACATGCTGGGGCCAATATTTCTTTACAACCTGGCATCTCTGCAAAGCACATTTTTCGTTTGTGTCCATAGAAAGAAAAGAGTTGAGACCTGTAACCCCGCACAGAGTAACCAGCAAGGCCCGAGACCTCTCATTAGGTAAATTACATGGGAGTCAGACGCCCTTCGGCAGCAAATGCCCAGACAGGCAGAGAACACAGCCTACTTACAACAACCCCATCCTCTTCTTCCCACCCCCTCTAGCTGTGGCACTCCCACAGTTCAGCTGCAGGAGGCGGATTAGGGCCAACAATGACTATCACCAGAAGCACCGAAGGACTCCTCAGCAACCACTCCAACCTGGATGCAATGCCTCCCGTTACCCCGGTGAGGAAATACTCCATCGGGCTGCCCGAATAAACATTACAGCTGCAGAGAGCATCCTCCTAACCGCCACTAAGGTGGCTGTCCTTACTATCACCCCCTATTTGCAGATAAGGGAACAGAGGCTCAGAGGTGAAGTGAGAACCAGGGTCACACAGTGCCCTCCTCACTCTACCACAGCTTCTCAGAACTGGGCCACACGCCCTCGGGTGTTTGCTGCTATAGAGACGTTCATCAACTCAGCCGAGACAAAGGAACTTTCTCTTTGATGAAAATAAATAAATCCAAAAATACTGAAGTGGGAGCTAAAAGGGCTGGGTTGGTATAAATAATCTCCAGCAAAGGCCAAAGGACTGGACCCCAGAAGCCGTGCATGACTTCTCCTCCAAGCCTCAGACACTAGAGGAAACCCAGGACAATCGCCGGCGAAGCCAGTTCTAAAGTAACAAAGGAATAAAGGACAGATCCAAAATAAGGGCCAGGGATTACTACGCCAAGGGCATTCCCAGGTACGCCAAGCTGTGACTTCAGAACGGTGGGAAAAGGGAGCATGCACCCTCACTCCAAATACACTACACACGTTATAAACACCTTACCCACAGACTCCTCACCTCACCCAAAACTCTATACTCACAACTCTCCTCCCCCACCCACCATCTCCCCGAAGCGTCTAAAAAACCGTATTGCACTGCCCCATTACCCTAAGGGCATGCCCACCTTTCCCCTTCCCCCACCCTCCAACCATGTCAACAGCAAATTGTAAAGCTGTGGGATCTTTGGAAGCAGCACTTGTTAATTAAACCCAGTCTATGCCACTGCTGAACTTTACCAATACAACATTATGATTCATCCAGGGTGTGCAAAGAATTACAATGGCCTTTTCTCCCCTCAAAAAGCTGAAGAGACCACACTAAGGAGCCATATGAGATGTCTTTGCTTATATTAAGGTCTACCTATAAACAGTCACACCTCCCACCTTCCAGTGGTCACTTCAGGTTTAGAATTCATATGCACAGTTAAAACAGTCCCCTTAGTTAAAAACAACTGGTTAAGACAGCAGTCCTCTCTTGATATTATAAAGAAACAGCAGGGAAGAAGGAATGACTTTCACTTTCTACTCTATACACTTCTGGAGCTTGATGTTTGTAGCAAGGCTGTATTGTAACTGTGACACGCCTGTATTGTAACTGTTACATTGTTTTTAAGATCTCGGTGAACTGAGCAACATAGTATCAACACCATATACTGTTCCAAGTTGACTAGGTTTCCTACACTGCACTAACACTGCATCCCAGAAATTACGCCAATCTTTGCAGCAATGCTGTGAGACAGGTTCCGTATCCATTTGGGGCAGATAAGAAAACTGAGACTTAAAGGAGCAAAAGACATGATTTGTTCAAGACCTCATAGCAGGTAGGTCTAAGTGGCTGAAAGGAACACTCCTGTCGGCCTGAGGTCAAGTCAGGGCTGTTGCTGGCCCAGCTGCAGTCTCCCTTGCAGCCAGAACCCACAAACTGCCTTAACATGCCTACCTTCATTCCTTCCAAGACATTTACCTGAAACTCCCCAAGAACACAACACAACAGACTAGACACAGGGCAGCTGCCAGCTATCAAACGCCCTTGCTCGTGGGAACAGACATCCGCAGTGGTGTTCATTGTGGAGAGATGTACAGAAGAGCCCTGATGCACCTGCCCATGGGAGGCCCTTGCTAGTTAAGGTGACTGAGCTCCAGGAGGTGAGGGCAATGCGCTACGGGTCCAAATCTTTAGCATGTAGCACAGTGCTGAGCACATAATTAGAAACCCCAACACCTAGGTAACAAACAAGCCCCAAGTGTACAAAAGCCTGCCTGCTCCAAACCCCCGGGCCCCCGGGGAGGGCTGAATCCAGGAACCATTAATAGCTGCGGTCTATGGAGAGCCTGCTGTCTTGTGCCAGGTGCCCTATCAACTCTGCAGCACATGACCCTCTGAATCCTTTCCCAGGTCCTATGAAGGTGTTACTATCACATTTTGCAGAGGAAGAGAATGGAGATTCAAAAAGATTTAAAAGCTGGCCCCAGGTCACCCAGCTTCTAAGTGGTAGAACCTGGACTTGAAGGCAGCTGACCCCAAAGCAGGGCTTCCAGTGTGGGGTGCTGCACTGTGCCTGCAAGGGAGAGCTACTCTCCACCAGGAAGAGGGGGCATGGCATTCCCAACTCTCCCAGCGAGCTCTCTCTGAATTCCAGCTAACAATAACCCCCCCAGGAGCCAGAGCAGTGTAATTCCAAACCGCACCTCCTCTTGCCAGAGCACAAATCCCCGCCAGCCTAGCCTGATGAAACACCACCACCCAGGCATTCCAGTGCTTCATTTCTGCAGTCACTTCAACCAATGGTGTGATCTCCTGGAAGAACTAAACCAAAGTGGGGGGCAGGAGGGGTGGCAAGTGACGCCAAGAGGTTGAGTCGAGAAGTGAGATATGCACAACAGCCACTATCAGGAGCTGCAAAAGCGCCAACAGCAATGAATATTAACAGCAACAAAACCACCAAGGACTGTGAAAGACGGGGCTATGAGAAAACTTAAAATGGAGGCCGTCTCTGAATTTTATGCACCAGGCTCCAGTGTATAACAGTTGGAAGAAAACAGGCAGCAAGGACAATCATTTTACTTGATACAGAAAATCAACCTTAGACCTGGCTGTGTCTATCGCCTCCTTCCAGCTCCCACAGTGGCCTTCACCTAACAAGACACCCAGAGCAACTCCTCCAGTGGCCGCTTCTGCACTGTGAACGGAGCTGCTGTGTCTGATCGCTGTCTGCCCAAGCTCACCAAAACATCAGACCCTACGCTCACCACAGAAAGCCGCAAACAGTAGCTTTTGATTGGAAAATGTGCACACCCAAAACAATCCAAAAAGCCTGTTCATTTAGAAAAGCCCATAGTCCAGAAACATACGCTCACACATATAAGCTGATACAAAGTTTTCTGAAGAGAAATCTGGCAGAATTCTTACCAAAAAGCTATTCAGTTGAAGAGTCCACACTGCAGAACCACATTCTCACACTTACATGCTTACATACAAATTGTATGTTTTTGAAAACAAATCTGGTACAGTTTGACCAAAATTGTGTAATATTCCAAAACTACAAATAGCCCAAATGTCCACCAGTAGGAGACAGAGGTTAAATCAAGTATACCCACAAAATATTCTCTGCAGTTGCTAAAATAGATAACATAATCCGTCTGCGTAGCTGTCAGGGAGCACGCTGAGACATTTTATCACGTGAAAGGGCAGCAGCATGCTTGAAGAATACAAACGTGCATGTGGATAATGTGGGTTTTTTTCTGGGAGGAATCCCAAGAACTTCCTCACACTGGTTTTTTTTTCAGAGAGAGTGGGGAAGAGCCTTTATACCTCCCTGAGCAACTTGAATTTTCTTTTTAAAAAGTCAACTGGGGGCCGGGTGCAGTGGCTCACGCCTGTAATCCCAGCACTTTGGGAGGCTGAGGCGGGTGGCTCGCCTGAGGTCAAGAGTTCGAGACCAGCCTGGCCAACATAGTGAAATCTCGTCTTTATTAAAAATACAAAAAAATCAACTAGGCATGGTGGCGGATGCCTGTAATCCCAGCTACTAGGGAGGCTGAGGCAGAAGAATTGCTTGAACCCAGGAGGCGGAGGTTGCAGTGAGCCAAGATCACGCCATTGCCTTCCTGGGCAACAAGCAAAACTCTGTCCCCACCACCAAAAAAAAAAAAAAAAAAAGTCAACTGGGAATATCTAAACCATGGGATTATAAACGATTTTTTCTTCTTTTACACACCTGTATATTTTTTAGAAACCTAACATTATTTTTAAAACACTTAGTGTGGCAGGTCTGTTCACATGAATATGGAAAAATGGCTGGGTGTGGTGGCTTACACCTGTAATCCTAGCACTTTCAGAGGCCAAGATGGGAAGACAGCTTGAGGCCAGGAGTTCAAGACAAGCTTGGTCAACATAGCGAGACCCACCCCCACATCCCTAAGGAAGAAAAAAAAAGTATTACTGAAAATAAAAATAAGAGAAGTTACGCTTAAAAATACGTATGGAAAAATACTGTGATATTTTGAAAATGCCAAGTTGCAATACAATATAGTATATCCCATTTTTGTTTTTTAAAAAACCTCCCTACATGAGGCCATATTTATACGTGCACTGAGCCTAGAAGGATAAACAAAGCAAATTTATCAATAATGGTTACTGCCTGGGACATTGGGGAAAAGCTTTCATTTCTCTTCAAACACTTGGCTTTTAATTTTGTTTTTTTTTTTTTTTTTAAAGTATGGGCCAGGCGCAGTGGCTCACGCCTGTAATTCTAGCATTTTGGGAGGCTGAGGTGGACAGATGGCCTGAGCTCAGGAGTTTGCGACCAGCCTGGGCAACAAGGCGAAACCCCATCTCTACTAAAATACAAAAAAAAATTAGCCAGGCGTGGCGGGATGCACCTGTACTCCCAGCTACTCAAGAGGCTGAGGCAGGGGAATTGCTTGAACCTGGGAGGTGGAGGTTGCAGTGAGCCGAGATCATGCCACTGCACTCCGGCCTGGGCAACAGAGCAAGACTCCACCTCAAAAAAAAATAAATAAATAAATAAAATAACCTGTATACTTCTGCAATTAACATTTTACCAAAAACAAACAAACAAACAAAAAACCAGAAAATACCACATTATGATTCAGGACACTATCCTCTTCCCAAGGACTTCTGAACACTTGGCCCATTCAGTCCACCGACAGGTCGGTTGGGCAGGCAGGCAGGAGTGATGATGCCCCTCCCAGACAGGCCTGTGCTTTCTGCCCTGGCCTGGAACACAGCTGTTCTTTAAGCTCTGAACCATATGTAAACAACACCTGCCGAAAAAAGTTCTGCAAGACACAAAGGACCCATGGAAAGAGTCCTGGAGATGACCTCCTTTTTCCAGTAGGTCCTGCAGCGATCCATCCCATGGTTCTATACAAAGAGATGATCCTGAAGCGTGTCGGGAAGTTGACGCCGGCTTCCCGGAGGCACAGTCATTCTCTGCCCTCCTCCCTGCTGGCCACTGGCCATACAAGAATGCTTGCATAATGTTCACCATTCAAAGGGCCTCGGCACTCTCTGGAAAGCAGGCTGACCCACAAGTTCTCTTCTGGGACCCATACATTTCTGATTTCCACATAGGAACACATTTTTAATGTTCCAGGGCTCAGCACACTATTTTCAATAGGTGCTTATTTCGAGTCAGCTACATTTTCCAGAATGCCTTCCCTGACTGCCCCACACCCAGACTGAGGTGAGCTTGGTTTCTGCGTGGGCTCCTATAAGACCCCCTTCTCAGACACCTGGCACACAGTGATGAATGGGAAACAACAGAATTCTGCTTCCGGATGCATTTACTCACTCCACTGGGGGAAAGGACCATTCAATACATGAAAACAAAACTATCTACAGGCTGCTGCCCGTCGCTGAATGAATAAATAAAATGTGGTAGATACATGCAAATAAGAGAATATTATTCTGCCTTAAGAATGAAGTTAGTTCTGACACATGCTGCAACATGGATGAACCTTGGAAATACTATGCTAAAAATAAGCCAGACACAAAATGACAAATACTGGATGATCTCACTTACATGAGGTACTTAAGAGTATTCGGTTTCACAGAAAGAAAGTAAAATGGTTGGCAGGGCAAGGTGGCTCAACATTGCCACCATGGGATTACACATGGCTGTAATTCCAGCACTCTGGGAAGCCGAGGCAGGCAAATCGCTTGAGCTCAGGAGTTCGAGACCAGCCTGGCCAACATGGCGAAACTCCGTTTCTCCTAAAAATACAAAAATTAGCCAGACCTGTAATCCCAGCTATTCAGGAGGCTGAGGCAGGAGAATCGCTTGAACCCGGGAGGTAGAGGTGCAGTGAGCCGAGATCGTGCCATTGCACTCCAGCCTGGGAGACATAACGAGACTCTGTCTCAAAAATAATAACAATAATACAAAAATTAGACCAAGCACAGTGGCTCACGCCTGTAATCCCAGCACTTTGGGAAGTCGAGGTGGGCAGATCACCTGAAGTCAGGGGTTCGAGACCAGCCTGGCCAACATGGTGAAACCCCGTCTCCACTAAAAATACAAAAATTAGCTGGGCATGGTGGCAGGCGCTTGTAATCCCAGCTACTCGGGAGGCTGAGGCAGGAGAATCTCTTAAACCCAGGAAGCAGAGGCTGCAGTGAGCCGAGATCGCGCCATTGCACTCCAGCCTGGGCAACATCAAAACTCTGTCTCAATAAAATAAAATAAAATATACAAAAACTAGGCCAGGCACGGTGGCTCATGCCGGTAATCCCAGCACTTTGGGAGGCTGAGGTAAGCAAACCACTTAAGGCCAGGAGTTCGACACCAGACTAGCCAACATGGTGAAACCCCGTCTCTACAAAAAAATACAAAAATTAGCTGGGTGTGGTGGCGTGTGCCTGTAATCCCAGCTACACAAGAGGCTGAGGTTGCAGTGAGCCAAGATCGTGCCACTGCACTCCAGCCTGGGCGACAGTGAGACCCTATCTCAAAAAAAAAAAAAAAAGGAGAAAGAATGGTAAGAATGGTGGCCGCCGCCACTGGATGGGGGAGGGGAGTTGGCATCTAATGGGAACAGAGTTTCAGTTTGGGAAGATGAGAACGTTCTGGAGATGGATGGTGGTGATGGTTGCACAACACTGTGAAAGTGCTTCACGCCACTCAACTGTACACTTAAAAATGGTAAATTTTATGTTATGTATACTTCACCACAATTTTTAAAATTCAAATAAAGAAAAAAACACCTATTTACAAGTTGTGAAAACTGCTATAAAGAGAAACTGTAGGGGGCTCCGAAGAAATCACAGGAGGCTGAGGCAGGAGAATCGCTTGAACCCGAGAGGTAGAGGTTGCAGTGAGCCAAGATCGCGCCATTGCTCTCCAGCCTAGGCAACAAGAGCAAAACTCCGTCTCAAAAAAAAAAAAAAAGAAAGAAAGAAACCACAAGAGGATGAGGCCAAAGTTAGGTGGGGGGCTCTCCAGGGCCTCCTCCCCACCAGACCAGGATCTCCCCAGGAGTCAATGGGGCATCCATGTCCCTAGAAACAAAAACTGTTTAAGACAAAAGGCTTCTCCAGGTTCAAACCAGTAAATGGAGTAAGACCTCAAGCCCCACTCATCAAAGGGCTTAACCAGGACTGAGACCCCCCAGAACCTAGTGGCTCATGAAAGAGGCTGCCTTGCTGGGTGCCGTGGCTCATGCCTGTAATCCCAGCACTTTGATAGGCGGAGGCGGAGGGATCACTTGAGTCCAGGAGTCTGAAACAGCCTGGGTGTCCAGGCACGGTGGCTCACACCTGTCATCCCAGCACTTTGGGAGGCCAAGGCAGGTGGATCACCTGAGGTCAGGATTTCGAGACCAGCCTGGCCAACATGGCAAAACCCCGTCTCTACTAAAAATACAAAAAGTAGCCAGGTGTGGTGGTGCACGCCTGTAATCCCAGCTACTCGAAGGCTGAGGCACGAGAATTGCTTGAACCCAGGAAGTGGAGGTTGCAGTGAGCCAAGATCGCACGGCTGCACTCCAGCCTGCGCAACAGAACAAGATGCCATCTCAAAAAAAAAAAGAAAGAAAAGAAAAGAAAAACAAACAGCCTGGGCAAAATGGCGAAACCCCGTCTCCACAAAAAAATACAAAACTTAGTCAGGCATGGTGGCGCATGCCTATAGGATCCCAGCTACTTGGGAGGCTAAGGCAGAAGGATCATTTGAGCCCAGGATGCAGAGGTTACGGTGAGCTGAGATCACATCACTGCACTCCAGACTGGGCGACAAAGTGAGACCCTGCCTCAAAAAAGAAAAAACTAAGAAAGAGACTGCCTTGGGCTCAAGGCTGGAGAGGGAGGTGACAAAGACTGAAGGAGACAACCGATCCTGTCCAGAAGAGAAGAACAAACCTGCAATCCTCTGACCCCAGAAATTCCACTTATGGGAGATAATCAGCCACGTGGACCAAGACTTAACATGCCGAGATGCTCCCTACAGTTTCTCTTATAGGAGGGAAAAGAGGGCAACAATAATCTAAATGTCTACGAATACAGGAGTCAATAAATTATGGCATATCCGTATAATAGCAATTATATAATTATAAAAATAACGTAGAGGAATACACTATAACATTAAAAGGGGAAAAGCAAGCTATCAACTGTGTATTCAATGTATATATACTATTGCTCTAATTTAGAAAACACAGACATTATCAGAGGAAAGAAACACACCAGCAACTTTACTGCAGTTAGCTCTGGATGGTGAGGTCACAAGTGATTTATATATTTATTTTGGCATTTATTCTTTTCAGTATTTTCCTTTTTTTTCAGATGGAGTCTCGCTCTGTGGCCCAGGCTAGAGTGCAGTGTCGTGATCTCGGCTCACTGCAAACTCCGCCTCCCGGGTTCATGCCATTCTCCTGCCTCAGCCTCCTGAGTATCTGGGACTACAGGCGCCCGCCACCACGCCCGGCTAATTTTTTGTATTTTTAGTAGACACGGGGTTTCATCGTGTTAGCCAGGATGGTCTCGATCTCCTGACCTCGTGATCCGCCCACCTCAGCCTCCCAAAATGCTGGGATTATAGGTGTGAGCCACCGTGCCCAGACTTTTTTTTTTTTTTTTTTTTTGAGACAGAATTTCACTCTGTCTCCCAGGCTGGAATGCAGTGGCACAATCTCGGCTCACTGCAACCTCCACCTCCCAGGTTTAAGTGATTCTCCAGCCTCACCCCTCCTGAGTAGCTGGGACTACAGGCACTCGCCACGGCATCCAGCTAATTTTTGTATTTTTAGCAGAGACGGGGTTTCACCATGTTGGCCAGGCTGGTCTTGAATTCCTGACCTCAGGTGATCCGCCCACCTCGGCCTGCCAAAGTGCTTGGATTACAGGCGTGAGCCACCGTGCCCGACCTACTTTTTATTCTTTTGAGACAGGGTCTCACTCTGTCGCCCAGGCTAGAGTGCAGTGGCATGATCACGGCTCACTGCAACCTCAACCTCCCAAGCTCAAGTGATCCTCCTGCTTCAGCCTCCCAAGTAGTTAGAACTACAGGCATGCGCCACTATACCCTACTAATTTTTTCTTTTAAGAGGCATTTTTTTATTTTCATCACATTGCCCAGGCTGGTCTTAACCTGGCCTCAAGCAATCCACCTGCCTTGGCCTCCCCAAGTACTGGGATTACAGGCATGAGCCACCTTGCCCTACCACAAGAAAAATGTATTTAAAGGGCCTTGTACAATGCCTGGCAAATGATAGGTGCTCAAGGAGTATCTATTGCCTGACAAGTCAATTAAAAATGCAATAAATACTGCTGCTGCAGCCCCACAGAG
Organism: Homo sapiens; assembly: GCF_000001405.40. Classification (NCBI taxonomy): domain Eukaryota; kingdom Metazoa; phylum Chordata; class Mammalia; order Primates; family Hominidae; genus Homo; species Homo sapiens. Next base: position 131,398,572 of record NC_000009.12, on the reverse strand, counting down.
AAAAAGACTGATGGTTATCTTGGAAAGGAGGAAGACGGTCCAGACGGAAGCCACACAACTGGCTGCAGAGGTAAGAACGGAAGGAAGTCCTGTACAAGATGTGAAAGACCGCCAGCAACTTGAGATAGGCTTTGTTCTGCCAGCTACTCCTGCTGCACGCAATGCTTCACAAATCAGTGCTGCTGCCAGCACCTCGGAGGTGCACTTCAGCTCGGACGAAGGATGCTTCTCAGGTCACACAGAAAACCAACAAGTACAGCTGAGAACAAAGCTCAACCACAACTTCTGGCTCAAGACACTAAGACAAACCTACCTCCCAGCACAAAAGAGATTTCCCACGTGCCACCCAGAGGTATAAACAGTAATATCGCCAATGGCAAGGCCCAGGTCTGCCAGCTCCCAGGTGAGGAGGTCCAGTCTGAATGGCACCTTTTAAACCTAAAGCTAATGACAAACAATTCTATTTCACCAGAAACAAAGCTCACCATATCCCATGTCGCTCCCATCTCCAACACCACAGCCAGTGCCTGTATTTCTTTGTCCCAATGACAGACCCAAGTTTCCTGAGGCTGTACAAGTCCCAGAAATAATCTTAAAAAGAGATCAAGTTATGATCTGAAAAGAAGACAGTCTAGTTAGCCCTGCCTCCTTACATGAAATTTATTTAAAACCAAAATTACAAGATTTGGAGCACAAAGCCCATTGTCTGCTGGAAATGTTGTTTTTTGGGGAGAAATCCATTGTTTTAAAATCTAGTATAGATAGGCTCTATTTAGTACCTGTCCGCCCATGACAAGATATGTACATTTCACGGTAGGGAAGCCTCATTATTGAATTCAGAAATACATGAATTGACCCACCTGGCCTATTCTGGTTTGAAATAGAAACCAACACAGAAATGATCAATCTTAAGGGGTAGGATAATGAGACATATAACTAGCATACAGCCACAGCCATTAGCAACATGAGTCAGTACTTTGTGCAAGGCAAAAAAAAAAAAAAAAAAAAACCCTCAAAAGTACAATAAAATAATCCTTCAGGATAAAAAAAGAGAACTGAAATTCAAAAGAGGTTAGGAGTGTTGAACAGGAAAAAAAAAATTAATAACAAAAATCCCTCAGCTAAGCACAAGGCAAAGGGACCCATGCTGGAACCAGTTCTGACCTGCCATTCCTGAAATTCCACTCTCCCGAGGTTTCCTGGCTCTTCCTTCCCCAGGCTTTCTTTTTACCTATTTGGGCCCAGTGGAGGCTGGAGACGGCCACTGTACGAGATGGGACGCCCACACAGTGGGCTTAGGGCCTAAGGCAAGGGCATGCAATCAGCATTAGGGGGCCACAGATAACCAAAATTCACAGGTATGCAGAAGCTCATGGGAGAGGCAGCGACTATCTCCTGGCCTAACTAACCAGTTAACAGTATAGAGCCAGACTGGGCCCGAGTGAAGTCAGACAAAAAGGAAGGGCCAAGAGGCAGGAAGCGAGGAAAAATCAAAGGATGACAGGACCCTGCTAAAATATCTCAGTTCCACAGCTAGGAGGTCTGGAGGGGGTGCCACATTTTACCAAAAAACCAACAAGATGGTTGCGGGAATGCCAAAATGAACCAAAACAAATTCCCCAATAAAATGCAGAACCACTGCAGAGCCATTTACCAACAAGCTAACATGTTCAGCCAAGAGGTGACCTGGGTCTCAGTCCTCACTTGTGGCCAACACTGGGTTCAGTCTGTCTCCTGCTTCTTAGCAATAGTCCTTCCACACAATCTCAAACAGCAGACACCGAGATCTGGCTGAGCTCCCTAGCTGTACTAAGCCATTCTGGTGCTTCCAGGTAGATGGGTGATAGTCACCATAGCAAAACATTAGCCGGCCATAGAATTTGGGGTGGGGAAGTCACAGTTCCATCAACCAAGAGAAGAGGAAAAAATAAGCATTAAGAGAAAGAAGACCGGGCGCGGTAGCTCAGGCCTGTAATCCCAGCACTTTGGGAGGCCAAGGCAGGCAAATCACCTGAAGTCGGATGTCTGAGACTAGCCTGGCCAACATGGTGAAACCCTGTCTCTACTAAAAACACAAAAATTGGCCAGGTGTGGTGGCACATGCCTGTAATCCCAGCTACTCCAGAGGCTGAGGCACGAGAATCGCTTGAACCCAGGAGGCGGAGGTTGCAGTGAGCTGAGATCACATCACTGCACTCCAGCCTGGGCGACAGAGTGAGACTGTCTCAAAAAAAAAAAAAAAAAAAAGAAAAGAAAAGAAAAAAGAAGGAAGGGAAGGAAGGAAAAGGAAGGGAAAGGGAGGGAGGGAGAGAGGAAGAGGGCAAGGGAGGAAGGAAGGAGAAAGGAACCAGAAAAACAGATAATCAACAAACACATACATTTCATCACCTTCCTATGGAGAGAAAACAATTCACTGTGAATCTTAAGTGAGGCTCCCAAGAGCCCTAATAGATACCCAAGGCAGGCATAATTATTCCCATTTTACAGATGCAAGATCTGAGCCTCAGAGACTTGCTTTGTAAAGGTAACCCGATGAGGACCAGAATCCAGCTGCGCAGGCTCCAAGAGACACACTTGCCCAAACAAGTAGAAACTCACTCTCAGATGATTATCTGCCAATCCCCAAGGAAAGCAGTTATCCTCAGAAGGCAGGACTCCTTGGGCGTCTGTTTGTCCTGAGCATCTCGTACTGTTCTAACCCTGCCTTAAACTGACCAACTGCCACACACTCCGGGTCTACTAAGTTCTAGAGACCTCCAAATGCTACTTTTTCCCATCCCTGCCTCCCGAGAGGCTCAGCACTGTATAAGCGCCCACTAATGTTTGGGCCTTGAATTCCTTCTGTATTGTCCATGCCTTAGGCCAGCACCTGTGGCATCCATGGGCACAGTTTGGCTCTATGGGTGGCACCACAAGGGGCTCACGTCTGTCCTAGGACTTGACAGCAGTTATACCAACAACCGTAGGAGGAACCACTAACTGTGCCAGGCCCTCTGCTAGGCCCTTCACCGCTGCCCAAACCTGCCAGGTGGAGGGTGCACGCCCCGATTTATGCAGATGAAGCCTCAGACAGCCCCAGAGTCACTAGGTTTACGGAAGAAAGAAGCAGGATCTGCACCCCAATGCCTGGGCCTCCCCAGTCCCACCTTACACCACAGCGCTGTGCATAGACATGACTAAATGGCTGCAGCGAGATTCGGAAAAACCATGCTAAGACCGCACACAATTGGTTACAAAAACCAAACTGGATGACACTGTACAAAGCCACATCAAATGCACACTAAACCTTAAAGAAAAAAAAAATCTTAGGGAAAGTTTAACAGTCCTGTAAACCAAAGGCATTTAAAGATTTCTCCCAGGAAGCCATTTAGCAAAAGACACTCCCCAGCCCCCCTTCTCCCACTTCCTTCAAGCTCACCACTGAAAACACCTCCAATTCTTGCCTAAAGGTGGGCTCCGACCTCCCACGATATTTAGAAGGAGGAAAAAAGAAAAAGGAAAAAAATCCACCTCTTAAGGCAAATCCACTCTTCAGAGGCCCACAGTTTCAACAGGGCTGAATTTCTCTCCTGGGGGTTGAGGGGAGGCAAAAGAGGAGGAAAAAAAAAAAAACCCCATCTGGCAGGCCCCGAGTGGCGACATCCTGTTTATTATTAAACATTTTTAGCATGGAGCATTCAGCATTTCGAAAATAACCCTCTGGTTCCCGCACTCACACCGAGACTGGGCGGCCGCTCGCCTCCCTCCCCCAGCCGCCAACTTTAGCGCCGCCGGGGCCCGGCCCACCCCGCGCCAGGAACGGCCCCGCGAACGCCGCTCAGCGCCCCGGACCCAAGGCCCGACCCCGCAGGATCCCGCCTCGGGCGCGCTGCTCCGTCAATTGGGCGGGGCGGGGAGCAAAGACGCCGGCCCCAGAACCCCGAGACCCGGCTGCGGGCCCGGGACCCCCGCCCCTCCGGCCTCTGCAGCCCGGCCCGGCCTCGGGGGTACGGGGGTGGCGGGCGAGCCCTGAGGGAGTCGCGCGGCCCCTGGACCCCGCCCGAGCCTGAGGCCGCGCGGCGCCGCCACAACAATGGCGAGCGCGCCCGGGCCCGCCGCCCCCAGGCCCCGCGGCCTCCCAGCCCCGCAGCCCCGCGCCCGGCGGGAAGGAGGCGGCGGCGGCCGCGCTCGCGGACAAAGGTCGGGCAGGGCCGCAGGGCCCCCGGGCCCCCGGCGGCGGCCGCGGGAGACAAAGCCCGGCCGGGCCGCGCCGCCTCCATCTTAGCGCCGCCGCCCCCACGCCCCGGCCCCGGCCCCGGCCCCGACCCACCTGGTCTGGTTCCGCGGGCGCGGCCGGGCCGGGCGATGGCAGTCGGGCGGCGGTCGGGCACGGGGGCGGCGGGATGGCGGCGGATTGCGAGGCGGCGGCGCGGGCTGCTCGCTCGCTCGCTCCCTCCCTCCTCCCGGGCTCGCTCGTCGCTGCGCGGTGGAGCCTCGGCGCCTGTCTCGCCGCTCGCTCCCTCGCGCTCGGCTCCCCGCCCCCCGCCTGCCGCCGCCCCCGCCTCCTCGTCCTCCTCCTCCCGCCGCCGCCCGCAACCTGGGCCCGCGCAGCGCCCCCTGCCGCGCCTCCCGGGAGCGGCGGCCTTGGGATCGGCCCGGGGGCCGGGCGAGGGCTGGGGCCAGGGGGGAGGGGCGGGGAGCGGCGGGAGGGGGCTGGGAGGGGGCTGGGAGTGGGGAGGGGCCCGGGGACGGCGGGAGAGGCGGGAGAGAACGGGGCAGAGCGGGGATCGGGGAGGAGACCCGGAGGAGGGGCCAGGAGCCAAGAGAAGGGGCCTGGGAAGGGCATGGGCCCGGCCTGGGCCCGGGGGAAGGGCGCCCGGAAAGAGGGGGAAGGGATGGAGGGGGCAGTGACGGGGGAGCGAGCCCGGATCTCCGCCCCCTCCCCCTTCAAAACTGCAGCGCCTCAGAACAGACTAAGCCCGGATTTTGTTAAAATATGTATACGGTATATGAACGGAAAGGAAGCAGAAATAATACTTTTTTCATTTCAAAAGCAAGGTTGTTGCACAATATGGGTACTTTGTCCCATTTTTACAAAATGAAAACTAATAAGCCCCTCCTCTTGAGTGTTGTGTGTTTGTGTGATTGCAAAACAAAAGGTCCGGGAGACTGCACTCCTGTCTTGGTTACCTCCGTGGTTTGAGGTTGGGAGAGCGGAGGAGGGTTCTTACTTTTTTAGACACCTAACCAACTATAAAAGCAATTTCAAAAAGCAAATACAAAAAAAAAATGTTAGGGCCTGGCACCCAAATCATCCCACCCTCTTCCAGTCACGGTTGCTCTAAGCACCAGCTGCGGGCCATGCCCTATGCTAAAGCACGTGGTTTGTCTCACTTAATCCTAACCCAGGGGCAGATATTATTGTTCTAATTCACAGGTGAGACAAAGGAGGCTTTGAGAGAATGTGCCCCAGGCCACACTGCTGGACCCAGAAGGAAAATTAACCCACTTCAGCCTAACTCCAGAACTGAGGCTGGTGAACAAAGCTTAGTTTTTGGGGAGTAGAATTCTGGATACTTTTATAGCCTTATTTATAATTCTCTGAATTTTCCTACATTTTATCCATGGTCATTTTCAGTGTTATCCTTTTTTTCTTTTTTCTTTTTTTTTTTTTTTGAGACAGTCTCGCTCTGTCCCCCAGGCTGGAGTGCAGTGGCACAATCCGCAATCTCTGCTCACTGCAACCTCCAACTCCTAGATTCAAGCGATTCTCCTGCCCCAGCCTCCTGAGTAGCTGGGATTACAGACATCTGCCACCATGCCCAGCTAATTTTTGTATTTTTGGTAGAGATGGGATTTCACCATGTTGGCCAAGTTGGTCTGGAACTCCTGCGCTAAAGTGATCCACCTACCTTGGCCTCCCAAAGTGTTGGGATTACAGTGCCGGCCACTCTGTTTTACATCATCAAATCTGCATTATTCCCCTGCCAATGTCTTCAATATTTCGCTATCTCTACAAAACAGGGAGGATGTAACCCTAATTTTTGTTTTCGATTTTGTTCCTTGACCATCTTCAGGAAGGCCATAGAATTGGCCCAGTGCTCAAAACCCAGCAACTAATAAAAATGATAGAAGGCAAATAAACAAATAAAAAATAAATTAAATAAATAAACTGAGCCTCAGGTTCTTCATCTGTAAGGCTGGCGCAGTGGCTAACACCTGTAATCCCACCACTTTGGTAGGTCGAGGCAGGTGGATCATGCGGTCAGGAGTTCAAGACCAGCCTGACCAATATGGTGAAACCCCATCTCTACTAAAAATACAAAAATTAGCCAGGCATGGTGGCAGTCGCCTGTAATCCCAGCTACTTGGGAGGCTGAGGCAGAAGAATTGCTCAAACCCGGGTGGCGGAGGTTGCACTGAGCCGAGATCATGCCACTGCACTCCAGCCTGGGTGACAGAGTGAGACTCCATCTCAAAAAAAAAAAAAGAAAGAAAATAAACAAGCAAAAAAGAAATAAACTATCTGAAGCCTCAGATTCTTTATTTGTAAGGCCAAGCGTGGTGGCTCACCCCTGTAATCCCACCACTTTGGGAGGCCGAGGCAGGCAGATCACCTGAGGTCAGGAGTTTGAGACCAGTCTGGCCAACATGGTGAAACCCCGTCTCTACTAAAAATACAAAAATTAGCCGGGCATGGTGGTGGGGTCCTGTAATCCCAGCTACTCGGGAGGCTGAGGCACAAGAATCACTTGAACCCAGGAGGTGGAGGTTGCAGTGAGCCAAGAGCACGCCACTTCACTCCAGCCTGGGCAACAGAGAGAGACTCTGTCTCAAAACAAAATGATAGGAGGAGGCTGAACAGTAACAGGGTGGTTTACTGAGCACTTACTATGTGACAGCCACTGTGCTAAACACTCCCTATAGAGTCACTCAGGTAATCCTCACGACATACCCATAAAACAGACACTAGTGTGCCCATCCAACAGAGAAGAAAAGTAGACTTTGTGGAGGCAATACAATGCCCCCCACCAAAGATGTCCAAGTCCTGATCCCTGAAATCTGTGAAAATGGTACCTTCTCTGGCAAAAGGGATTCTGTAGATGGGATGAAGTTAAGGATCTTGAGATGCAGAGATGAATCCTGGATTATTTGGTTGGGCAGGTGGAATCACAAGGGTCCTCACAAGAGGAAGGAAGGAGGGTCGGAGTCGGAGAAGATGTGGTTGATGAAGCGGAGTTCATCATATTGACTGACAAAGGAATGACGCAGGACCTCACGCCCAGAAATGCAGGCTGCCTCTAGAAGCTACAAAGGACAAGGAATGGATTCTCCCCTAAAGCCTCCAGAAGAAAATGAGCCCTGCCAACCACCGTGACCTCCAGAACTTTAAGATAACAAAGTTACATAAGCCACTAAATGTGTGGTAATGTAGCAATAGAAAACTAGTACAACCTTGGAGACTTGCTGAAGGCAACACAGCGAGGGAAGGGTTAAAAGGCAAGCTAGGGCCAGACACAGTGGCTCAAGCCTGTAATCCCAGGACTTTGGGAGGCTGAGGTGGGCAGATCACTTGGTCAGGCGTTCGAGACCAGCCTGACCAACATGGTGAAACCCTGTCTCTACTAAAAATACAAAAATTAGCCAGGCCTGGTGGTATGTGCCTGTAATCCCAGCTACTCAAGAAGCTGAGGCAGGAGAACTGCTTGAACCTGGGAGGTGGAGGTTGCAGTGAGCCGAGATTGCACCATTGCACTATAGCCTGGGCGACAGAGCGAGACTCTGTATCAAAAAAAAAAAAAAAAAAAAAAAGCTAGGGCACAGTGGCTCACGCCTGTAATCCCAGCACTTTGGGAGGCCGAGGCAGGTGGGTCACGAGGTCAAGAGATCGAGACCATCCTGGCTAACATGGTGAAACCCCATCTCTACTAAAAATACAAAAAATTAGCCAGGCGTGGTGGCGGGCGCCTATAGTCCCAGCTACTCGGGAGGCTGAGGCAGGACAATGGCATGAACCTGGGAGGCAGAGCTTGCACTGAGCTGAGATCACACCACTGCACTCCAGCCTGGGCGACAGAGCAAGACTCTGTCTCAAAAAAAAAAAAAAAAAAAAAAAAGGCAAGCTAGGAGTCTTGGGAGAGAAGAGACCTGGCTTCAAATCCAGCTCAGCCATCTCCTACCTCCCTGACCATCCTCATGGAGAGAATGGCATGCAGTCATCCATCCCTGCAAAGTGCTTAGCCCAGAGGAGAGCCCTGGGAATCAAAGTTCGTCCGTTCATTCACTGGGCACCTGCACTCTGGTGCTCACTGTGCCAGGCTCTGGGGCCATGCTGTTGAACTGGGCAGAGAAGGGCCACTACAGTCAATAAAACAAACACAGGCCAGACGCAGTGGCTCACGCCTGTAATCCCAGCACTTTGGGAAGCCAAGGCGGGAGGACCACGAGGTCAGGAGATCAAGACCATCCTGGCCAACACGGTGAAACCCTGTCTCTACCAAAAATACAAAAACTAGCCAGGCGTGGTGGCGGGCACCTGTAATCGCTCGGGAGGCTGAGGCAGGAGAATCGCTTGAACCCAAGAGTTGGAGGTTGCAGTGAGCCAAGATCGCCACTGCACTCCAGCTTGGCGACAAAACAGGACTCCATCTCAAAAAAAAAAAAAACAAAAAAAAAAACAACCATGTTCCGAGGTTTTAGTTCTGGTTCTGTCTCCAACCAGCAGAGCTAGCCTTTTGGTGCCTAAGAGTTTCTACCTGCGAAAATTGGGTGGGGAGCACTGTGGTGTCTCTCCAGCTGGGATCCCCAAGCAGAGAAGAGAGCTTGGCACAAAGTAAGCACTCAATCTCCATGGTGGTTGAAAAGTGGATGCCTGGACAACTGAGGCCAAAATCATGGCTCCTGACCAACCACACAAAACACACGGCTCACAAAACCAGCCAAATAAGCACATGCACTAAAGCCTCCAAACCTCAGCAAGCCTGGAGGTGGGTGCCCAGCCTCCCTTCCCCTACTGTCACCACTATGGGGACAAAGCATCCAGCAAGGTGTCAGAGGAAGAAAACATACCTGGTGTTTTGAATACCTGCACTTAACAGTCGAGAAAATAGAGCATCAGAAAGTTCAGTGACTTGCCCAGCCAGGCACAGTGGCTCATGCATGTGATCCTAGCACTTTGGGAGGCCAAGGTGGGCGGATTGCCTGAGGTTGGGAGTGTGAGACCAGCCTGACCAACATGGAGAAACCCCATCTCTACTAAAAATACAAAAACTGAGCCAGGCATGGTGGCGCATGCCTGTAATCCCAGTTACTTGGGAGGCTGAGGCAGGAGAATCGCTTGATTCACCAGGGAAGCGGAGGTTGTGGTAAGCCGTGATCCCAGCACTGCATTCCCGCTTGGGCAACAAGAGCGAAACTCTGTCTCAAAAAAAAAAAAAAAAAAAATTGAAAGGAGCCAGGCGCAGTGGCTCACACCTGTAATCCCAGCACTTTGGGAGGCCAAGGTGGGTGGATTGCCTGAGCTCAGGAGTTCGAGACCAGCCTGGGCAACATGGTGAAACCCCCATCTCTACTAAAATACAAAAAATTTGCCAGGAGTGGCGGCATGCACTTGTAGTCCCAGCTACTTGGAAGGACGAGGCAGGAGAATTGGTTGAATCCGGGAGGGGGAGGTTGCAGTGAGCCAAGATCATGCCACTGCACTCCAGCCTGGGCAACGGAGCGAGACTCCGTCTCAAAAAAAAAAAAAAAAAAGGTAAAAGGAGGGGCCAGGTGCGGTAATCCCAGCACTTTGGAAGTCCAAGGAGGGCGGATCACGAGGTCAAGAGATCGAGACCATCCTGGCCAACATGGTGAAACCCTGTCTCTATTAAAAATACAAAAATTAGCTGAGCATAGTGGCGTGTGCCTGTAGTCCTAGCTATTCAGGAGGATGAGGCAGGTGAATCACTTGAACCCAGGAGGCGGAGGTTGCAGTGAGCCAAGATCGCGCCACTGCACTCCAGCCTGGTGACAGAGCAAGACTCTGTCTCAAAAGAAAAGAAAAGAAAAAAAGTGCTGGGCGTGGTGGCACACGTCTGTAATCCCAGCACTTTGGGAGTCCGAGGTGCGCGGATCACCTGAGGTTGGGAGTTCAAGACCAGCCTGACCAACATGGTGAAACCCCATCTCTACGAAATACAAAAAATTAGATGGGTGTGGTGGTGTATGCCTGTAATCCCAGCTACTCGGGAGGCTGAGGCAGGAGAATTGCTTGAACCTGGGAGGTGGAGGTAGCAGTAAGCCAAGATTGCACCACTGCACTCCAGCCTGGGCAACAAGAGGGAATCTCCATCTAAAAAAAAAAAAAAAAAAAGTAAAAGTAAAAGTTGATGAAATTAATTTTAATAATGATTTTTTTTTTTTTTTAGACAGCGTCTCGCTCTGTTGCCCAGGCTGGAGTGCAGTGGAGCAATCTCGGCTCACTGCAACCTCGGCCCCCCGCCCACAATGCGTTCAAATGATTCTCATGCCTCAGCCTCCTACATAGCGTGTGCCATCGCACCCAGCTAACTTTTTGTATTTTAGGTAGAGATGGGGTTTTGCCATGTTGGCCAAGCTGGTCTTGAACTCCTGGCCTCAAGTGATCCACCCACCTGGGCCTCCCAAAGTGCTGGGATTACAGGCATGGGCCACTGCACCTGGCCTAATAATGAATTTTATTTAGCCTACTATATCAAAAATATTACTGTTGCAACAGGTAATTAATATTTTAAAATTATAAATGAGATCACTGACATTCTTTGTGGTCACATGAAGTCTTCAAGTCCGGCATGTATTTTATACTTTATAGCACATGCCACTCAGTGCTGGGCAGGTTTCACACTCTCGGTGGTGGCACAGGGGCAGTGAGCTCTTTACCTTCTCCACTGTTCCTCACAGCCTTTGCCAAAGTTTGGGAAGTGGAGGAGATGACAGTACCGTGAGAGGCAGGATGACCGCATCTGTCTTATTTGATGCAAATCCCTCAGGGATTAAGTCTGGCACAAGGGAGATATCGGTCTAAGGCTCAGGAGGACAAGGACTTAGTCCATTTGGTTCTCTGCTGTGATGGTTAATACTGAGTGTCAACTTGATTGTATTGAAAGATATAAAGTATTAATCCTGGGTGTGTCTGTGAGGGTGTTGCCAAAAGAGATTAACATTTGAGTCAGTGGCCGGGGAAGGCAGACCCACCCTTAATCTGGTGGGCACAATCCAATCAGCTGCCACGGAACATAAAACAGGCAGAAAACTAAGAGAGAGAGAGACAGGTGGCCGGGCGCGGTGGCTCACGCCTGTAATCCCAGCACTTTGGGAGGCGGAGACGGGCGGATCACCTGAGATCGGGAGTTCGAGACCAGCCTGACCAACATGGAGAAATCCCGTCTCTACTAAAAATACAAAATTAACCAGGCGTGGTGGTGCATGCCTGTAATCCCAGCTACTTGGGAGGATGAGGCAGAAGAATCGCTTGAACCCGGAAGGCTGAGGTGGCGGTGAGCCGAGATCGTGCCATTGCACTCCAGCCTGGGCAACAAGAGCGAGACTGTCTCAAAAAAGAAAGAAAGAAAGAAAGAAAGAGACAGGCCTAACTTCACAGCCTACATCTTTCTCCCAAAGTTCTTCAGTTTTGGAACCTGGACCGGCTCTCCATGCTCCTCAGCTTGCAGACAGCCAGCCTGTTGTGGGACCTTGTGATCGTGTAAATTAATACTTAATAAACTCCTATATATATATATGACTTATATATATATATGATTATATATATCCTACTAGTTCTGTCCCTCTAAGAGAACCCTAATACACCTGTGCTATCCTTAGCATCAAGCATGGTGCCTGGCAAATAGTGAGTGCTCAATGAATTTGGTTGGTTTGTTGAATGGCAGAATGGGTGTCTGGCCCTTGACCTCATTGGCTACAACAGAAGGGACCCTGGGACTCATAGGGTTACCCGTTTTTATCATCTGACAAGAGAGGACATAAGCGTATGAAAAACCTGGAAGGACGTGGGTGTTCTGGGAAGACAGATGAGGAAGTATTAAGGGGGGAAAGTCAAGTCAAAGGCTCTGTTCCTCGGGCAGATCTGGAAGTGGGGTGACACCCTCTGGGGACAGTGGGAGCTGCTGCATCCCTGGGAGTTAAAAAGCCACAGGCATAGGCCAGGCGCAGTGGCTCACACCTATAATCACGGGACTCTGGGAGGCCAAGGCAGGAAAACTGCTTGAACCCAGGAGTTCAAGACCAGCAGCATAGGCAACAGTGAGATGCCCCATCTCCACAAAAAAATTAAAAAATTAGCCGAGAATGTTGGTGCACACTTGCAGTCCCAGCTATTCCGGAGGCTGAGGTGGGAGGATTGCTTGAGCCCAGGAAGTCGAGGCTGCAGTGAGACATGTTCACGCCACTGCACTCCAGCCTGGGCAACAGAGCAAGACCCTATCTCTTAAAAAAAACAAACAAACAGAGATCCTTCACTTGCCCCGTAAAACTCAATGGTTAGGCTACATCCAAACCACATCCCAAGTTCAGGAAATCCTCTTCTCTCTGCACTTCTCTCTGAGATGACAACAATAAGAATGATGGCCGGGCGCCGTGGTTCACGCCTGTAATCCCAGCACTTTGGGAGGCCGAGGTGGGCGGATCACGAGGTCAGGAGATTGAGACCATCCTGGCTAACATGGTGAAACCCCATCTCTACTACAAATACAAAAGATTAGCCGGGCGTGGTGGTGGGCGCCTGTAGTCCCAGCTATTCAGGAGGCTGAGGCAGGAGAATGGCGTGAACCCAGGAGGCGGAGCTTGCAGTGAGCCGAGATCACACCACTGCACTCCAGCCTGGGCGACAAGGCGAGACTCCGCCTCAAAAAAAAGAATGAGGATAGCTGTTGTTTACTGAGCATTTTTCTGGGCCAGGCATGCTGCTAAGATAACTTAATTAACACTTGCAAGACTGTTATTATTTCTCCCACTTTACGGATAAGGAAATTTAGGTCAGAAGTTAAGTGACTTACATAGGCAAGGACACAAATGACATGGGTAGCCGAGCCAGGACTAGAAGAATCCAGCAGTGCCAGTCTGGGAAGTTTAGCCTTTCCAGGGGAGAGCAAGGCTGATGTGCTGGGCCAGCTGTGGCAGCTGCTGTCTGTGGTCTGAGGCTGCCAGTGAGGGCTGGCTCCTGGGTGGGATTTCCCAGGACATTTGGGGGACCCTGAAGGAAACTTTTTTTTTTTTTGAGACGGAGTTTTTCGCTCGTTACCCAGGCTGGAGTGCAACAGCACGATCTCAGCTCACTGCCACTTCCGCCTACCAGGTTCAAGTGATTCTCCTGCCTCAGCCTCCCAAGTAGCTGGGATTATAGGCATGTGCCACAGTGCCCGGCTGTTTTCTTTTAAATATTAGGAAACTTACTGGTGTAGCTCATGCCTGTAATCCCAGCTACTCGGGAGGCTGAGGCAGGAGAATCGCTTGAACCCAGGAGGCAGAGGTTATAGTCAGCCAAGATCACACCATTGCACTCCAGCCTGGGCGACAAGAGTGAAACTCCATCTCAAAAAATTAAATTAATTAACTAAAAGGAAACAAAACACAACCCAACACTTGCTCATTGGTTCATGCCCACTCTCTCCAGCCTTGCTCTCCTGGTTTCACTCAGTTACTTCCTGTCCATCTTCCAGCTCTGGTTCCACTCCTGTTACAGCCAATGTGAAAATGTCTCCTTCGACCAGGCGCGGTGGCTCACAGCTGTAATCCCAGCACTTTGGGAGGCTAAGGTGGGTGGATCACTTGAGGTCAGGAGTTCATGACTAGCCTGATCAGCATGGTGAAACCCCGTCTCTACTAAAAAAGTGCAAAATTAAGCCAGGCGCAGTGGCTCACGCCTGTAATCCCAGCACTTTGGGAGGCTGAGGCGGGTGGATCACAAGGTCAAGAGTTCAAGACCAGCCTGGCCAAGATGGTGAAACCCCATCTCTACTAAAAATACAAAAATTAGGCCGGGCGCAGTGGCTCACACCTGTAATCCTAGCACTTTGGGAGGCCGAGGTGGGCGGATCACTTGAGGTCAGGAGTTTGAAACCAGCTTGGCCATGATGGTGAAACCCTGTCTCTACTAAAAATACAAAAAATTAGCCGGGCATGGTGGTGCGTGCCTGTAATCCCAGCTACTTGGGAGGCTGAGGCAGGAGAATCACTTGAACCTGGGAGGTGGAGGTTGCAGCGAGCCAAGATCGTGCCACCACACTTAAGCCTGGGTGACAGAGTGAGACTCCACCTCAAATAAAATACATACATACATACATACATACATACAAAAATTAGCCAGGCGTGGTGGCAGGTGCCTGTAATCCCAGCTACTCAGGAGGCTGAGGGATGAGAATCGCTTGAGCACGGGAGGCAGACAGAGGTTGCAGTGAGCTGAGATCGTGCCACTGCACTCCAGCCTGGGCAACAGAGCAATACTCTGTCTCCAAAAAAAAAAAAAAAAAAAAAAATAGCCGGGTATGGTGGTACGTGCCTGTGGTCCCAGCTACTCAGGGGCTGAGGTGGGAAGATCAGCTGAACCCAGGAGGCAGAGGGTCCAAGGAGCCATGACTGTGCCACTGGACTCCAACCTGGGTGACAGAGCAAGCCTGTCGCAAAAAATAAACCAAAACCGGCCGGGCGCAGTGACTTATGCCTGTAATCCCAGCACTTTGGGAGGCCGAGGCGGGTGGATTACGAGGTCAAGAGATCCAGACCATCCTGGCTAACACAGTGAAACCCTGTCTCTACTAAAAATACAAAAAATTAGCTGGGCATGGTGGTGGGCATCTGTAGTCCCAGCTATTTGGGAGGCTGAGGCTGGAGAATCATTTGAACCCATGAGGCGGAGGTTGCAGTAAGCCGAGATCGAGCCGCTGCACTCCATCCTGGGCCACTGCACTCCAGCCTGGGTGACAGGGCGAGACTCTGTCTCAAAAAAAAAAAAAAAAAAAGAGAAACCAAAACCAAAACAAACAAACAAAAACCCTACAAGAATAAAGACTGATTTCGTGAGCTTTCTTTCACTACCTGCCAGACACAGCCTAAGCTGGGCCTGAATATCTTGGGACCTGGCTCTTAACGTGGTCTAGTGCTTCCTCCTTCCCGAGAAAGGGTAGGAGGATAACAGGGATTTGGCCACAGCTAACTTGTAATATGATCTGATCCAGGAATGTGAGGCCTCCAGCTGGTGCAGTCATGAGCTGTTCCAGGATTCTTGGACTGGCCGCTTTCAAATGCTCTGCACCTGTTCTCCACAGTGCAGTTGTACTAACGAGACACAGCATGAGTTCCCATGTTCAGTTTAGAAAGTGGAGTCATCTAAACTGAAGGGGAAAAATGAACAATATTCCAGGGGGAAATGGATTCCAGCTGGGGAGCCGGAGGAGGCCTTCTCGGTGCAGGTGCTTTTGAGGCCAGGCCTTAAAGGAAGAGCAGAGTTTAATCAGCGGAGACTGTGGAGGAACATTCCAGATGGAGGGACCAGCATGAACAAAGGCCTGGGGATGGGAGTGTCTGAGCACCGGGAGGACATCCCACGCTGTCTGGTAGCCACTAGAGATGTGGCCCCACCTGAGGGGAGGTGCACTCCTACAGGAATGGGGGGCCTGGCTGGGTGCGGTGGCTCAGGCCTGTCATCCCAGCACTTTGGGAAGCCAAGGCGGGCGGATCACTTGAGGTCAGGAGTTCGAGAACAGCCTGGCCAATATGGTGAAACTCCGTCTCTACTAAAAGTACAAAAATTAGCCGGGCGTGGTGGTGCACACCTATAATCCCAGCTACTTGGAAGGCTGAGGCAGGAGATTCGCTTGAGCTTGGGAGACGAAGGTTGCTGTGAGCCGAGATCACACCACTGCACTCCAGCCTGGGCGACAGGCAACAGAGCAAGACTCTGTCTCCAAAAAAAAAAAAGGAATGGGGGCCTGGAGCTAAAAATACAACACTGGGTCCGAACGAACCAGCAGCAGGGGGCCCTTGCACAGACCCAGAAGCTCACAGCAGGGAGGGACATCTGAGCCTTAGCAGTGAACACACACACAGGATAAAAGCAAGTCTCCGAGGGGCTCAACAACACAGGGGTTCCCTGGGACTCCTGGCATCCTCTCTTCAAACCACAGCCAGTCTTTATAATTTTGCCCTCCATTTCCCATCAGACACTGGAGAAAGAGAGGAGGCAAAGACCAGAGACTGGGGAATAAAAGAACAAATGAGGGTAAGATTTACAACTTGGAAACTCTGGTCCAGCTTGGTAGCTCACGTCTGTAATCCTAGCACTTTGAGAAGCCGAGGAGGGTGGATCACCTGAAGTCAGGAGTTTGAGACCATCCTGACCAACATAGTGAAACCCCGTCTCTACTGAAAATACAAAACTTAGCCGGGCGTGGTGGCGGATGCCTGTAATCCCAGCTACTTGGGCAGCTGAGGCAGAAGAATTGCTTGAACCAAGGAGGCGGAGGTTGCAGTGAGCTGAGATCATGCCACTGCACTCCAGCCTGGGCGACAGAGTGAGACTCAGTCTTCAAAAATAAATAAATAAATAAAACTTGGAAACTCTGGGAGGCCAAGACAGGGAGATCACTTGAGGCCAGGAGTTCAAGACCAGCCTGGCCCACACGGTGAAACCCTGTCTCTACTAAAAATACAAAAATTAGCCAGGCATGGTGGTACGTGCCCGTAGTCCCAGTGACGCAGGAGGCTGAGGCACAAGAATCGCTTGAACCTGGGAGGCAGAGGTTGCAGTGAGCTGGGATCACGCCACTGTACTCCAGCCTGGGGGACAGAGCGAGACTGTCCCAAAAAAACAATAATAAAAATAACAAACTTAAAAAAAGAATTGGCCAGGCGCGGTGGCTCACGCCTATAATCCCAGCACTTTGGGAGGCCGAGGCAGGCAGATCACGAGGTCAGGAGATCAAGACCATCCTGGCTAACACGGTGAAACCCCATCTCTATTAAAAATACAAAACAATTGGCTGGGCATGGTGGCGAGCTCCTGTAGTCCCAACTACTCAGGAGGCTGAGGCAGGAGAATGGCGTGAACCCGGGAGGCGGAGGTTGCAGCGAGCCGAGATCGCACCATTGCACTCCAGCCTGGGGGACAGAGCAAGACTCCGTCTCAAAAAAAAAAAAAAAAAAAGAACCAGAACTTGGAAACTCTGGTTGAGTATAAGAAGCAATGAAAAATTATTGAAGGGTTGGGTTTGAGAAAGGAAATGAAAAGAAAAGAGGCAGCTCTCAAAGCAGCCTCCCAAATAAAGAACAGGAATGGCCAAGTCCCAGGAAGCCATCCCACCTGCTCCCTTTCTGTGCCCATGGCAGCATTCCTGAACTACAGTCCTCTTCCTGCTCAACCGCTTGAGAATATTCCTCAACATGGAGACCCAGGAAGACACAACAACTAGTGAAGCTGACATGTGAGGTGGAGGTGGTAGGATAAGGGTAGGATGAAGGAGGGTCATTGGCAGCAGAATTTAGTAATCAAGTCTTGCCCTATGTAGCGTAGGCCGGTATCTCAGAAGTGTAGGCCCTGGAGAAATAGATCTCAAAATCTAACCTGATGTCAAAAAAGTGAGACAACGACCCACAGAGTGGGAGAAAATATGTGTACACCATATGTCTGAGAAGGGTCTGGTACCCAGAATATACAAATCACTCTTTTTTTTTTTTTGGAGACAGAATCTCACACTGTCACACTGTCACCCGGGCTGGAGTGCAGTAGTGTGATCTCAGCTCACTGCAACTTCTGCCTCCTAGGTTCAAGCGGTTCTCCTGCCTCAGCCTTCCGAGTAGCCGGGATTACAGGCGCCTGCTACCATGCCCAGCTAATTTTTTGTATTTTTAGTAGAGATGGGATTTCACCATGTTGGCCAGGCTTGTCTCAAACTCCCGACCTCGTAATTCTCCCGCCTCAGCCTCCAAAGTGCTGGGATTACAGGCATGAGCCACTGCGGCCGGCCTTTTTTTTTTTCTTTTTTGAGGCGGAGTTTTTGCTCTGTTTTGCAGGCTGGAGTGCAATGGCGCAATCTCAGCTCACTGCAACCTCCGCCTCCCGGGTTCAAGGGATTCTCCTGCCTCAGCCTCCCAAGTAGCTGGGATTACAGGCACGCACCACCACGCCTGGCTAATTTGTTGTATTTTTAGTAGAGATAAGGTTTCACCATGTTGCCCAGGCTGGTCTCGAAATCCTGACCTCAGGTGACCTGCTCGCCTCGGCCTCGCAAAGTGCTGAGATTACACGTGTGAGCCACCGTGCCCGTGCCCAGCTTAAGAACTCTTTTATTAAGATTTTTATTTATGTTTTAGAGAAAATCTCACTCTGTCACCAGGCTGGAGTGCAGTGGCATGATCATAGCTCACTGCAGCCTCCAACTCCTGGGCTCAAGCAATCCACAAAATTAGCTGGGCGTGGTGGTGCACACCTGTAGTCTCAGCTGCTTGGGAGGCTGAGGCAGGAGAATTGCTCAAACCCAGGAGGCAGAGGTTGCAGTGAGCCAAGATTGCACCACTGCACTCCAGCCTGGGCGACAGAGTGAGATTCCATCTCAAAAAAAAAAAAAATTATTATATATATATAAATAACTCTTACAACTCAAGAACAAAAAGGCAAACAACCACTGAAAAAAAAAAGGCTGGCTGGGTGCGGTAGCTGACGCCTGTAATCCCAGCACTTTGGGAGGCTGAGGCGGGTGGATCACGAGGTCAGGAGTTAAAGGCCAGCCTAGCCAACATGGTGAAACCCCGTCTCTACTAAAAATACACAAATTAGCCAGGCATGGTGGCGTGTGCCTGTAATCCCAGCTACTCAGGAGGCTGAGGCAGGAGAATTGCTTAAACCCAGGAGGCGGAGGTTGTAGTGAGCTGTGATCGCACCATTGCACTCCAGCCTGGGTGACAGAGTGAGACTCCATCTCCAAAAAAAAAAAAAAAAAATGGACCAAGGACTTGAATAGGTATTTCTTCAAAGAAGATATACACATGGCCGATGAGCACATGAAAAGATGCTCAATATCACCAGCCAGCAGGGAAATGCAAATCAAAACCACTATGAGATACAACTTTGTACCCACTAGCATGGCCATCATCCAAAAAAATGGAAAATAACAAGTGTTGACAAAGATACAGAGATACTGGAACATTCATACATTGTTGGTGGAAATGTAAAATAGTGCAGCTACTGTGGAAAAGAGTTTAGTGGTTTCTCAGAGTTAAACACAGAATTCTCATATGACCCAGAAATTCTACTCCTGGATATATACCCCAACACATGGAAAACAGATGTTCTAACAAAAAAGTATACACGAATGTTCATATCATCATTATTCACAATAGCCAAAGGCAGAAACAATCCCAAATTCCATCAGCTGATGAATGGATAGACACAAGGAAAGAAGTGCTGACACATGGTACCACATGGATGAAGCTGAAAGGCGTTATGCTAAGGGAAAGAAGCTGAACACAAAAGGCCAGGTATTGCATGATTCCCTTTGTACAAAATGTCCATCCTGCCTTAGATTGCAAAAATAATTTTTAAAAAAAGGTCAGGCACGGTGCCTTACACCTGTAATCCCAGCACGTTGGAAGGCCGAGGTGGGCAGATCACTTGAGGTCAGGAGTTCAAGACCAGCCTGGCCAACATGGTGAAACCTCGTCTCTACTAAAAATACAAAAATTAGCCGGGTGTGGTGGCAGATACCTGCAGTCCCAGCTACTCAGGAGGCTGACGCAGGAGAATCACTTAAACATGGGAGGCAGTTTGCAGTGGGCCAAAAATCACACCACTGCACTTCAGCCTGGGCAACAGAGTAAGACTGTATCTCAATTAAAAAAACAAAAACAAAAACAAAACAAAACACTCAAAATGCCCAGAACAGGCAAATCCACAGAGACAAAAAGCTGGTATTTCACTAGTTAATTTCTCCTCTGAAGAGAATGGAAGAGAGCACAGGAGTGTTCAGCTCACCCTCCCAGGGCTGGGATGGAGGCTGAGCGCTTGGGAAAAGCTGCTGCTCACAGCCCTTGGGGAACTTTTGCAGGTGGGGACCTGACCTGTGGGAACATAGTCCAAGGAAGCCCAATTATCTCATTATTCTTGGTGCATTTTAGATTCCACACCTGGGCCCCAATGGTGTGTCATTCCCCCTCCAGCTATGGTCCTCCTCTGGGAGGCTAGAGACCTGTGGCATAGGAGCACCCCCTGCCTTTGTGAGCACAGGCCTGCCAGGACTTTTTTTTTTTTTTTTTTTTTGAGACAGAGTTTCACTCTTGTCGTCCGGGCTGGAATGCAATGGTGCAATCTCTGCTCACTGCAACCTCCGCCTCCTGGGTTCAAGCGATTCTCCTGCCTCAGCCTCCCGAGTAGCTGGGATTACAGGTGGGTACCACCACGCCTGGCTAATTTTTGAATTTTTAGTAGAGACAGGGTTTCACCATGTTGGTCAGACTGGTCTCAAACTCCTGATCTCATGATCCACCTGCCTCAGCCTCCCAAAATGCTGGGATTACAAGCGTAAGCCACCATGCCCAGCCATCCCAGCGCTTTGAAAGGCCAAGGTAGGAAGATCGCTTGGGCCCAGGGGTTCAAGATTAGCCTGGGCAACAGAGGGAAATGCCATTTCTACAAAAAATTTAAAAATTAGCCAGGTGTGGTGATTAATGCCTGTGGTCCCAACTACTCAGGAGGCTAAGGCAGGAGGATCACTTCAGCCCAAGAAATTGAGGCTGCAGGGAGCCATGTGTGTGCCACTGCACTCTAGCCTGGGCGAGAGGGCAAGACCTTGTCTAAAAACAAAACAAACAAATAAACAAAACAGAGAGGAGAGGAGAAAGCGGCAGAATGAAATGCAACAAAGAAGAAAATCTTTCCACCTCGCCTTGGACACTAAACCCTCTTGTCATTCCGTAGGCATCGTCCCAGGACCTGGGCACTGTGGATGTGGAGCCCAGGGCTGGGGTGGGGGTGCAGAAACAGAACTCAAAGAGGGGCTTACAATTCTGTTGAGGAGAGGCATGCACACATTTAAATGCCATCACACACACACACACACACAAAAGAAAAAGGAAAAATTAAATAAAATGCCATCACAAAAGACCATATCCTCCAAAAGTACAATTGTGGAGGTATAAAAAAAAAATTAATAGTATAGGCCAGGAGCAGTGGCTCACGCCTGTAAACCCAACACTTTGGGAGGCTGAGGCGCGCGGATCACGAGGTTAGGAGATTGAGACCATCCTGGCCAACATGGTGAAACCCCGTCTGTACTAAAAATACAAAAATTAGCTGGGCATGGTGGCGTGTGCCAGTAATCCCAGCTACTTGGGAGGCTGAAGCAGAAGAATCACTTGAACCTGGGAGGCGGAGGTTGCAGTGAGCCCCGAATGCGCCACTGCACTCCGGCCTGGTGACAAAGCGAGACTCCGTCTCAAAAAAAAAAAAATTAATTGTACAGTAATAATTGAAAAGGTTATGTATTAGTCAGGTTGGCTACCGACAGATAACCCCAGCATTTGAGTGGTGCATCACAACAAACTTTTTTTATTTATTTTTTCAACGGACCGGGTCTTGCTGTGTCACCCAGGCTGGAGTACAGTGGTGCCATCACAACTCACTGCAGCCTCAAACTCCTGCGCTCAAGCCATCCTCCTGCCTCAGTGTCTCGAGTACCTGGGATTACAGGTGCATACCACCATGCCTGGCTAATTTTTGAATGATTTTAGAGATGGGAGTCTCACTGTGTTCCCCAGACTGGTCTCAAACTCGTGGCCTCAAGTGATCTTCCCGTGTCAGGCTCCTGAGTAGCTGGGATTATAGGCACCAGCACAAAAGTTTATTTTTTTGTCTCCCACACAGCAGTCCCAAGTGGGTTTTGCTCTGTTCCAAGTGGCGCTGCAAGGACTCTGGAAACGTCACCTCCTGGTTCCACTCCCACTTCCAGTTGTGTTAACAAGGAAACACAGGCCGGGAAGCATGCCCATCACTCTGGCCTCATTCCATCATCCATACCTGTCTTATGGCCCCATCTAACTACACAGGGGGCTGGGAATTGTAGTCCAGTGGTGTGCCCTGGAGGAAAAGTAAATGAGGATTGCTGAACACCCAGTAGTCTCTGTCACAGCTACTGTTTACTGAGACTCTACTACATGTCTGGCACCATGCTAAGCATGCTACATGCATGTTATCATTTCATCCTTTTTTTTTTTTTTTGAGATGGAGTCTCACTCTGTCACCCAGGCTGGAGTGCATTGGCGCGATCTCCGCTCACTGCAACCTCCACCACCCAGGTTCAAGCAATTCTCCTGCCTCAGCCTCCCGATTAGCTGGGATTACAGACGCGCGCCACCATACCTGGCTAATTTTTTTGTATTTTTAGTAGAGACGGGGTTTCACCATGTTGGTCAGGCTGGTCTTGAACGCCTGACCTCAGGTGATGATCCACCTGCCTCAGCCTTCCAAAGTGCTGGGATTACAGACGTGAGCCACCATGCCCGGCCTTTTTTTTTTTTTTTTTTTTGAGACAGTCTCACTCTGTTGCTCAGGCTAGAGTGCAGTGGCGAGATCTCAGCTCACCGCAACCTCCGCCTCCTGGGTTCAAGTGATTCTCCTGCCTCAGCCTCCCAAGTAGCTGGGATTACAGGCAATCGCCACCATGCCCGGCTAATTTCTGTATTTTTAGTAGAGACAGGGTTTCATCACAATGGCCAGGCTGGTCTTGAACTCCTGACCTCAGGCTGGTCTTGAACACCTCAGGTGATCCGCCCACCTAGGCTGCCCTAAGTGCTGGGATTACAGACCTGAGCCACCGCGCCCAGCCGAATTTCATCCTTAACATCAGTTCTCATTTACAGAGGAGGAAACTGAGTCTCAGAAAGTTTAAGTAAATTTTATAAGGTAAAATGTGCATGCTTGGAGAACCAATGTGGAACAAGAGCCTTCTGACCCCAAAGCCTGTGGCAGACAATGAAATAAGGACAGATAACATGGCGAGCTCCTACCTGCTCTGAGACAACACCCATTCCCTCAACAGCATCATTTATTAAGTGCAGATTATGGATTAGGCATTATTCTAAGCACCTTCATAATAACTCATTCAATCCTCACAAAAACCCTGCTAGACAGCTACTGTTAATGCCCTTATTTTTTTATTTTTTTTATTTTTTTTGAGACAGAGTCTTGCTCTGTCACCCAGGCTGGAGTGCTGTGACGCAATCTCGGCTCACTGCAACCTCCGCCTCCCGGATTCAAGCAATTCTCCTGCCTTAGCCTCCCGAGTAGCTGGGATTACAGGTATGCACCACCATGCCCGGCTAATTTTTATTTTTAGTAGAGACGGGGTTTCACTATGTTGGTCAGGCTGATCTCCAACTCCTGACGTCGTGATCCACCCGCTTCGGCCTCCCAAAGTGCTGGGATTACAGGCGTGAGCCACAGCACCCGGCCAGTGCCCTTATTTTGAAGATGAGGAAATTGCACAGAGAAGTTATGTGACTTGAAGTCACTCAGCACATGTATGGAAGGGACAGGACTCAAACCTGGGTAGTCTGTCTCCAGTCTACCTACACATTAATTGCCCAGCTTCTGCCTCTCTACAAACAATGAAGTGAAGTGTTGTGGGGCAGAGTCTCCTAAGAGAGGCAGTGGTACCCTGGGGAGGGTGCAAGCTGGTCCCCTGGGATGTGTGTGGGAAATATGATCCTTCTATTTACATTTATCTGTTATCTTAAAAAAAAAATCGGCTGGGCATGGTGGCTCACGCCTGTAATTCCAGCACTTTGGAAGGCCAACATGGGCAGATCACCTGAGGTCAGGAGTTCGAGACCAGACTGGCCAACATGGAGAAACCCCGTCTCTACTAAAAATACAAAAATTAGCTGGACGTGGTGGTGCATGCCTATAATCCCAAACTACTCAGGAGGCTGAGGCAGGAGAATCACTTGAACCCAGGCGGCAGAGGTTGCAGTGAGCCAAGATCACACCACTGCACTCCAGCCTGAGGGATGGAGTGAGACTCTGTCTCAAAATAAAAATAAAAAAAAAAAGAGCGAGGTTAAACTTTACAATATGCATTATACAGACTGATGCCGAGTGGCGTTCAATCTGTGTAATACATGTTAGCAAAATTTAATATCATTCTGACTTTTTTCTTTTTTTAGAATACAGATAAACATAAACAGAAGGCGTCACCTGCAACTCTTGGATAAGTGAATCAGTGCAGTGTGTTTAGTTTTTATTTATTTATTTATTTATTTTGAGACAGAGTCTCCGCTGGGCGCCACCGCACCCAGCCACAGTGTGTTTAGTTTTAACCACACTAACTCACAGTATGGACGAGTGATTTTCTTTGGTATTTTTAAAATTGATATAGGTCTTATTTGGGGGGTATATGTGTTATTTTGATACATGCATACAATGTGTAATGAACGAATCAGGGTGACTGAAATATCCATTACCTCAAACGTTACCTTTTCTTTGTAGACGAGCGATTTTTTTTTTTTTTTTTTTGAGACGGAGTCTCGCTCTGTCGCCCAGGCTGGAGTGCAGTGGCGCAATCTCGGCTCACTGCAAGCTCCGCCTCCCGGGTTCACGCCATTCTCCTGCCTTAGCCTCCGGAGTAGCTGGGACTACAGGCGCCCGCCACCGCGCCCTGCTAATCTTTTGTATTTTTAGTAGAGACGGGGTTTCACCGTGTTAGCCAGGATGGTCTCGATCTCCTGACCTTGTGATCCGCCCGCCTCGGCCTCCCAAAGTGCTGGGATTACAGGCGTGAGCCACCACGCCCGGCCTAGACGAGCGATCCTAAAAGATCCACGCAAAGAAACGACGGCTCACCTGGCGTGGGTGCTGCCTCCGCCTTCAGCACCCACCCTCCCTCACGCACGCCCAGAATCGCGGCGGCCCAGAGCGGAAGGCGGGGCCTGTGGCCACACCCCTTCCCTATTCCCCGCCTTCCGCGCATCTTCCGGGAGCGACTTTGGCTGCATCGTTTTGCGATTGGGAGAGCTGCGGGATGTCGGAAGGACGTGATTGAATGAAATAGCTGCCTCTCATCCATTGGCCAGCTCCGATTGGCCGAGATACCGCCATGGGTTTTGACGAACTTTCACGCCAGCTGGGCTGAGATGCTAGCAGTTGACTCCCGCAGGGTCCCGGCGCCGGCAGCCGTGCTGCGTGTGTTGGGTAGTGCGAGGCGGTCCAGTGCAGCGACAGTCCGGCTCGAGGGCGGAGGGCCAGCCGAAGCGGGGTGGTGGCCGCTGCCCCGGGAAAGACTGTCCAAGATGCTGACAGGAGCTTTGGCTCGTGAGATTGAGAGGAAGTCAGACGCCGTGGTCTGTGTAACCCCCCAGTAAGGTCCCCAGCTTGCAACCGAATTCGGAACCTAGACTTGGAGCCTTCTCCGAAAGCAAATGGACACAACCCATCAGCGGCAGCACACAAACTTGAGTCTGTCGTGGCAGGTGGCGCTTCTGCGGCAGAGCAGTGATCCGCTTGTAGAGATTTATGAGCAAAGGAACCGGAAGAAAAAAATCAAAAAGCTAATTGCTAAAGGCCGGGCGCGGTGGCTCACGCCTGTAACCCAACACTTTGGGAGGCCGAGGCCGGTGGATCACGAGGTCAGGACTTCGAGACCAGCCTGGCCTACCTGGTGAAGCCTCGTCTCTACTAAAAATATAAAAATTAGCCGGGCATGGTGGTGCACGCCTGTAAACCCAGCTACTCAGGAGGCTGAGGCAGGAGAATTGCTTGAATCCGGGAGGCGGAGGTTGCGGTGAGCCGAGATTGCACCACTGCACTCCAGTCTGGGCGACAGAGCGAGACTCCGTCTGGCGGGGTGAGGGGGAAGCTAATTGCTGACAGCGAGGTCTCTCGGTTACAAACCCATCTCCAGAGCCAAGTGGGGGAATTGAGGACATTTGGTCAAAGGAGAAGGATCCAGAACTGTGACCAGCAGAAATTGGTGCATGGCCTCTCATTTCTGTAGTTTTTTATCGGTGGGGGAAAAAGAACAAAACCAAAAACTCCCTGTCCTCGACATAATTCTCTGTAGGAGAAGGAACCTCTGTGGGAATGAGCTTATCTGCAAAGATCATCGTGAAGTTGTTAAAGAAGTTAAATGGAAGACTCGCAAGAAATTCATCACAACAAAAAGCTAAACGTTTTTTTGGATGAAGATTTGTTATCTGTGAGGTGTATGAGGCCCAGGAGAGATCCGGTTCATTTTCTGAGAGAAGATTTTTGGAAGGTTTATATGAATTCTCAGTCACGCTGTACTTTCTGGTGTGATAAAGCTAGGCAGTGGCAAGAATGGCAACAGCCTGAAAACATGCAAAATTTCCATGTTATCAGAAAAACAGGAAAGGATAATGGTAGATCTTACTTCTGATGCCACTTGTTTATTATATTTAATAAGCTGACACGATCCTGTCTAGTGAAAATCCCTGCACGCAGTGCCCCTTGGGCTTGCTGAACAAGGGTAACATGCCACCGGAAGTATATAATGATACCAAAAGATGAAGTCCATCAGTCAGTCACCTTCGTGATAATATCTCCAAGGGACCTAGGGAAATAGTGAGGCTTATGCATATAAAGAGACACCATATGAGGCAGAAATTAGGTGACTTGAACAGCATTCTGCTTTAGAGTTGTTTTGAAAATACTCCCGGCCGGGCGCGGTGGCTCATGCCTGTAATCCTAGCACTTTGGGAGGCCAAGGCGGGCGAATCACTAGGTCAGGAGTTCGAGACCAGCCTGACCAACATGGTGAAACCTCGTCTCTACTAAAAATACAAAAATTAGCCAGGCGTGGTGGCATGTACCTGTAATCCCAGCTACTCAGAAGGCTGAGGCAGGAGAATCGCTTGAACCTGGGAGGCGGAGGTTGCGGTGAGCCGAGATCGCGTCAGTGCACTCCAGCCTAGGTGACAGAGCGAGATTTCTTGTCTCAAAAAAAAGAAAGAAAGAAAATACTCCCAAGTCAGATTTTTTTTTTTTTGAGACATAGCCTCACTCTCTCCCAGGCCGGAGTGCAGTGGTACAATTAACAGCTCACTGCAGCCTCAACCTCCCAGGCTCAAGAGATCCTTCCATCTCAGCCTCCTGAGTAGCAGGGACTACAGGCATACACTGCAATGCCAGGCTAATTAAAAAAAAAAAAATTTGTAGGCCGGGCACGGTGGCTCAGGCCTGTAATCCCAGCACTTTGGGAGGCCGAGGCAGGCGGATCACGAGGTCAGGAGATTGAGACCATCCTGGCTAACACGGTGAAACCCCGTCTCTACTAAAAATAGAAAAAATTAGCTGGGCATGGTGGCAGGTGCCTGTAGTCCCAGCTACTCAGGAGGCTGAGGCAGGAGAAGGGCGTGAACCCAGGAGGCGGAGCTTGCAGTGAGCCGAGATCGCGCCACTGCAGTCCAGCCTAGGCGACAGAGAGAGACTCTGTCTCAAAAAAAAAAAAAGGAAAAAAAAGCATATTTTGTAGAGACTGGGATCTCACTATGTTGCCTAGGCTGGTCTCAAACTCCTAAGCTCAAGCAATCCTCCCACCTCAGCCTCCCAAAGTGCTGGGATTATAGGTATGAATGCCCAGCCCCAAATTAGGTCATTAAGAGCATTCCAGATCATTAAAATTATCTAGGGAGATAAAAACACACAGGATTGTTCATCAGTGTAGGAACACCCAAAAGTAATCTTCAATTGTTTACTTGTATCTTGGTAACCAAAGACCATTGTGTTCTTCAGAACCAGTAAGGGGCATGCATGCTGAAACATGAATAGTAACTCATACTACACAAACAGCCAGTGCACTCTGACTTCACGTCCTAGCCCTGTGCAGGTGCTTTACATGCATCAATTCATTAAATCCTTACGACAACCCTCTGCAGCAGGTACTATTATTACCCCACTTTATTTTATTTTTATTTATTTATTTATTTTTTTGAGACAGGGTCTCACTGTTGCCCAGGCTGGAGTGCAGTGGTGCGATCTCGGCTCACTGCAACCTCCGCCGCCCAGGTTCCAGTGATTCTCTTGCCTCAGCCTCCTGAATAGCAGGGATTACAGGCGTCTGCCACCATGCCTGGCTAATTTTTGCATTTTTAGTAGAGGCAAGGTTTCACCATGTTGGCAAGGCTGGTCTTGAACTCCTGACCTCAAGTGATCCATCTGCCTCGGCCTCCCAAAGTGTTAGGATTACAGGCATGAGCCACTGTGCCCGGCCTTATTGCCCCACTTAAGAAATGAGGAAACTGGCCAGGTGCAGTGGCTCACACCTGTAATCCCAGCACTTTGGGAAGCTGAGGTGGGCGGATCACAAGGTCAGGAGATCGAGACCATCCTGGCTAACACGGTAAAACCCCGTCTCTACTAAAAATACAAAAAATTAGCTGGGCGTGGTGGCACGTGCCTGTAATCCCTGTGACTTGGGAGGCTGAGGCAGGAGAATCTATTGAACCTGGGAAGTGGAGGTTGCAGTGAGCCAAGATCATCACACCATTGCACTCCAGCCTGAGTGACAGAGCGAGACTCCATCTCAAAATAATAATAATAATAATAATAAATGAGGAAACTGAGGACTAGAGAAGTAATTTTCCCAGCGAGTAACTGACTGAGCCAGGATGTGAACCCCTATGCAGCTTATCACAGACCTTCTGCTTTCTGTTGTGCTGCAGCACCTCACCAAGGTGACACACAGGAACTTGGCCAGGCAAAGAATGATGGCACATTTACACCATGGTGAGTTTTTGTAAAATTTATTAAGAGATTTTTGAAATGGATCCATTGGCCAGGTGCAGTGGCTCATGCCTGTAATCCCAGCACTTTGGGAGGCTGAGGCGGGAGGATCACCTGAGGTCAGGAGTTCGAGACCAGCCTGGCCAACATGGTGAAACCCCATCTTGACTAAAAATACAAAAATTAGCTGGACGTGGTGGCGGGCACTTGTAATCCCAGCTACTCAGGAGGCTGAGGCTGGAGAATTGCTTGAACCCGGGAGGAAGAGCTTGTAGTGAGTGGAGATCGTGCCATTGTATTCCAGCCTGGGCAAAAAGAGCGGAACTCCGTCTAAAAAAAAAAAAAAACAAACTATCTTTGTCCTGTTAAATAGAGGATCTTGGACATAGTTAAACTTTTCTTTTTTTTTGAGACAGAGTCTCGCTCTTTCACCTAGGCCGGAGTGCAGTGGCACTATCTTGGCTCACTGCAAGCTCCGCTCCTGGGTTCACGCCATTCTCCTGCCTCAGTCTCTGAGTAGCTGGGACTACTGGCGCCTGCCACCGCACCCGGCTAATTTTTTGTATTTTTAGTAGAGATGGGGTTTCACCATGTTAGCCAGGATGGTCTCAATCTCCTGACCTCATGATCCGCCCGCCTGGGCCTCCCAAAGTGCTGGGATT
This sequence comes from Homo sapiens, assembly GCF_000001405.40. Lineage (NCBI taxonomy): Eukaryota > Metazoa > Chordata > Mammalia > Primates > Hominidae > Homo > Homo sapiens. The sequence goes on along the minus strand of NC_000009.12, from coordinate 131,369,172 downwards.
ACAGGCGTGAGCCACCACGCCTGGCCCAACCTTTTCTTAATAGCTTAGCACTATTGTTAGTATTTATAACCTGTCTTAGCATGTCTGGACCGCTATAACAAAATGTCATAAAATGAGTGGCTTACAAACAACAGAAATGTATTTCTCACAGTTCTGGAGGCTGGGAAGTTCCACGAGCAAGGTGCTGGTAGATTCATTGTCTGGTGAGGGCCTGCTTCCTGGCTCAGAGACAGCTGTCCTTTGGCTGTGTCCTTACATGGTATCCACCTCTCGTGACTTAATCATCTCCCAAAAGCCCCATTGCTCTCTTTATTTATTTATTTATTCATTTTTGAGACGGAGTCTCGCTCTGTCACCGGGCTGGAGTGCAATGGCATGATATCAGCTCACTGCAACCTCTGCCTCCCGCTTCATGCAATTCTCCTGCCTCAGCCTCCCAAGTAGCTGGGATTACAGGTGCATGCCACTACACCCGGATAATTTTTGTATTTTTAGGAGACACGGGGTTTCACCATGTTGGCCAGGATGGTCTCAATCTCTTGACCTCATGATCTGCCCACCTCAGCCTCCCAAAGTGTTGGGATTACAGGTGTGAGCCACCTTGCCCGACAATTCTTTTTTTTTAAATTCTTAGTAGAGACAGGGTCTCGTTATGTTGCCCAGGCTGTTCTTGAACTCCTGAGCTCAAGTTATCCTCCTGCCTCAGCCTCCGAAAGTGCTGGGATTACAGACCTGAGTCATCTGGCCCAGCCCAGCCCCATCTCTTTATACCATCACCTTGGGGGGCTAGGATTTCTTTTTTTTTTTTTTTATTCTTTTTTTTTGAGACGGAGTCTCGCTCGCCCAGGCTTGAGTGCAATGGTGCGATCTTAACTCACTGCAACCTCCGTCTCCTGGGTTCAAGCAATTCTCCTGCTTCAGCCTCCCGAGTAGCTGGGATTACAGGCATCCGCCACTGTGCTGCTCGGCTAGTTTTTGTATTTTTAGTAGAGACAGGTTTTCACCATGTTGGCCAGGCTGGTCTTGAACTCCTGACCTCAGGTGATCCGCCCACCTCGGCCTCCCAAAGTGCTGGGATTACAGGTGTGAGCCACCACGCCCGGCAGGGGCTAGGATTTCAACATATGAATTTGGGGCAGCAGGGGTGGAAACAGTCTGTGTAACATTGTCATCCTGTGCTTTAGGAAAATTCTGTTTTGTTCTTTGGATTGCTGTTACTTTATTATCAGGCTCCCAGCCAAAACTCCCTGTGGCCATGGTCTGTCTCAAACAGTACCTTTCTCCAACCAGCTCTCTCCACCCTCACCCCCAAAATGTGGCTGATCAAATCCTTTGGGCTAAAAATCAAAATATGAATTGTTTTTTTGTAAGTATTATAATTTAGCATGAGGTCTTTGTGATAATAATTTCTTGCCCCAGAGATCTTTTTTCCCATTTATTTCCAGTTAAGAATATGATTTGAAAGTCTGTGTTGCTGAGAGATTAACAAGCAGATAAGCAGGTTCCGGGTGTACTTCCCTAACTACCTGGTAGTATTCTTCACAGCACAAGCTGGTGATTCCTTTAAAAAAAATTTTTTTTTTTTTTTTTGAGTCAGTGTCTCACTCTGTCACCTAGGCTGGAGTGCAGTGGCAGGATCATAGCTCACTGCAGCCTTGAACTCCTGGCTCAAGCAATCCTTTCTCCTTACCCTCCCAAGCAGCTGGGACCATAGGCGTATGCTACCATGGCCAGCTAATTTGTTTTTATGTTTTGTAGAGATGGGGTCTCACTGTATTGCCCAAGCTGGTCTTGAACTCCTGGGCTCAAATAATCCTTCCACTTCAAGCTCCCAAAGTGCTGGGTAAAAGTGTGAGCCACTGCTCCCTGTTGTTGACCATAGATTCTTGGGCTCTCAATGCAATAGAAATCGTCATGAAGCCTGGAGTTTTCCCAGGAAAGACTTAGTTGGAGCTTATGCCTGGACATATGAAGGTAGCACGGGAGGCAGAAAGAGACAGAGAGGAGAATTCCCTGACTGCCTCTCTAAAAAGAGTCAGTAGGGCTTTTTTATTAGGCAAAGTGTGGGAATTAACGTCAGGGGTAGGGTGGTGTGCAGACTGGACTGGGCAAAACACTGAGGGGTAGGGTATGCAGGTTAGCATGGCCGGTTGCTATGGTTGTCTTGACTAAGGGGCCACCTGGTGGTCTGGCTGGTAGCAAGGCTATAAATCAGTTGCTCAGCATTCCTTCCCAGGGTGGAACACGCCACAACCTTGGTTTCATATTTGGATTTCCTAAAGCCAGTTCTTGGCATTCCTTAAGTAAAAGGCGTGGTTAAACATTATGGCATCAATGAGGCAGTGGAGTGGGGTTTGTGATCACTGGGAATGCATGGAAGAATGCTCCAGTGGGAGTGAGCTGAAGCCAAGCCCTGTTCCCACTCTTTCTCATCTCAGCCCTGAAACCTTTGCAAAATTATGACAGTGAAAGACATCTAGACCAGGCGCGGTGGCTCACGCCTGTAATCCCAGCACTTTGGGAGGCCAAGATGGGCAGATCACCTGAGGTTGAGACTAGCCTGGCCAACATGGTGAAACCCCATCTCAACTAAAAATACAAAAATTAGTCAAGTGTGGTGGTGTACACCTGTAATCTCAGCTACTCTGGAGGCTGAGGCATGAGAATTGCTTGAACCCAGGAGGCGGAGGTTGCAGTGAGCTGAGATTGCATCACTGCACTCCAGTCTGAGTGACAGAGCGAGAATCTGTCTCAAAAAAAAAAAAAAAAAAAAAAAAAAAAAAACCAGAAAGCTGACATAGTTGACTCCATCTTGCTTCTAACCCCCAAGCTCTCCTTGGTCATTCCTGGGCTTAGGCCAGGCTAACTTTGGGGAGAATCTAGTTTATAGTTTAACCTTAAAGCAAGGATGATAGTAGTACTTTCCCAAACTAAACTGCCTTTGTAAAACTAATGCCTGGTCAGGCGCGGTGGCTCACCCTTCTAATCCCAGCACTTTGGGAGGCTGAGATGGGCGGATCACCTGAGGTTGGGAGTTCGAGACCAGCGTGACTAACATGGAGAAACCCCTGCCTCTACTAAAAATACAAAAATTAGTTGGGCATGGTGGCACATGCCTGTAATCCCAGCTACTCGGGAGGCTGAGGCAGGAGAATCGCTTGAACCTAGGAGGTGGAGGTTGTGGTGAGCCGAGATTGTGCCATTGCACTCCAGCCTGGGCTACAAGCATTGCACTGCAGCCTGGGCTACAAGAGTGAAACTCCATCTCAAAAAACAAAACAAAACAAAACAAAAAAACTAATGCCCACTGGTCCTGTGGCCCAACTCACAGGAAGACTCAGTGCTCAAGGAGCATTTTGCACACCCCCATGATCACATTCCCGACCAATTACCAGCACCTGTTCCCTAGCCCCTGCCTGCCAAACTATCCTTGAAAAAGCCTAGCCTCAACATTTTGGGGGAGACTGATTCAAGTAGTAACTCTGCTCTGGACAAACCATACCTTTCTCCAACCATCTCAAAAATAAAATACAAAAAAATTGACTAGGGGTGTTGTTGCCTGCCTATAGTCCCAGCTACTTGGGAGGCTGAGACAGGAGAATTGCTTGAACCCAGGAGGTGGAGGTTTCAGTGAGCCGAGATTGTGCCACTGCACTCCAGCCTGGGGAACAGAGCAAGACTCCATCTCAAAAAACAAAAAAACAAAAACAAAACGCCAGACAGGCTGGGTGCCATGGCTCTCTCCTGTAATCCCAGCACTTAAGGAGGCCAAGGCAAGAGGATTGCTTGAGCCTAGGAGTTTGAGATCTGCCTGGGCAACAGAGCAAAACTTTGTCTCTAGAAAAAATTTAAAATATTTATTTATGTAATATAAACTTTTTTTTTTAAACCAGACAAAAGGGACAGTCGTGGTGCCCATAATCCCAGTGCTTTGGGAGGCTGTGATGGAAAGATTGCCTGAGACAAGCCTGAGTAATATAATGAGACCTCATCTCTCCAAAAAAAAAAAAAAAAAAAAAAAAAAAAATGGCCTGGCACGGTGGCTCGCCAGTAATCCTAGCACTTTGGGAGGCCAAGGAGGGTGGATCACCTGAGGTCAGGAGTTCGAGACCAGCCTGACCAACATGGAGAAACCCTGTCTCTAATAAAAATACCAAATTAGCCGGGCATGGTGGCTCATGCCTCTAATCCCAGCTACTAGGGAGGGTGAGGCAGGAGAATCGCTTGAACCTGGGAGGTGGAGGTTGTGATGAGCTGAGATTGTGCCATTGCACTCTAGCCTGGGCAACAAGAGCGAAACTCCGTCTCAAAAAAAAAAAAAAAAAAAAAAAAAAAATTGGCTGCGGCACACGCCTGTAGTTCAAGCTGCTACTTAGGGAGCTGAGGAAGGAAGATCACTTGAGCCCAGTTCAAGGTTACAGTGAGCTATAATTGTGCCACTGCACTCCAGTCTGGGCAACAAAGAGACCCTGTCTCGAAAAAGAAAAGTCAGATAAAGAATACACATGGTGGCCGGGCGCGGTGGCTCACGTCTGTAATCCCAGCACTTTGGGAGGCTGAGGCAGGCGGATCACGAGGTCAGATCGAGACCATCCTGGCTAACACGGTGAAACCCCGTCTCTACTAAAAATACAAAAAAATTAGCCGGGCATGGTGACGGGCGCCTGTAGTCCCGGCTGCTGGGGAGGCTAAGGCAGGAGAATGGCGTGAACCCGGGAGACTGAGCTTGCAGTGAGCTGAGATCGCGCCACTGCACTCCAGCCTGGGTAACAGAGCAAGACTCCGTCTCAAAAAAAAAAAAAAAAAAAAAGAATACACATTGCATGATTTGATTTATAGAAAATGCTAGAAAATACAAACCAAAGGTGACAGATCAGTGATTTTCTAGGGTTGGGGGTTGGGGGTAGGAGGAGTAAAAGATAGATTACAAAAGAGCAGGAAGAGGCCGGGCATGGTGGCTCACTCCTGTAATCCCAACACTTTGGGAGGCGGAGGCGGGTGGATCACCTGAGGTCAGAAGTTTGAGACCAGCCTGGCCAACATGGTGAAACCCCATCTCTACTAAAAATACGAAAATTAGCTGGGTGTGGTGGCAGGCACCTGTAATCTCAGCTACTAGGGAGGCTGAGGCAGGAGAATCGCTTGAACCAGGGAGGCAGAGGTTGCAGTGAGAGCCGAGATCTCGCCACTGCACTGCAGTCTGGGCAACAGGGCGAGACTCTGCTTCAAAAAAAAAAAAAAAAAAAAGAAGCAGGAAGAACCCAATGAGGGTGAAGGAAATATCATCTTGGTTGTGGTAATCATTTCACATGTGTAGACATAGGTCACAACACAAAAACACATCAGATTTTACACTTCATATATGTGCAGTTTATTGCACATTAATTATACCTCAGTAAAGCTGTAGAAGAATAATAAAGCCATCTTGAAAAAAGAAGTGAATGAATGAGGATAGTATTAGGCCAGGAGCCATGGCTGGTGCCTATAATCTCAGCACCTTGGAAGGTCAAGGGAGGAGGATCACTTGAACCCAAGAGTTCGAAACCAGCCTTGGCAACAAGATGAAACCCCATCTCTACAAAAAAACAAGTACAAAAATTAGCCAGGCATGGTGACACATGCCTATAGTCCCAGCTACTTCGGAGGCTGAAGAGGGAGCATCACCTGAGCCGGGGATGTGTTGGTTGCAGTAAGCCGAGATCTTGCCACTGCACTCAGCCTGGTTGACAGAATGAGACAAGAAAAAAAAATGTCAAACTGACCCTTTTTCAAGGCCCAGGACTTCAATTAATCCAGAAGATTATTTGAAATGTGGATTTACACCCATTTATTTGAATGAAGAACCTCACTCTGGGCATAGATGGGCCTTGAGATACTGGGTTACATAATATGACTCCATCCCAAGAACCGGAGCATGTGAAAATCAAATGTCCAGGTGAACCTCTACAATTTCTCCAGTGATTTTTAAAGTTGTGTCATACTTAATCCAGTGCTTCCCCCAGAGTTTCTTCAAACTTAATGATAAATGATTCAAAGCCTTTTTTGAGACAGGGTCAGCTTTTTTTGAGACAGGGTCAGCCACCCAAGTAACTGAAACTTACCAGCGTGTGCCACCAAGCCTGGCTAATTTTTTTGTATTTTTTGTAAAGATGGGGTTTTGCCATGTTGCCCAGGTTGGTCTCAAACTCCTGAGCTCCAGTAATTCTCCCGCCTCGGCCTCCAAAAGTGCTGGGATTACAGGTGTGAGCCACTGCGCCTGGCTTCTTTTTTGAGGTTTCTTAATAGCAAAAGCAGAAACTTGCATACCGTTGGGAATCATTTGTTCTTCCTGTCAGATAAAAATTTCTGGCCGGATGCGGTGGCTCAAGCCTGTAATCCCAGCACTTTAGGAGGCCGAGGCGGGCGGATCACGAGGTCAGGAAATCAAGACCATCCTGGGTAACACGGTGAAACCCCGTCTCTACCAAAAATACAAAAAATTAGCCAGGCGTGGTGGCGGGCGCCTGTAGTCCCAGCTACTCGGGAGGTTGAGGCAGGAGAATGGCATGAATCTGGGAGGCAGAGCTTGCAGTGAGCTGAGATCGCGCCACTGCACTCCAGCCTGGGCGACAGAGTGAGACTCCGTCTCAAAAAAAAAAAAAAAAATTCTGCAGTAAAAACTGTAACAGAAATAAAAATAAAATCTGGCAAGGAACTAAAATATATTTCTTCATCAATCACATGTATCATTGGAAAGCCAGCAGAAAGCAAGGCTGAATTTGAACAAAGTATTCAGGGTCAGACGGATGTTATGAATGTTTTTAGCCTGTCTCTGCTTATGGCAGAAAGACCATACTTCTTATTTATTTATTTATTTATTTGAGACGAGTCTCGCTGTCACCCAGGCTAGAGTGCAGTGGTGCAATCTCGGCTCACTGCAACCTCCGCCTCCCGGGTTAAAGCTATTCTCCTGCCTCATCCTCCCAAGTAGCTGGGATTACAGATGCCCACCACCACACCCGGCTAATTTTTTTATTTTTAGTAGAGACGAGGTTTCGCCGTGTTGGCCAGGCTGGTCTTGAACTCCTGACCTAAAGTGATCCACCCACCTCGGCATCCCAAAGTGCTGGGATTACAGGCGTGGGCCACCGTGCCCAGCCCAATTTTTGTATTTTTTGTAGAGATGGGGCTTTGCCATGTCGCCCAGGCTGGTCTCAAACTCTTGGGCTCAAGCAATTCTCCCACCTCAGCCTCCCAAGGTGCTGGGATTACAGGCATGAGCCACCATGCCTGGCCTAGTTTTTAAATTTATTTTTCTTTTCAATTTTTTAGGGACGGGGTCTTGTTACAGTAGGTAGCTAGTCAGGCATGAGCACAGCAGGAGAGGGCCCCCCCAACCAGGAATGTCCGCCACCATCATGTAATGGTTAAGCGGTTGTTAACTGTCTCTCTAACATAATAATTGTTCAAAAAATAATGTGGGTGCCAGACACTGTGACTCAGCACCAGGCAGCAGAGAAAGCAGTCTCCTAATAAACAGGAACACCTGAAACTGGGGATCAGCAGCTTCCTGATAAGATCTCAGGAGCTGGACAAGTAGGCTCGAGCATGTGCATTAAGAGGCAAAATGGTAGGGCTTAACTGGTATATGAACTTCTAGGGGCATTTGACTGTTAAGGGAAGAATGCCTCAAGTGAACACGTGCACAGCTCCAGGAAACACACTGTGCATGCTCACCTCCCAAGTGCTGGCAGCCACTGCGCATGCGGACAGCCCACCCCAAGGGAAGAATGAGGGGAGAAGGGACACAAGACCCCGGAAGCATGCCAACATATAAAACCCCAAGTCAAAAGGCCAAACTGCTTACTTGATCTCTCAAGTCACCCGCTTGGCCCTTTTCCAAGTGTACTTTACTTCCTTTCATTCCTGCTCTAAAGCTTTTTTTTTTTTGAGATGGAGTTTTGCTCTTGTCACCAGGCTGGAGTGCAATGGCGCTGTCTCGGCTCACTGCAGCCTCTGCCTCCCAGGTTCAAGCGATTCTCATGCCTCAGCCTCCGAAGTAGCTGGGATTACAGACGCCCGCTACCACACCTGGCTAATTTCTGTATTTTTAGTAGAGATGGGGTTTCACCATGTTAGCCAGGCTGGTCCCAAACTCTTGATCTCATGTGATCCACCCTCCTTGGCATCCCAAAGTGCTAGGATTACAGGCGTGAGCCACCGCGCCTGGCCAGGATGCTCTTCTTACTTTTCTTTTCGTTTTTTTTTTTTTTTTGAGACAGAGTTTCACTTTTGTTGCCCAGGCTGGAGTGCAATGGCACGATCTTGGCTCACCACAAACTCTGCCTCACGGGTTCAAGGGATTCTCCTGCCTCAGCCTCCCGAGTAGCTGGGATTACAGGCATGCACTACCACACCCGGCTAATTTTGTATTTTTAGTAGAGACAGGGTTTTGCCATGTTGGTCAGGCTGGTCTTGAACTCCTGACCTCAGGTGATCCACCCGCCTCAGCCTCCCAAAGTGCTGAGATTACAGGTGTGAGACACCGTGCCTGGCCGCTCTTCTTTCTTTTCTCTCTTTTTTTTTTTTTTTTTTTGGGACGGAGCCTTGCTCTGTCGCTGCAGTTGGAGTGCAGTGGTGCAATCTTGGCTCACTGCAACCTCTGCCTCCTGGGTTCAAGCGATTCTCCTGCTTCAGCCTCCCGAGTAGCTGAGATTACAGGCACCCGCCACTGCGCCCAGCTAATTTTTGTATTTTTAGTAGAGACAAGGTTTCACTATCTTGGCCAGGCTGGTCTTGAACTCCTGACCTCGTGATCTACCCGCCTTGGCCTCCCAAAGTGCTGGGATTACAGGCATGAGCCACCACGCCCAGCCTCTTCTTTCTTTTATAAAGCATTCTTTCCAGCTGTCACAGACATAGGGCCAAACGAATAGCTCTTGGGAAGTATTAAATCAAGGTGTATATGTGGGTTTTCTTTTTGTTTTTGAGATGGAGTTTCACTCTTGTTGCCCAGGCTGGAGTGCCATGATGCAATCTCGGCTCACCACAACCTCCGCCTCTGGATTCAAGCGATTCTCCTGCCTCAGCTTCTCAAGCAGCTGGGATTGCAGGGGCAGGCCACCATGCCTAGCTAATTTTTTTTTTTTTTTTTTTTTTTTTGAGACGGAGTTTCACTCTTGTTGCCTAGGGTGGAGTGCAATGGCATGATCTTGGCTCTCCGCAACCTCCACCTCCCGGGTTCAAGCAATTTTTCTGCCTTACCCTCCGGAGTAGCTGGGATTACAGGCATGAGCCACCACACCTCGCTAATTTTGTATTTTTAGTAGAGACGGGGTATCTCCATGTTGGTCAGGCTGGTCTTGAACTCCCGACCTCAGGTGATCCGCCCGCCTCGGCCTCCCAAAGTGCTGGGATTACAGGTGTGAGCCACTGCACCCTGCCATAATTTTTGTATTTTTAGTAGAGATGGGGTTTCACCATGTTGGCCAGGCTGGTCTGGAACTCCTGACCTCAGGTGATCCACCCACCTCAGCCTCCCAAAGTGCTGCTATTACAGGCGTGAGCCACTGTGCCTGGCCCATTTTGTTTTTTGAAACAGGGTCTCACTCTGTTGCCCAGGCTGGAGTGCAGTGGTGTGATCATGGCTCACTGCAGCCTCGACCTCCCAGTTTCAAGTGATCCTCCCACCTCAGCCTCTCAAGTAGCTTAGACTATAGGTATGCGCCACCATGCCTGGCTAACTTTATTTATTTTTTATTTTTTTTTGAGACGGAGTCTCGGCTCTGTCGCCCAGGCTGGAGTGCAGTGGCACGATCTTGGCTCACTGCAAGCTCTGCCTCCCGGGTTCACGCCATTCTCCTGCCTCAGCCTCCCGAGTAGGTGGGACTACAGGTGCCTACCACCATGCCCGGCTAATTTTTGTATTTTTAGTAGAGATGAAGTTTCACTATATTGGCCAGGATGATCTCCATCTCGTCACCTCGTGATCCACCCGCCTCGGCCTCCCAAAGTGCTGGGATTACAGGCATGAGCCACTGCGCCTGGCAATTTTTTAATGTTTTGTAGAGACGGAGTCTCCCTGTGTTGCCGAGGGTGGTCTCCAACCCCTGGGCTCAAGCAATCCTCCCGCTGATATAGGAGTTAAAAAGAAATTATTTAGGCAGTTAGTGAGAGTACAGAAAGTAAGGTTTTTATTTTAATAATAAAGCAGCCCCCAACTAATTTCTTTTCTAACAAAAAGCGGCCTGAAAAATCAAGCTGCAAGCATAGGTAAGCAAGCTGGAAACTTGCACAGGCGAAGTCGGCAGCCGTGCCGATAGAGAAGGGATACCTGGGAGCCAGGTAGAGTCAACATGGAGTCTTTCTCTTCCCTTTTCTTTGTTGCCACGTGTGCAGGTGTCATGGCACCGGCCAGGTAGAGACTCCATCTGCATGATAAATGATTAGGGTGGGACGGTCAG